>NC_000007.14:71597688-71900718 GCF_000001405.40 Homo sapiens | reverse complement strand
CAAGGAAGTTGCCAACCACAGGTGACCACAGACATCTGCCCTAGCCCCCTTCTGGAACATCTGTTACTGACTGGGGTCCTTGTGCTAACCTGTTTGGCCCCATTTGTGTTGCTCTTAGCCACCTGCAAGTAATTGTGCCCCATTCCTTCACTAACTGCCTGCCTTAATGGAATAACTTCTTGATTTGGTTCTCAGCTTGATTGTTAGTGGTGTATAGAACTGCTACTAATTCTTCTACATTGACTTTGTATCCTGAAACCTTACTGAATTCATTTATCAAATCTAGGAGTCTTTTGGCAGAGTCTTTAGGGTTTTCTAGGTATAAGATCATATCATCAGCAAACAGAGATAATTTGACTTTGTCTTTTCCAATTTGAGTGTCTTTCTTTCTCTTGATAGATAGCTCTGGCTAAGACTTCCAGTACCCTCTTGAATAGGAGTGGTGAAAATGGACATCTTTGTCTTAAATTAGCCATTTAAAAAAATAACCATAGTTATTTGCATTTTCTTTTTCTATGACCTTAACTGCTTTTCTTATTGATCTATAAAAGCCGTAATATTCAGGATGTTAAAAATTTGTCTGTCACAATTATGGAAGCTATTTTGCAAGTTTTCCTTTGTATTTTCATCTTCGTTCTCCTATTTTTGACATGATAAAGTTTAAAAAATTTAAAGTAGACAAGTCTAGCAAGTTTTTATTTTATTTACTCCGTGGGTTTTATGATTTAAAAGGTTTTGCCCTTATAGTGATGAGTTAAATAGTTGCCTAAATTTTATGGCTTATAGTTTGATTTAGTAACATTAAATTCTTCAGTCCTTCTAGAGCTTACATTTATTTATGTGATGAGAATTTCACCTCATTTTTTTTCCAGAGAATCAAACGTCTTAATGTGCCTAATATACGTACGGACATATTCTATGCCATGCATCCATATGGTGACATTTTGTTGTTACGACATGGTATCAGTTATTCTGAAGTATGTTATATGCTTTAATACCTGGAGACCTGGCCCTCTCACATTATTCTTTCCTGTTTATTTGTTCATATGAACTTTAGAGTGATTTTTTTTCTAATTCCAAAATAAATATCATCAAGATGTTTATTAAATTACTTTAAGGACCTTTAAGATATAGGCTTTTGCCATTCAGGAACATGAAATCCCTGTCTAAATATTTATTTTTCCTTTATAAATTTCAGTGGTGATGCTTACTGTTTTTCATAAGCATCCCATAAATTTCTTGTTAGCATTTCTTGGCATTTTATAGAAGGTGTCTCAGCCGGGCGTGGTGGCTCACGTCTGTAATCCCAGCACTTTGGGAGGCCAAGGTGGGCATATCACCTGAGGTCGGCAGTTCGAGACCAGCCTGACCAACATGGAGAAACTCCATCTCTACTAAAAATACAAAATTCGCCAGGCACGGTGGCACATGCCTGTAATCCCAGCTGCTGGGGAGGCTGCGGCAGGAGAATCGCTTGAACCCAGGAGGTGGAGGTTGCAGTGAGCCGAGATCGCGCCATTACACTCCAGCCTGGGCGACGAGTGAAACTCCGTCTCAAAAAAAAAAAAAAAAAGATGTCTCTGCAGGGGCCTGGGAGGGAGAGTGAGAGAGAGAGAGAAGTTGTGTATTTGTGGTGAATGGAATTTTTCTTTATATTTTAGTATTTTGGCTTACAGAAGTCATTGGGTTTTGCTGAATTTTATTCACCCTATTGAACCTTAGTCTCTTAGCTTCTATGGATATATGATTCTATACAGTTCAATAACTGTAATTTTGTCTTCTAATTTCTAAGTTATGCCCCTTATTTCTGGAATAAATTTCTAAGCAAGCAGTCACTTTCTCATTCAAATGAGATTATATTATTCCAGTGTCTTCTTGTATCCATTGTTGTTGAGATGAGTCTTCTCTATCTGGATGCTATTTCTTGAGGGCAATCTGTCAGCCATCAGTCTCTCTATTGCTTCTTTAAGAGTAACTTCTTATTTTTTCTGTGGCCTCTTTGGAGGTTTTTGCTATGTCTTTGCATTTTTCAAGTTTTACTATGACGTGTCCAGTTGTGGATTTCATTTTATGTGTCTTCCTTGGGCTTTGTTGGGCTTCTTCAAACCATGGCTTGTATATTTTAGCCTTTAAGCCCCCACATATTGCTTCTGCCTCATTCTCTATCTCCTCTCCTTGTGAAACTCTGGAATAAACCTTATGTCAGATCTTCTCACAGTATGCTTTATGTCTCTTGTATTCTCTGTCCTCTACCGGTATCATTCAGGAGTATTCATTTTGACCTACATTTCAGTTCCTAAATCCTTTTATCAGCCATGTCCAATCTGCTGTTACACCCAACTATTGAGTTTTAAATTTTGGGATATTTTCTTTTCTTTCTTTCTTTTTTTAGATGGAGTCTCACTCTGTTGCCCAAGCTGGAGTGCAGTAGTGCAATCTCGGCTCACTGCAACCTCTGCCTCCTGGGTTCAAGCGATTCTACTGTCTCAGGCTCCTGAGTAGCTGGGACTACAGGCAAGTGCCACCATGCCCAGCTAATTTTTGTATTTTTAGTAGAGACGGGGTTTCACCATGTTGGCCAGGCTGGTCTCGAACTCCTGACCTCAGGTGATCCAACTATTTTTCTTTATTTGCAATGTCTGTGTTCTTTCTGATAGTTTCCAATTGATTGCCAACATTCTCTCTCTCTCTCTCTCTCTCCCCCCCCCTCCCTCCCTCTCTCTCTCTTTTTTTTTTTTTTTTTTTTGTTTTTTGTTTTTTTCCAACACTACTCCTTGGCTAGATTGACAACATTCTCAAGCTTGGTTTTTTCTTCCATGAACATTGTAAACCACATTGCTTTACAGTCTGTGTCTGATAGCCTCAATATTGGAATTCCCTCCAAGTCTGTTTCTGTTCTCTGCTGTTTTTGCTGGTTTGGGTTCATAATGTGTTGTCTCTTCATAGGCCACACTATTTTTTATTATTTGTGGGATACTAGATTTGAACACTAACAGAAATATTTTGAGGCCTGGGTTGATATTATCTTCCCCCCAGCCCCTCTCCTCATTTCCCATTGCAGGATCTTTCTGCATCCTGTTAAGAAGAAGAAGGAAATGCTCAATTTCCTTCCTTTTCATTAGAAAATAAATTTCAAAGATGGCATATTTAATCTGAGCAGTCACAATTATCTTCCCTTTACCTTGTGTTTCCAGAGGCTCAAGGTGAAATTTTTGTTTTCTGTTCTTTTATCCTTGGACAGGAAGAAATGTGTGCTGAGCTGGTGTTTACCAACAGAATAGCAAGTGCTTGGTTCTTCCAACCGGCCCTTTTGTAGAATCCCCCTTCTTTCTCTCTTACAAGCTCAGCACTTAATATTATGTTTAATAAAAGATTACATTTCCAAGAAATAGCTGAGCAGGTTAAAATGAAATTATGCTTACAAGTCCCGGTGCAACAGTTCCCAAATTCTCACTAAAATACTTCTGAAATAACAAAAAACAATAAACACCAAAATTAAATGCGAATCTTACAGGAATTCACAACGAAAGGCCTGTGATGCTGGACTCACAGATATTACAGGAGGCCTTTTGTAGGTCCATAAAGCTTTCTCTTGTGTTGGTGGATGAACACATTTCCAGGGCTGCCTGCAAGTTTCCAGGGATTTTTGTTTTGCTTTGTTTTTAGCAAATGACCCTCCAATAAGTTTCTGCTAGACTGAGATGGGGGTCTTCTCATAGCCTTATTTCCTGGCTCATTGAAACACAAAAATGTAGAATATAGGGAAAACCTCTGCCACAGCGCGTTTCTTTTTCCTCCTTGGCAAACATGCAATGCTCTGCAGAAGAGAACCCTCCTCCCAGGAATCTCGCCATTCTCCTCTGTTTGGGAGCAGAATGCTATCAGGGAACTGCAGCTCTGTATGGACAGAGAAGGAAGTTAAAATGAGAGTGGAGGTGGAGAGGAGCTAAGAGCTCTCTGGCTGCCTCAGAACAAAGACGTGTGCCCAGCTTTGCTGTTGGTTCAGTCTGAGGCTCTCAGGGCCTATGTGAGATGGACACACACTGAGAGTTTCTCAAAGCCTGGTCCTCCTTCCTTTCATACTCAAGAGCAGGAAGCTTGATGGACCTACACAAGGCCCTCCTATCCTGTCTGTGAATCCAGCATCACAGGCCTTTCATTGTGAATTCCCATAAGATTCTCATCTAATTTCGGTGTTTATTGTTTTTTGTTCTTTCGCAAGTATTTTAGTGAGAAACTGGGAACTGTTGCATCAGGCCTTGTAAGCATGATTCCATTTTAACCTGCTCAGCTATTTTTTGGGAAACCTAATCTTTTATTAAACATGAGGAAGTGCTGAGCTTGTAAGAAAGAAAGAAGTTCTCTAGAGACACACTGAATTAGTAAAGAGAGATGATATTTGGTGACAAATCAGCCCTCAATTGTCGAGTTTATGTAGTCACAGATAGTCAGATATTTGTATTATGTATGAGGCTTGGTGCCCTGCAAAGAAATGTGACATTACCAATCAAATCACGTCCCTCCTCATCTGGGCAACAACTGCAAATGAATGGACGGTTAAAAAACATTAAAGCGTATATTATTAAAATGGAAAGGTATTGTGAGTGTCATTTTCAGAATAATTGGTGCCCTTTGTAGAATTCAGTTGGCTTCTGGGCACAGCAGGCACTATACAGGGCAGCCCACTCCTATTTTAGGGAGCCTACTGAGATCATTATTCTCAGGAAATAAGCACATTAAGATACTTCTGTGGCCAGTGTGGTTCCAAGTTTATTAACAATTGACATTTGGAGCCTCCCTCCTATTAGTTTAGAATCTAAGGTAATGATGGGATGGAACCATTAGATTGGTGTAAAAGTCACTGCTGTTTTTGCCATTAAAAGTGATAGTTCCACATTACTTTCATTCTCAGCTAGAGTCAAGCACGAACTCTAATGAATGACTGGAAGGAATCCATGCCTTAGTAGGTACATCTCTAGCAGGAGTCATTTTTCTTCTCAGATTTCTTCCTTAAACGGTCATTTTTGTTCTTCTGTATATTACCTTGTCATTCTGTCATAACTCTTACAGAGAATTTTGTTGGGCACCTGGCATGAATGTAATATTTATATCAGAATTTAGACCCCATAAAAGAGAATTGGAAATTTCACCAGGGAGTGGGGAAAGTCAGCCCAGCCAAAGGTGATACATGAGAGGTGCTTCTACCAAAAGCAGAAACAAAATGAGTCATGTCACTCTTGTCGAATGAATGAGAACTACGATCATCTTATTTAACATTTTCTGAAAGTTGTAGACAATTCTATGAAATCAAAACAAGAGGAACAATTAAAATGAGATAAAGTTATCACGCCACTGCACTCCAGCCTGAGCAACAGAGCGAGACTCTGTCTCAAAAAAAAAGAAAAGAGAGAAAATTGTCAAGAGAATCACTTAAAATTACACACAAATTGAAAATGAAATTCAAGGCCGGGCACAATGGTTCATGTATGTAATCCCAACATTTTGGGAGGTCAAGGAAGGTGGATTGCTTGGGCCCAGGAGTTTGAGACCAGCCTGGGCAACATAGGAAAACCTCGTCTGTACAAAAAATACAAATATTAGCTGGACGTGGTGATGTACCCTTGTGGTCTCAGCTACTGGGGAGGCTGAGATGAGAGGCTCGCTTGAGCCCAGGAGGCAGAGGTTGCTGTGAGCCAAGACTGCATCACTGCACTCCAGACTGGGCAACAGAGCAAGACCCTGTCTCCAAAAAAAGAAAATGAAATTCAAGGTAGCTGAATGCAACACAAACATTGCAGTCTGTTTTTCTTATCAATAACCAGTCAGAAATATGGAAACTTCATTTCTAGTAACAACAAAAATATAAAGCACACAGGAATAACCTTAATAAGAAATATACAGAATTGATACAAATTAAACTACTGAAAACTAAACTAAGAGTTGATTTAAGTGAAAAAACATATCATGCTCTCAGAAAGCAAAATAAATAACACTACGGGTTTTTCTTTTATTTCCTTCAGATTAATGCATAGATCATTGTGCTCTGAATCAAAATTCCAATGGAACTTTTATTGAAATGGCAGATATATTCTAATCTCATCTGGAATACAGAATAAAAACTTAAGACCTTGAAGAAAATAATTGATTGAGCTGGGTATGGTGGCTCATGCCTGTAATCCCACCACTCTGGGAGGTCGAGGTGGGAGGATCACCTGAGTGAGGCCAGGAGTTTGAGAACAACCTGGGCAACATAACGAGACTCCGTCTCTACAAAAAAAATTTAAAAATTAGCCAGGCATAGTAGCGTGTGCCTGTAGTCCCAGCAATTCAGAAGGCTGAGGTGACAGCCTGGTTGGCGTGATCATGCCACTGCACTCCAGCCTAGGCAACAGAGCAAGATCCTGTCTTTCTGGTTGAGTGGGGATAGAAGGAATAAGTGAGACTTGGCCAATGGGATATTAAAACACAGTATAAAGTTATAGTATTTAAATCAGTGAAATCAACAGTATAATAGGTCCAGAATTAAACCCGTTTATAAATAAAGACATCAGATGGGACAAAGGAAGCACTAAAAATCACTAAGGGTTACTCCACAAGTAGGGCTCTGGCTGTGCTAGGACATCAGGCACAAGGCATCAGAACCCAGTTTCAGTAGCTATAGGAGTTTGAGTCCTGAAGAACGTGACAGAATATAAAAAACGAGTCTTGCCAAGCTTTTTAAATCCTGGGAGATTTTATCAAGTTGTGTGATGTCTAGGTGGGCAGCATCATGGGAAGGAGTACAAGCCTGATTCACAGAGAAAACATACACAGATCTCTAAGAGATGATCTTTGGACCAATATTATTTCCTTAGCCTTCATGTCAGCTCCTCTATTCCCAGAGAGGCCCAAATCTTGCAATGGGCAGAACTAAAGAGGCTCAGAGGAAACCTTAATGGTTCATCTCACGGCATTTTCTTCTTGACATCCCGAGAATAGCCTCAGAGTTTGCAGAAGCACCTTATTCTTTTTTTTTTTTCTTTGTATTCAAGACAGAGTCTTGCTCTGTCGCCCAGGCTAGAGTGCAGTGATGTGATCTCGGCTCACTGCAATCTCTACCTCTCAGGTTCAAGTGAATCTCCATCCTCAGCCTCCCAAGTAGCTGCGATTACATGTGCACGCCACCACACCCAGCTAATTTTTGTATTTTTAGTAGAGACAGGGTTTCGCCATGTTGGCCAGGCTGGTCTCAATTCCTGGGCTCAAGTGATCCGCTCACCTTGCCTCGGCCCCCCAAAGTGCTGGGATTACAGGCATGAGCCACCACGCCTGGCCAAAAGCACCTTATTTCAACTAGATTGTACACTTCAGTTTAAAATAGGGTTTCTCCACCTCAGCATCATTGACATTTTGGGCCAGACAATTCTTTGTAGTGGGAGGCCTTCTTGTGCATCACAGGGTGTTTAGCAGCATCCATAGCCTCTACCCACTAAACGCCAGTAGGATCTCCCCCGTTCCTTGCCCAGCCAAGTGGTAAACAACCAAAAATATCTCTAGACATTGCTAAATGTCCCCTGAGGGTGCAGGATCCTTCCCAGTGGTGAACCACCAGGATAAGATAGCTTATCAAGAAAATGTGGGCTGTTAACAGTGGTATCTAACGTAATGAACAAGGAAAAGAAAATGAAAGAAAGGAGTTATTAAACAGAACCTTTTTATTGGCTTTTCAGAGTCAATTTCAAAGCCTTGCAAGTTGTAATTTACTTGGACACATCACACCTCAATGATCATTTTAAGCTTCCTAAAAGCTAGGACATGCAGACAAAAATAAGTTTGTCTCCAAAAAAAAAATGACGTGGTTCTCACGTCATTTATTAGGTAGAGAGTTAGCTGTTTTGTTAATTATTTAACTATTAGAAACATACAAAACTCAGAACATACAAAATGTGAAAGGAGACAGAAGTAGATATTTCTCAAGCCTGTGAATGAGGAGGGCTTTGTAAGCCCCTCTGTTTACTCTGCTCTCAAAGCCCAGCATACATGAAATTGAAAGTCACACAAGAAACCAGGAAAAATATCTATAATAATTATTGAAAATAATTTGGATTTTTTTTGGGGGGAAATGGAGTTTCACTCTGTCATCCAGGATTGCAATAGCATGATCTCGGCTCACTGAAACCTCTGCCTCCCAGGCTCAAGCGATTCTCCTGAGTAGCGGGGATTACAGGTGGGCACCACCATTCCTGGCTAATTTTTGCATTTTTAGTAGAGACGGGCTTTCGCCTTGTTGCCCAAGGCTGGTCTCGAACTCCTGGCCTCAAGTAATCCGCCCACCTCGGCCTCCCAAAGTGCTGGGATTACAGGCGTGAGCCACTGCGCCTGGCCCTGGATCTTTATTTTATGAGAAAAATACTAGAATCTCAATAGTTAGGTAAGCAAAAAGCAGGAACAGATGAATGAAAGCAGAAAAATAGATGGCCAATAATCATTTTTTAAAAATCTATCAAACTTCATTCATGGTAAAAGAAATATAAATTAGCACAAGATACAATGTCAGACTATCAAATCAGCAAATATTAAATAGTGATGAAAATATTCAATGTGGCCAAGGTTCTGTGCACTTCAATAAACATTTATTTATTGAGTACCTGTGTGCCAGTCACCAAGCTGGGAGCTCTGAATACCGAGACAGGCATGATATAGTCTCTGCCCTCAAGCTTCTAGTCTATATAATCAATTTAATTTAACAAACACATACATAGCACTTGTTATTTTTTTTTTTATTTATTTATTTTTGAGACGGAGTCTCACTCTGTTGCCCAGGCTGGAGTGCAGTGGGGCAATCTTGGTTCACTGCAACCTCTGCCTCCCAGGTTCAAGCGATTCTTCTGCCTCAGACTCCAGAGTAGCTGGGATTACAGGCGTGAGCCACCATGCCCAGCTAATTTTTGTATTTTTAGTAGAGACGGGGCTTCACCATGTTAGCCAGACTGGTCTCGAACTCCTGACTTCAAGTGATCTGCCCACTTTGGCTTCCCGAAGTGCTGGGATTACAGGCGTGAGCCATCATGCCCGGCATATAGCACTTGTTATATGCTAGGAAAGCACTTTACAAATTCTGATACTTTTAGTTCTCTCAAGAACCCTATGTAATAGGCACTGTCATTATCCTCCCATTTTATTGATGGGAAAATGGAGGCACCAAAAAGCTAAGTAGCTTCCCGAAAGACAACAGCCGTGGCAGAGGTGGGAGTCTAGGATAAATAATTCTGCTCCAGAGTCCCTGCTCTTAACCAGTTTGATAGGCAGCTTCTGGAGAAAGCACCATGGAAGTTGGAACAAGGCTCCCTTGAACATGACTTGTGTCGAGTAAGTCCAGAAGAATAATGAGCCTTCTGAAAAGCAATTGGGAAGCAGGTATCCAGAATCTTTAAAATATTCATGGTGACTTGAACTAATAGTTCGATTTCTAGGAAGCAAGAGCTGTGGACAAAAATTAGAGTTCCTTTGCTTTTGTCGCATTTTTAATACAATAAAAATCGAAACAAACTAAGAACACAAGAATGTTCCTATGTTATGGTATATCTGTATGTCGAATATTATACAGCCATGAAAATTGTGTTTACAATTAGATTTAATAACTAGGAGAAGGTTTTTAAAGGGTAGACATTTAGGTTGAAAGTTAGGAAACAAGGCCAGGCATGGTGGCTCACATCTGTAATCCCAGCACTTTGGGAGGCTGAGGTGGGTGGATTGCTTGAGCCCAGGAGTTCGCAACTAGGCTGAACAAAATAGCAAAGCCCTGTCTCTACCAAACATACAAAAATGAGCTGGGCGTGGTGGTGCATGCCTGTAGTCTCAGCTACTCAGGAGGCTGAAGTGGGAGGATCATCTGAACCTGGGGAGTTTCCGGCTGCAGTGAGCCATAACTGCACCACTGCACTCCAGTCTGGGCAACAGAGTAAGACACCATCTCAAAAAAAAAAAAAAAAAGCTAGAAAACAAAATTGCACATTTGACCTTAACAATGTTAAAACATAGGTGCATGTAGGTATAGGTATATAGGTATAGGTGCATGGAAAGATATTGGAAAGAGATATACCAAATACTATCAGTAGTTATGTCTAGATAAAATATTATGGATAATTTTTTTTCTTCTTAATAATTTTTTCTATTTTATATGAGCATGTGTTGCTACTGTAATGAAAGGTCTTTAAAGACTTTAACAAAGTATTGCTAGAATAAAGGAGGAACACAGTATGGAGAGAGAAAGAGGGAATCAGAAGCCCAGGAACTGTTTGGAAAGGAGGGAAGGGAAGATGAGTGTTTTATGTCACAGTCTGGTTGGAGAACATGGACTAGTCCCACACCTTATAAACAAGTAATGGCTCCAGAGCATAGCAACTTCCAAGGCACCATTTGTCATGGCTGATGTGCCCGTCTTGGGTTCTGTTCCTAAAAATTCTGTTCTCAGCTGGGTGCAGTAGCATACCTGTAGTCCCAGCTATTTGGGAGGCTGAGGCGGGAGGATCGCCTGAGCCCAGGAGTTTGAGGCTGCAGAGAGCTATGATTGTGCCACTGCACTTCAGCCTGAGTGACATAGTGAGACCTTGTCTCCAAAAAAATAAATAAATAAAAGCTCTGTTCTCATTCTCATTGCTCTCATTCAGGGAATGGAAGGGGATTCAACTCAAATAACCTCAAAATCAGCCACTGTTGTGTTTCTCTGAGAATTTACACTCTAAAGTGACCAATTCTTTTTTTTTTTTTTTTCCGAGACAGAGTCTAGATCTGTCACCCAGGCTGGTGTGCAGTAGTGCAATCTCGGCACACTGCACCCTCTGCCTCCCAGGTTCAAATGATTCTCCTGCCTCAGCCTCCAGAGTAGGATTACAGAGCTAGGATTACAGGCGTGTGCCACCACATATGGCTAAGTTTTGTATTTTTAGTAGAGACAGGGTTTCGCCATGTTGGCCAGGCTGGTCTTGAACTCCTGACCTCAGGTGATCTGCCCACCTCAGCCTCCCAAAGTGCTGGGATTACAGGCTTGAGCCACCGTGCCCAGCCAAGTGGCTCAAATTCTTTTCAACACAATCACAAATCCATGGTGTGGGGTTGGAATATCCGTGTCCCCCCTTATTCATAGGTTGAGACCCTAACCTCCTTCAAGGTCATGATTTGGAGGCGGGGCCTTTCGGGATGTGGTTAGGTCATGAAGGTGGAGTCCTCATGAATGAGACTGGTGTTTTTATAAAAGAGCCCCAGTGATTTGCAAATGGGGGGAAGCTACTGTGAGCATGTGTTTTATTTTTTAATTTACACTATAGAGTGATTTTTTTTTGCCCCAACGTCAAGTTTTTACCTTGCATGTACTGGAGTATTTATTTCATCTATTAAAATGTTATGTTTCTTAAAATAAATAAATAAAAGAGCCCCAAGGGAGCTTGCCTTCCACCACATGAGGACGCAGGAAGAAGGTGCCATCTAGGAACCAGGTCATCAGACACCAAATCTGCTGATGCCTTGATCTTGGACTTCCCAGTCTCCAGAGCTGTGAGAAGTAAATGTCAGTTGTTTAGAATCTACCCAGTTTATGATATTTTGTTGTAGCAGCCAGAAGGAACTAAGACACCTGATCTCACATCGCACCTGGGTCCTGGGCACTGGGGTGCAGTTCCTGCACCTGTCCCCAGCCTGTACATTTTCTGTTCTGTGTAGCTGGTACCCCAAGTTGTTCCTACCTTTCCTGATCTCCTCACCACACTGCGGCTTCCCTCCTCAGCGGTGGCCTGGATTCCTACATTGTGAACAAAAGGGAACATCGAAGGTGAACATTGTTCATTCTTTTGCCTCATTTGCCAAACTCAGTGGCATCATGGTGTCTCCTTCTGCCCAAAGCACCCCACCCCAAGCTCTGGGTCCCCTGCCCTCCTCCCCTTTCTCCTCTAGGAATGGGCCCCATCACGTCACCCCTCTTGCCACCACCTCCTTTCCACTTCCTCACTACCAGCTCCGAACTCTGCCTGTGATTGTTAACCACCGACCTACCCTAGAAACGACTAACTCCCTTCTCACCCAACCTATTGCCATATGCTTTCTGTTCCCTTCACTTTATTGATGCCTCCTTCCCTGAGATCAACGCTACTGTCCTAATTAGCAACATCAAAGACTACTTTTTAGCCGTTTCTTTATTGACCTTTGGCTGTATTGGACATAGGTATTCATTGCTTTTTTGTTTTGTTTTGTTTTTTTGTTTTTTTGCTTTTTTTTTTTTTTTTAAGAAAAAATGTCTTTCTCTCTCTCTCTCGATAATGGCTTCATGGAGATACAATCCACAAACCATACAATCGCCCACTTTTAGTGCACAAGTCAGCGGTTTTCAGTATATTCATAGAGTTCTGCAGTCATCCCTACAGTCGATTTTAGAACATTTTCATCTCCCCCCAAAATAAACCCACGCCCATTAGCAGCCCGTTGGTTTTTCAGATGCTTTTTGTTCCCAGTTAGCCAAAATTGTTTGACTGTTCTTTCTCAGCCTTCTCTTCTTCTTCCAGCATCTTAAGCATTTTTGTTCCCCAGACCCTACTCCTTAGCCCTCTTCTTATATTACATTGCCCCCAAACTCTGGGAGGTCTTATTCCATCCTATGCTTTTATCCCAGACTTCCCTATGATCCTCGCAGCTCTCTTTCTACGCCCAGACTCATTTCAAAACTTTAGTGCCATGGTTGCAAGTTTAATGCACATATGCACCAGTTGCCCTACAGACATGTCAAACTCCGCGGGTCCCAGGTTGAACGAATCATGCCCTCCAAGCCCGCAACACCCAAGCCGCCATCATTTATTGCAACACATTTTGCACACACATTCTCGGTAGCAGCATTCACTGTGTAATTCAAAGTAAGCCTTGTCCACCTGCTCTCCTCCTTCTCACCCTCCATCTCCAGCCTTTGCCAGACTCTGCTAACTCTACATCCCTGAGCATGTTTTACTTGCATTGCCTCCTCTCTCCTGCACTGTGGCTGCCTCAATTCACACCTTGATGACCTCTTGCTTTGACTTTTGCAGAGACCCCCGCTCTAATCTCCCTCCCCCTATGTTTGCTACCAGAGCTCTTTTCCAAAACTATAAACATAATCATGGGCTAGGTGCAGTGGCTCATGCCTGTAATCCCAGCACTTTGGGAGGCCGAGGCGGGTGGATCACCTGAAGTGGGGGGGTTCAAGACTAGCCTGACCACCAACATGGAGAAACCCCGTCTCTACTAAAAATACAAAATTAGCCAGGCGTGGTGACGCATGCCTGTAATTCCAGATACTTGGGAGGCTGAGGCAGGAGAATTGCTTGAACCCAGGAAGTGGAGGTTGCGGTAAGCCGAGATTGTACCATTGCATGCCAGCCTGGGCAACAAGAGCGAAACTCCATCTCAAAAAACAAAAGCATAATTATGGACTTGCCAGCTAAAACCATCCGTGGTGTGTGCCTGGTGCACTTGACTTTACAGATCAAGCCCAAACACTTGAGTATGAGTTTCAAGATCCTGATGAGCAGAACTGTATCCGTCTTGCCAACCTCACAGATCTCCTCCTGACACCCCCACCCCTACCGCACAAAATCCCTCGGCGCTCCCCAACCGTGCCATCCTCCTTACACCTTCACACATTTGCAACATTATTTAGACTTTCCTCCGTTCAGAATTTTCCCTTAGCAAAATCTCACTCACCCTCTACGATGCAGCTCATGGTTCCTTCAACTAAGGTAGGCACTCTCTCCCCTAAGTTCTCACAGCACTTTGTACCTAATCCTATTTTGCTATGCCCCCATTTTTATGGTTTCAGGGCATGTCTCTGTGCCCCAGTAGAATGTGAATTCTTCAGCAGCGAACACCATTTCTCAGCTTGGATCCTCATTGCAGAATGCTACCCCATAACATAGAAGGCATGCAATATTTTTTTTTTTTTTTTTTTGAGATGGAGTCTCACTTTTGTTGTCCAGGCTGGAGTGCAGTGGTGCGATCTCTGCTCACTGCAACCTCCGCCTCCCAGATTCAAGTGATTCTTATGCCTCAGCCTCCCAAGTAGCTGGGATTACAGGCGCCCACCACCAAGCCTGGCTAATTTTTGTATTTCTAGTAGAGAAAGGATTTCATCATGTTAACCAGGCTGGTCTCGAACTCCTGACCTCAGATGATCTGCCTGTCTTCGCCTCCCAAAGTGCTGGGATTACAGGCATGAGCCACCATGCCCAGCCGGAAGGCTTGCAATAATTGACCGCAGACTCTTGCATGAATGAAAGAGCACATGAAGCTTTATCCTGATTCCTTTCAACAGAAAGACGTGAGTGACATGCTAAGGGGGCGTGGCAGTGGCTGAAGCATTGGACACTGAAGGGAAAGGCAGGATCTGCCGAAAATCCCTTCCAGGGCACTTCAGGCCAGCCTATTCCAACTTGGGCTGCTGTGACTTTGAGCTGTCCTAAGGACCCTGCTGGATTTAACAATGAAGCTTTCAAAGGAGATGTTCGCCTTGCGGCGGTGGGGCAAGGGCTTTGTATGTCACTGTGAAATGATGAATCACTCCTTTCAAAGCAGAGAAAACTTACAACTGTCTTTTGGATTTGTGTTAACAGTGTGCTGGATTCTTCGCTGGGACTTGGAACCCACCCTGAATTTTTCAGCCAGCTATCTTCTCTAGACCCCTCAGATTAACTTTCTTCTGCCATTCACATGTTAAAATGGTGGATATGTTTGTTGGGAAGGAATTAAATCGGCTCATTGTACTGGCAGCCAGGATGGTCCTGAGCCTGTTACTACGGAAATGAATTTGTTACTTTTGTGGTTCCTTCCTGATTTGCAGGCTGTACAGCAAGGTTTGCAAGACTCCTGTGAATTTCTCCCCAAAGAGGGGAAAGGATGAAAATAGAACCACAGGAAGAGAGAGCTGGGGATGTATAATAGTCAGAAACATTTGGCAAATCTGTCTGCTCGTGGTCAGCGCGTCTCACTCTTGTTTATTTGTTTGGTTTGTAGTTTATGTGCTAACCTCAGCAATTCTGTTTGCTCATTCTGTCCCAACAGAACTCACTCCCAAAAGAAAGACAATATTGTGGATGAAAAGAGTCAAACTCTGTAAAATATTAGAAGAGATTTATTCTGAGTCAAATATGAGTGAACACAGCTTTCAGGAGGTCCTGAGAACATGTGCCCACGGTGGTCCGGGTGCAGCTTTGTTTTATACATCTTAAAGGGGCAGGAGACATCAATCAAATACATTTAAGAAATAACATTGGCGGCTGGGGGCGGTGGCTCACGCCTGTAATCCCAGCACTTCGGGAGGCCGAGGTGGGCGGATCACGATATCAGGAGATCAAGACCATCCTGGCTAACATGGTGAAACCCCATCTCTACTAAAAATACAAAAAAATTAGCCAGGTGTGGTGGCAGGCGCCTGTAGTCCCAGCTACTCGGGAGGCTGAGGCAAGAGAATGGTGTGAACCTGGGAGGCAGAGGTTGCAGTGAGCCGAGATCACACCACTGCAGAGCAGCCTGGGCGACAGAGCAAGACTCCGTCTCAAAAAAAAGAAAAAAGAAATAACATTGGTTTGGTCCAGAAAGGCAGGACAACTCAAAGCGGAGCGGGCAGGGAGCTTCCAGGCTATAGGTGAAGTTTTGACATTTTCTGGTTGACAATTTGTTGAGTTTGTCTAAAGACCTGGAATTGATAGAAAGGGAATGTTCAGGTTAAGATAAAGATTGCAGAGACCAAAGTTCTTTTGAAGTCTTACAGTGGCTTCCCTTAGAGACAATAGATGACAAGTTTTCCTATTCAAATTTTAGTTAATCTTTTTAGGATTGGGTAGGTCTGGAAGAAAAAGATCTAGCTACGTTAATAGAGATTATTATAGATGCAGATTTTCCCCCACAAAGAACAACTTTGCAGGACCATTTCAAAATATGGCAAAGAAACAGGTTTCGGGGTAAAATATTTTGATTCCTTGTTGTGTAATATTATGCCAGAGTCGGGTTGGAAAGTAAATCATGATATATAAGTTTAAATAAAACCCATCTGATTAGAATTTATGATTTGTAGGGCATGAATCCCCAGACCCCTTAACTGGGAATTTGCGCAAGATTTAAAAGAATCAGAGTTTAGTCCTCAGTATTATTTTTAAAAGGTGACTGTTCCCAGTGTAAACCATCACCACCACCGAGAGATCGATCTGGCCCAAGCTGGAATATGGTGACCTCATGGTTCAGTGATCATCGCCCCCAGCCTCAGGGTCTGTGGCTTCTGTTGGGTTTCGTATTCCATTGATTTTCACAGTATTCAGATAGGATGATGTGTCCGCCCTGTCCAGTGTTTTGATGGAAGGAAGGGAAACAGGCAGCTTACACCCCCCAAGATTCTGGACCTCCTCCAGGACTGCATGTGGAAGTTGCTTAAGGCGTATGTTTCAAGGTGGGCGGGTCTATGCAAACCCATCCCCAAAAGTCCCAGGAAGCTGAGAGGCTAACCAAAGAGGCTGATATGGCCGGGCACAGTGGCTCACACCTGTAATCCCAGCACTTTGGGAGGCCGAGGGGGACAGATCATGAGGTCAGGAGATCAAGACCATCCTGGCCAACATGGTGAAACCTCGTCTTTATTAAAAATACAAAAAATTAGCTGGGCGTGGTGGCGCACACCTGTAGTCCCAGCTACTCGGGAGGCTGAGGCAGGAAAATCGCTTGAACCTGGGAGGCGGAGATTGCAGTGAGCCAAGATCGCGCCACTTCACTCCAACCTGGCAACAGAGAGACTCTGTCAAAGAAAGAAAGGAAGGAAGGAAAGAGGCTGATATATCCAGTTTCTCAGGAGGAAACATTTAATGGAGACATATAAATAGAAGCCATGTATGTGTCTTGGGCAGCGGTGAAACAAGATGGTAAATCTCATGCCAATACCCTCAAGACCCAGCGATTATATACCACAGGGAAAGGACAGTTCAGAAGGGATGGGTAAGGTAATTGAAATACGATCACATCAAGGTTGTTTGACCTAAGGGCGGGATTTACAGTAAGCACCTGCTCTTACACAAGGAGCAGTAGATACACTGGAAGTCTTAGAGGCATTCCAGGAACAGGGTTAACCGTGAGTCAGTATGGTGGATTAGCATGCAAGGTGGAGTTGCCCTTCTCCTCCACACTTCCTGCTCATTATGTTCCTAACTCCTTATTCCTGCTCATTATTACTTCCTGCTCATTATGTTCCTAACAAGAAGTGGGAAGAAGAGAAACGGAGTGACTTACAGCTTAGGAGCTTAAAATGCTACTGAGTTCTGAGGCTCTGAAGACATCCCCCACCATTTTTGGTTTTTGTAAAGATGGGATCTCATTATGTTGTTTATGCTGGTCTCAAACCCCTGGCTTCAAGCGATCCTCCCATCTAGGCCTTCCAAACCTAGAATAATGAATAATTGTTCATTCAGTTATTCATACAGCACCAAATACTTCTGAGTACTTATTTTGTGCCACAAACTCTTCTGGATACTGATGACACAACAGTGAACAAACAAAATGTGTGTGTGTGCATGTGTGTATATGTGTATAGATGGATAGATTTATATAGATATAGAGCTATAGATATATATATCACTATCCTCATAGTATTTCATGTGATAGAGGGAAAATGCACAAATAAATATATAGTAGGTCAATAATAAGTGCTATCAAAGGTAAAGTAAGATGAGGCTGGGTGTGGCGGCTCATGCCTGTAATCCTGGAAACTTTGGAGGTGGAGGTGGAGGGATTGCTTGAAGCCAGTAGTTTGAGACCAGCCTGGGCAACATAATGAGACACTGTCTTTACAAACACACACACACACACACACACACACACACACACACACACACAAATTAGATGGGCATGGTGGCATGCCCATAGTCCCAGCTACTCCAGAGGCTGAGGCAGGAGGATCACTTGAGCCCAGGAGTTGGAGGCTGAAGTGAGCTATGATTGTGCCATTGTACTCCAGCCTGGGCAACATAGCAAGACCCCATCTCTTAAAAAGTTGTTTTTTTTTTTAAGTAGGACAAGGGAATAAAGTATTGGGGGAAGACTATTCTAAATTGGATGCAAAGGGGAAGGCCTCTCTGAGAGGATAGCAGTTATCTAGAACAAACTTCATGTATCCAGGATTTGCAAGATGGCTAGTGTGGCTAAAGCCACAGTGCTAACGCAGGTATTCAGAGACAAGGTTAGAGCTAATTTAAGCAGGTGTGGTGGGCTGAATCATGGCCCTTCCAAGATGTCCATGTCGTAACCCCTGGACCTGAGACTATGCTGTCTTACACAGTAGAGGAAATTTGCCGATGTGATTAAAGGCCTTGAGAAGGAGAGATTCTTCTGGATTACCAAAGTGGCCCCAGTGTAATCACAAGGGTCTTCATAAGAGGAAGGCAGGAGGGCCAGGTAGATAGAGAGAAGACGTGAGAACAAAAGCAGAGGTCAGAGAGAACAGGAGATGCAACACTGCTGGCTTTGAAGATAGAGGGATGGGCCCATGAGCCAAGGGATGCAGGCAGCCTCAAGATGCTGAAAGAAGCGAGGAAATGGATTCTGCCTTAGAGCTTCCAGAAGGAACGTGATCCTGCTGATGCCTTGATTTTATACTTCTAACCTCCAATTTTTTTTTTAAGAGACAGGGTCTGACTCTGTCAGGCTGGAGTCCAGTAGCACAATCAGCTCACTGTAGCCTCTAACTCCTGGGCTCAAGTGATCCTCCTATCCCAGCCTCCCAAGTAGCTGGGACTACAGGCATATACCACCACATGTGGCTAATTTTTTTTTTTTTTGTAAATATAGGGTATTGCTACATTGCTTAGGCTGACCTCAAACTCCTGGCCTCAAGCAATCCTCCCACCTACGTCTCCCAAAGTGCTGGGATTACAGGCATGAGCCACTGTGCTCAGCTATGGCCTCCAAAGCTATAAAAGAATAAATTTGTGTTGTAAGCCACTAAGTGTATGGTAATTTGGAATAGCAGCACTGGGACCCTGATACAAAGGTCAAATCATGGAGAGCCCGGGATAGCCTTGCAGAGCCTTACCCTAGGTAAGGCTGTTGAGCTCTAATCGGAGCGTGAATCAATGCCTTGGAAACATTTTGAGCAAAGGACAACTGTGATCCAATTTGCATGTTTATATCAACATTGTGGCTTCTTGGTAGAAGATAACCCAAAGAGGGAGAAGTTGGGGAATGGAGACCAGTTAGAGAGAAGTGATGATGGGACAATGAGAAGGTGCCAGGACTGGGCTATTTCAAAGGTGAAGACCATAGAACTTGCTGATAAGCTAGTGTATGTGTTGGGGTTTTCTAGACGGACAGAACTAATAGGATAGATGTATATATGAAGGGGAGCTTATTAAGGAGAATTGACCCAGACAATCACAAGGTGAAGTCCCACAATAGGCCATCTGTAAGCTGAGGAGCAAGGAAGCCAGTCCCAGTCCCAAAACCTCAAAAGTAGAGAAGTCAACAGTGCAGCCTTCAGTCTGTGGCCAAAAGGCCTGAGAGCCCCTGGCAAACCACTGGTGTAAGTCCAAGAGTCCAAAAGCTGAAGAATTTGGAGTCTGATGTTCAAGGGCAGGAAGCATCCAGCACGGGAGAAAGATGAATTCCGGAAGACTCAGCAAGTCAAGTCCTTCCATGTCCTTCTGCCTGCTTTATTCTGGCTGTGCAGGTAGCTGATTAGATGGTGCCCACCCAGATTGAGGGTGGATCTGCCTCTCCCAGTCCACTGACCCAAATGTTAATCTCCTTTGGCAACATCCTCACAGACACAGCCAGGAATAATACTTTGCATGCGTCAATCCAAACAAGTTGGCACTCAATATTCACCATCACAACTAGATGGAAGGAATGCGAGGAAAAGTGGTAGGGAAGATAACTCCTGACAAATAGCAAGTAACTGGAGCAACTGTGGAATTCCCATTACTGAAATACAAAGGGAGGGAAGAGTCTGGGGATTTTATTGTTAGTTATTTAACTTATTTATTTTTCTATTTTTAGAGAGGGAGAGGGCTTAAGAACTACATTTTGAACTTAAGTTTGAAATGGTCCTTAGATGCCCAAATGGAGATGTTTCGTAAGCAGTTGTATATAAAAGTCTAGAATTCGGGGGAGAGATTGGATTAAAGAAATAAATGCAAAGGTCATCAGCATAGAACCAGATAGGATCCCCTAAACATAGAAGAAAAGAGAAGGGGGAAAGAAAAGGCAAGAGAGGGGAAGGGAAGGAAGCCAGTAGAGATGGGCTAAGCCTTGGGCAATTCTTGGATTTCAAGGGCAGCCTGAGACACACAGCCACAGAGAGCAAGGGAAAGTTCATGCAAGAGGTAGTGATGTTGTAATTATAGTCTTCCTGAAGCAAAATGCAAGCTGGAAGAGGACATAGCTTCAACCCTGGGAGAATGCTATCACATGGAGAATTAGCACTGTGTCAAGTTAATTTCTTTCCCTCTTTCACTTTAGGTTGATGAGCTCAATTGAAGGATCAAACTAATCAACCTTGAGCAATTGTTTGAGAATGTGAAAATCTCTAACCTCCATTTTTGTTTTTGTTTTTTGAGACAGTATCCTGCTCCATCACCCAGGCTGGAGGGTAGTGGCACAATCGTAGCTCACTATAGCCTCAAACTCCCGGGCTTTAATGATCTTCCTGCCTCAGCCTCCAAAAGTTGCTGGGATTACAGACATGAGCCACCATGCCCAGCCTAACCTCTGTTTTTTCAAGGATTTGGCTTACAGTACCTAGATGTCTGTCCAGAGCATAGATGGATATACTCCAAATATTTTGTGTTCCAGAGTGGCTTATTAATTCAGAGTTAATCTAGCTCACAATCTCCCTCACCACAGTGGTGAGAAACTCCTTCTCAGTCATGTTTGAGGAGCCTCTTTCCATCTCTGTGAGGCACGTAAGCATCAGAGTGGTACCTGGAGCCCAGGAGGGTCCTTTTGGTCCTTCTTTGCAGGTTGCCATGGTTACCCTCTTGCCCTTTGCTTTAGAAAGATGCTGATAGTTTTCCTCTCTGCCATCCTTGGACCCTGGAGCTCTTCAGAGTATCTTTTCCATTTAGTCTCTAAGCCTGAGAAAAAACTGGTCTGCCAGACAGCTATCCTGCACTCAGCCCAGCTGGGGAAGTAACAACAGGAGGGGACAGGTCTCTACAACTTTCAGAAACCCCACAATCTCTGCTCTTTCTCAGCCTCTGGAAGGGAAGCCTCCACCTCACAGGAGACCATTTCTGCCTTTCCACTCTCAGCAAGAGTTTATCTCCCCTCCTTTAAACAAGTCTTCGCCTCTTGCACAAAATCTTTTGGAGGGAGATGTAAGTAGGCTTATCTTCTAGGTGCCAGACCATTCTATCTAGGGTGTTGAAACTCTGCAGCTGTTAGTAGCCCCCAAAATCTGGAGTTCCCTACTCAGAGGACAGAGATAATCATCTTCTCATGGGGAGAAAAAAACATATCTCAGTTGTTTTTCAATGGCAATTTATTTAAATATTTTATGGTCTTATGTAACTCTTAAATTGAAGAAATACACTCTTGGAATAAAGCAACTCTGTTTTTGTCTGTCCATGTCCCTTAATTTTATTCTTTCTCTGCCATCAGGTAAAAACACAGGCAGATTTTTCTACTCACTCTTAGACAATAAAAATGTTCTGTGCTATGGTCACTTGAGGTCCCATAAGTCCTCAGTTCACTGCCATCGTCAAAACTGCAAGTTCCATTGGAAGTCACTGTCCCAGCACCCCATCCCTGACCCAGGTTGTGGGAAGGGACTTGGTTGATTTGGTTCTCTCTTCTCACCTGATTCTTCTGCTCCTCTTGGAGCTCCACGGCTGTGGTCTCTGGGTCACCAGGAATTCAGGCTTGGCGTGGAGGGAAGGACAGCAGGGGTCATTCCTTTTGACTGGCACAGTTGTAATCATTACTATTGTGATGATGTAGTGTCCCAGCTCTCTGGACGTGGCAGATGGTTAAAGCCACCTCTTTCTCACATTTCATGGGCATTTTTGTGTTTTCAAGGACCTCCCACACTCTACATTGGTCAATATCACTCACCTGTGGTGTTCATGTCAGGTAAAATCCACTTCCATTTCAGCTGTTCACTTCCTTCTCCTCCGGCTTTTAGGGATTCTGTCATACCTGTAGCTCCTTTGCACTGGGGTCTGGTCTGATGTTCCCTCTTAAGTGGTCCTTCAGACAGCCCTGTACCAGCTGTCTCATAGGGCCCAGCTGGTCCATGAGAAACTAATTTTGCATTTCCTATGAAACCACATTATACTTTTTTTTTTTTTTGAGACAGGGTCTCACTCTGTTGCCCAGGCTGGAGTGCAATGGCATGATCTCAGCTCACTGCAACCTCTGCCTCCTGGGTTCAGGCAATTCTCCTGCCTCCACCTCCCAAGTAGCTGGGATTACAGGCATGCACCGCTGTGCCTGGCCCACATTATACAAACTTTTATACATCTTACTTTTCTTACCCAGTGGTACCTCATGGACATCCTTTGTCATTTCTTAAATACTTAACTTATACTAGGCTAATTCCTGGCTTTTCTAGTCTAGTCTACTGGTTTGTCTTCTTTTTGGTCAACACTATATTGATTTGAGAGTATTCCTTAGCCCAGCAGCCACCATCAGCGTCACCTGGGAACTTGTTAGAAATGCAAAATCTTGGGCTCCACTCCAGACTTACTGAAACAGAAATTCTGGGTGAGGCCTGGTCTTCCGTGTTTTAACAAGTCCTCCAGCAAATCCTGATGCATGCTGACATTTGACTACCACTATGGCAAAATGGCTTTCTACTAGATGCTTGTATATTGACTGTCATAAAATCAATGCCCCTCATCAGTGTTTTATTTCGGACTTTCTCGCCTATTCATGGGCATGTATTTGTTCTTTCAAATGAACATAAATTCCATTCCATTAAAACAGTCTGTGGTTCCAATGGGGCATTGCAATAAATTATATATTAACATTAGGATAACTGGCATTTTTGTGACATTAAGTGTTTATATCTGAGAATACAAAATGTCTTTTTATTTCTCCATCGTTTTTTTTTTATAAAGGTCTTCTGACTTTCTCGCCAAATGTATTCATAAATAATTTATAGTTTGAGGTCATTATATTGAGTTAAGTACTTTTTCTATTCCATTTCTAGATTTTTGTTACCCAATTAGAGAAAAAAGCTATTATATAAACTAAATATTTATCTTATATGTAGCCACTTTATTAAATTATCTTATTTATTCAAGTGGTTTGTAATTTTTTGCAGTGACATTTTTAATGAGAAGATAATTTTCTTCTTTCTATGTTTATACTCTCTTTTGTTTTGCTGCATTCACTAGAACCTGTAAACAATGTGGAAAAATAATAGCAAAAGCAAATGCACCGGTCTAGTTCCTGACTCAATTCAAAACAGCTTTACTTTTTCAACATTTAGAATAACATTTACTATTGGGCTTGGTGGTCTTTAATACATTTAAGTGGTTTCCTTCTAGCCCTGTTATAATTAAGATTTTTATTAGGAATGGCTGTTGATTTTTACCATATGTCTTTCCAGCGTCTATTGATATTTATATGGTTTTTTTTCTTTAATGTGTTGCTCTTATGCTGTAGCAAGAAGAAACACAAATTCCTATCACAATCAATTTCTGGTTTCATCAGTTTTCTTTAAAAAACAAAAACAAAGAAACAAGGGTTCTAATTGATTGCTTAGGTAAGTTATCTGAACACAACGTAAGTCTGATAAGCTAAAACACAAATGCCTGCACACCTAATTATTGGAGCTCTTTCATCTTTTACCATCCCAACTAAACCAAACGACAGATAAAAGGTAATCATTGATAACAGTAATAATGTGGTGGGTCGGAGCATTAGTTTCTGTCTCAGAGAAGTCTGGGTCCCAATATTTGTTCTGCCACTTGCAACCTGGGCAACTTTGGGTAAGAAAAATGGCTAGCATTTATTGAACTTTTACTGTGTTTTCTAAACACATTATGTAGATTCATTTAGGTTAGTTGGAGTGGAGGGGAGGACACCCGGGGTCATTCCTCTCTAAATCACATTCTCCCCCCCTTACCAAGTAAGAGATCATGTATTACAAAGAATCAATAAAAGTTAGCTCTATACCCTCATTTATGGAATTTTTTATAAAAAGACTTGTCCTAGTCTGTTTTCTGTTGCTATAACAGAATAGCTGAGACTGGATAATTTATCAAGAAAAGTTTATTTGGCTCATGGTTCTGGAGGCTGGGAAGTCCAAAAGCTTGGTGGCAGCTTCTGGCACAAAGTTTTGTAACACGATGGAAAAATGCAAGTGAGTGCATGTGAAAGGGCCAACACACGAGGAGTGACCTTGCTTTATAACAACCCACTCTAAAGGCAACTAATCCAATCCTGCAAGAGCAAGAACTCACTCACTCCCACGAGAACTAACCCAGTGTCACAAGAGTGGCATATGCCCTTCATGATGGCGCCATCATGACCCAAACATCTCTTAAAGGTTCTACTACCTCTCAACACCATTACTTTAGGAATCAAATTCTAACATGACTTTTGGTGGAGACAAACCATTTTCACACCATAGCAAGGCTATTTTTTTTTCTTTCCCTGTTAACTGTCAAAACATAACCTACCATGAAGCAGAGGGAGTCACTTGTGTGGTTTCTTGGCCAAATGCCCCAAACCTCTCATCTGATAAATAGGTTTCTGTGGAGGTTGGGGTGAGGTCTCCTCTTGACTGCTGGCCTTGAACTTGTGCTCATGGTCAGGGACACTTTGCTACTGACCATGGTCTGTGAGCACTACCTTTTTCTCACCATGGTGGACTGAGCAGGAAATAACAAAAGTGCCAACAGACCACTTTTAAAGTTCTCCCCATGGAGTCTCCCAATAACACAGACCAATATGGAGTTCCTGGAATTTGAGTCTGTCTAGTGTGTAGTATAAGAACCTAGCTGGGCCCCCTTACCCCACCTCTTTTTCACTTTAGAAAGACAGTGACAGGTGGCTTCTTATTCACCTATTCTCCAGATACATAGCTCCTGATGGTAGATGATGGCTGAGCAGAGGATCTGGGGCATGTTATTCTACCACAGTCCCCAGTATCAGGGTCCTAGGGTCTGGCTTCCTGCCATGACCTCCTGCCACAGACTCATAATTGATGACTATGCCCCATGACCCAGACCCTCAATTACTGGCTTCATTATATCAGAGTTAAGCACACACAGTGCCATCAAAAGTTGGCATTCTACCATGTTTTCCCAATCTGCAAAATGATTTACTGCTCTTCACCCCACGGCTTTCCTGGACTGCAGTTCCTGCCTAGAAATCCAGGTTTCCCTGTAAACTGATCCCTGGTATCTGGTGGCAAACTTGGGTGTGACCCATACTTCAGGGTGGTTTGTCCCAGTTCTGTCAGGTCTCTGGTCTCCTGCATGGCTCCTTGCATTTGCCCATCTGCTGACACAGCTGGTGACACCATTCACTAGAGAGCTCATCTTACTGATTCTTTTTTTTTTTTTTTTTTTTTTTTTTTGAGACAGAGTCTCCTTTACCCAGGCTGGAGTACAATGGTATGATCTCAACTCACTGCAACCACTGCCTCCCAGGCTCAAGTGATTCTGGTGCTTCAGCCCCCTGAGGATCTGGGATTATAAGCATGCACCCCCACACTCAGCTAATTTTTGTATTTTTAGTAGAGACGGGGTTTTGCCATGTTGGCCAGGCTCGTCTTGAACTCGTGACCTCAAGTGATCCGCCCACCTCGGCCTCCCAAAGTGCTGGGATTACAGGCATGGATCACAGTACCCAGCCATTTTACTGATCCTTTACCCACCCCAAGACACATAAAGCCCTTCCAACTATGTGCTCGGCCCTGCTGGACTCGGCTCCTGAGTTCCCACTCTGGCCGTTTCTCTCGTTGGCCTCCCCTTTGTACCCTTATTTGCCCTAGACCAGTCTTGTCTCACTCGAAGTCCCTGGAATCACTGCAGAAGCAAAAGCTCTGCCAGAATTTCTTCTTGCCAGAACTAGCCCCGGGGAATCACAGAAAAATAAAGTTGTTTTCTTGTATTCTAGACCCAATTACTGTAGTGGCTGGTGAGTATACACAACACTAATATTCAAAGCCAGTCCCAGTCCACGCTGCAAGTGTGGCTTTAAATCACAAAGTCATTCCGTGCTCTGGAACCCAAACTAGAGAATGAAGAATGTGAACCTAGCAAAAGGACACGTGCATTTGCTTTTGCTGCAAATGACCTTCTTTATTGCATAGAATAATCACCTTTTAGATTTTCTGAGATTAGCCCTACATTGTAGCAATGGTATCCTCTTAGGTCTTAATACTTGATGGATGAATCTTTCTGTTCCTAAGACACGGTGAGGGAATCTAGATTTTTTTTTTTTTTTTTTTTTTTTAATGTTTGAGACAGAGTCTCGCTGTCACCCAGGCTGGAGTGCAGTGGTGAGATCTCAGCTCACTGCAACCTCTACCTCCCAAGTTCTAGCGATTCTCATATCTCAGCCTTCCAAATAGCTGGTACTACAGGTGCCCACCACCACGCCCAGCTAATTTTTGTATTTTTAGTAGAGATGGGATGTCACCATGTTGGCTGGGCTGTTCTCAAACTCCCGATCTCAAGTGATCCACCCGCCTCAGCCTCCCAAAGTGCTGGGATTACAGGCGTGAGCCACTGCACCTGGCCGAATCTAGAAGTATTTTTTGACCTATAATCTATTACTGAAATACATTTTTTACTGATCATATCTCTACTTATGGTCAGGTTAGTTGAATGTATATATCAAGGCTTAAAATCCTCATTTGGTTTGCAACAGAATAGTTGTTATAAGTTTATGATTTGGGAGCCAATGAAAATAGTGTCATTTTTCCCCTGTAGAATAAAAGCTCAAGGTAGTGTCAAGTCTTCAGAAAGTAAACTTAGCACAGTGGGTCTCAAACTCTGCAGTGCGTTAAAACTACAGATTTTTGGGGCCTGGCCCCAAGATTCTGCCCACGTAGGTCTGGTGGGTAGCCCAGGGATGTTTGTTTTAAACAAGCACTGCAGGTGATTTTTTTTGTTTTTACTTTTATTTTTTTCTTGAGCAACTTTGAGTCGAAAGCAGATGATTTTTAGTAAATGATTTATGCACTACGCTTTTGAGAAGAACTGGGTTAGATGAGAACATTGGACTCAGAGGAAAACACTGGGTTTTAATTCTAGCTCAATGGCTTTAGGTTTCAAACCTTTTATTTTCGTGGTCCAATTTATAAAGGGAAATAGCAATAACTGCCTTCTTTATTATTTCTGATATTATTTTCATGATGACTGTATGTATAGGCAACCAGTCTCTCTGAACAGACCATGAATGTGTCCACAAAAAAAAATTTTCGGCTGGGCGTGGTGGCTCACACCTGTAATCCCAGCACTTTGGGAGCCTGAGACAGACAGATTACCTGAGGTCAGTAGTTCGAGACCTGCCTGGCTGGCCAACGTGGTGAAACCCTGTCTCTACTAAAAATAAAAAAATTAGCCAGGCGTGGTGGTGGGTGCCTGTAATCCTAGCTACTCAAGACGCTGAGGCAGGAGAATCGCTTGAATCCGGGAGGCAAAGGCTGCAATGAGCCAAGATCGCGCCACTGCACTCCAGACTGGGTGACAGGGTGAGACTCCATCTCAAAAAAAAAAAAAAAAAAAATTGTCACAAACTTTGTGTGTTTAACTATGTGGGAGAATGGAAGTACCTTCAAACCTTACCCAGTCATTTCCATGGAAAAATAAAGCACGGCCGGGCGCCGTGGCTCATGCTTGTAATCTCAGCACTTTGGAAGGCTAAGGCGGGAGGATGGCTTGAGCTCAAGAGTTCGAGGTCAGCCTGGCCAACATGGTGAAACCCTGTCTCTACTAAAAATACTAAAATTAGCTGGGCATGGTGGCACATGCCCGTAGTCACAGCTCCTCAGGAGGCTGAGGTAGGAGAATCGCTTGAACCCGGGAGGCAGAGGTTGCAGTGACCTGAGATCACACCACTGCACTCCAGCCTGGGCAACAGAATGAGACTGTATCTCAAAAAAAAAAAGAAAAAAAGAAAGAAAAGTAAATAAAGCATATAATAGAGACAGACATAAGAAAAAGTTAATGATAAACAGTCATTTAGTAGACAATAAAAACCCAGCAATCTGTGCAGTTGTTGAAGGAATGACATTAACCGTCTCTGAGGACACAATTTATTACAACATAACAAGTTATGTACAGAAAAGCGACATTGAAATTGCAAGGAAACAATACATTCTGGTACTAAGTTAAAATAAGGACAGATTCTGCAGAGCTTAGAATAATTTCTGAAAATGTTTAGAATGAAAACACTCTGGCTCTTAAAATGATAAACTTGAGTTAAAGGGCATTGACTCACTTACTGAACACCTACTATGTGTCAGGTGCAGGAAAAACATCTGCCCTTATGGAGGGTGCATGCTAGTGATGGGGATAAGTCAATCAGGGGTATTATTTTCAGGAAGATCAAATGTGCAAACAGTCAACCTCTGAATAAACTAGCAAGGGGATAAATCAATGATAGACCTACTATGTCCAACACAGTAGCCCTGAGCTACATATGGTTATTTAAACTGAACTTAAATTCATTAAAACTAAATAACATTAAAAGTTATCTTATTGCGTTAGGCATTTTCAAGTGCCTAGTAGACACATGTAGCCAGTGGCTACCGTGTTGGACAGTACGGAATGATCATTTCCATCATGGCAGAAAGTTCTGTGGATGGTCCTGATCGAGACCATGGTGGAAGATGAAATATATTATGGTAAAAAGCAGATCTGGGAAGGACAACAGGCCATGTGGAGAACAGGGGAGCTGACATTTATATAAATCTGAGAATCTCTCTGAAAAGGTGATATTTGAAAAAAAACATAAGAGTGGAGAGTGAGTGATGGGAAACCAGAGGAGAGTGATTCATGGGAAACTAGAGAAGAGTAAATGATGGAAGAGTATTCCAGGAGTGGGAACAGAAGGTGCGATGTCCTGAGGAGGAGCCATCTGGTGGTGGGAGTGGGGGCAGGCAGGAGGCAGTCCAGGAACAGCAAGGAGTTTTTATTTTTTGTAGAGATGGGGTCTTACTCGGTTGTACAAGCTGGTCACAAACTTTCCTGGCCTCGAGTGATCCTCCTGACTCAGCCTCCCAAAGCACTGGGATTACAGGAGTGAGCTGTGGTGCCCGGCCTGGAGGTGGCAACTTGATGCTTTTTCCCAGTCACATTCAGCTGTGTGGGTGCAGGTCTGGAGTAGGTGGAGGGCTGGTTGTGTCCAGTTTTTGTTTGAGAAAGCCCTACAGGCTACAGATACCGGGGAAATGAGGCTTGATGACAATTCACGCTAATTGGAAAAAGGTCAGCCAGTGTTAGCAAAAACATAGGTTTTTTTTAAAGCTCTTTTATTCATTAAAAATGTATCCTGTATAATTTATGTTCAGCTGGGTCTTGCCAAAATGAATAAATAAAGCTGTATTTAATTAGCTACAATATTTACATTTCAACACTTAATGAGCTAACAGCTGTTAAAAGAGTTTGTTCTCTTAAGTAGATTGAGAATCTCTCTGCCTCCCTGCAATTTTGCTTACCTTTTTTTCTTTTTTCTTTTTTTTGCTTAATCATTCCTTCAACAGGTGCGTGTTGTCAGACAGTTGAGGGCCCAGAAATCCCCAAAACAGAAGGAGAAACTGAATATGTAGAAAACACGTCCCTTGCCTATAGGAAGTGTATGGTGGGACTCCAGAATAGAATAAGCATTAAAAGTACAATCCCACCTAGTGCTCAGCAGTCTTTTCTCTCCACCAACCATGCAAGGCCAACCCAACTGCCCACTAACTAATTCAGAATAAGTAAAATACAAAGTAATGAGACTTAACCACATTTTATGCTTCGTCATTTGCCATTTTATCAGCATCATCCTTGATCCATTTTCCTCCTCAGTACGTTTCTATTGATCTCGGCTGATTGGTGATATGCCTAATTCAAATGGAGCTTGTTGTTCTCCTAATTATAAAAGTAACAGAGACTCAATATCAAAATTTTGGAAAATATTGAAAATTTGGAAGGAGGGAAAAAAACAATTCTACTATTCAAAGACAGCCACTAATTGTAATATATTATCTTTCTTTTTAGCCTTTTCTCTTAAAAATTAATATTCAATTATGAGTCATTTCAAACATACAGACAGGTATAAAAAATAATTTACAAACAACCCAAATGAACAGGTGTCAACATGTTGCTATATTTGCTTTAGAGCACTCATTTTTTTTTTTTTTAGATGGAGTTTCTCTGTTGTTGCCCAGCTGGAGTGCAATGGTGCCATCTTGGCTCACTGCAACCTCCACCTCCCAGGTTCAAGGAATTCTCCTGCCTCAGCCTCCCTAGTAGCTGAGATTACAGGCACATGCCACCATGCCTAGCTAATTTTTGTATTCTTAGTAGAGACGGGGTTTCACCGTGTTGGCCAGGTTGGTCTCGAACTCCTGACCTCAGGTGATCGGCCCACCTCGGACTCCCAAAGTGCTGGGATTACAGGCGTGAGCCACTGCGCCAGCCACTCTTTGTTTCTTAACAAATAAAATATTATAGGTGCAGGTAAAGCCCATCCCCACTCCTCATCGTTCCTTTTCTCCCCAGAGGTAACTACGGCCGTTGGGGATTTCCTGCGATGTGCTAATCAGTGCCCACCTGGGTTGGTGTCTTGGTTTTGGTAATTCCAGGAAACCTGAGGAATCTGGTCTGCAAAGCTGAGGCCCACCCCAAGGAGGTGGTGACCTCTCTGCTCTACTCCCAAAACACGATCCTGCGGCAACTCGCAGTTTCACTCACCTTTCTGGGGCATCTTCCAATTGTATTACACGATTCCATTGTCTCCTTCAAACAACCCGATCACCCCAGAGAGTAGAGTGTAAAATGTACTACTTCATGAATATTCAGATATATACATTATGTTCCAAGAATGAAATTAATCCCAGGTTAACAGGATGGCAGAGTAGTACTGTTTGCCCACTCTAGACTTCAAATTCACATTTAAAAATATTGATTACCTGTTAGGTTTTACATGAAGAAATACCAAAGGGCAAATATAACAGTATTAGAAACCAAGGCTGAAAGTTGACCATAAGCCAGTATTTAAAGGAGTGTTTGGCCAGGCACGGTGGCTCAAGCCTGTAATCCCAACACTTTGGGAGGCCGAGGCAGGCAGATCACCTGAGGTCAGGAGTTCGAGACCAGCCTGGCTAATATGGTGAAACACCGTTTCTACTAAAAACACAAAAAATTAGCCAGGCATGGTGGTGCATGCTTGTAATCCCAGCTACTCAGGAGGCTGAGGCAGGAGAATCCCTTGAACCTGGGAGGCAGAGGTTGCAGTGAGCCAATATCGTGCCATTGCACTCCAGCTTGGGCAACAAGAGTGAAACTCCATCTCAAAAAAAAAAAAAAGTGTTTTTTCCAGGTCTTGAAAAAGTTGAATGTATTCTCTGCTATACAGATCTCTAGCAGCTGTATATATAGACCCTTATGGGAGAGTTTCTCATCTCCCATTTTAGGAGAGGAGAAGCACTCTGTCCCTGCCCCCATTGTGGTAGTGACTCACTGAGGTTGTTGAAGTGAACATAGCTACCTCACCCAACTTGTTCTTAAAAAGGAGACCATGGAAGCTAAGAGGAAATGAGTCAGATGACAGTTTGGTCAGCTGAGCCAGCCTCTCCTGGTCTCCTTCCTGGAGTCAGCGTATATTTCAACAGGAACCTCTATTCTTAGGCTACAAACACAGTGATTGAACTCTTATTATCACTTTATATTCTCTTTTACTATTAATAGGGCAAACAGATCCTTCCCAGATATGGTTTCAATCTGTGTCCTCGAGCAAATCTCACGTTGAATTATCATCCCCAATGTTGGAGGTAGGACCTGGGGGGAGGTGACTGGATCATGGGGGTGGCCCTTCATGAATGCTTTAGCCCCATCTCCTTGGTGCTAGTCTTGAGATAATGAGTGAATGAGTTCTTATCCCAGCACTCTGGGAGGCTGAGGCAGATGGATAACCTGAGGTCAGGAGTTCGAGACCAACCCAGCTAACGTGGCGAAACCCTGTCTCTACTAAAACTACAAAAATTAGCCGGGCGTGGTGGCGGACATCTGTAATCCTAGCTACTTAGGAGGCAGAGGTAGGAGAATTGCTTGAACCCAGGAGGCGGAGGTTGCAGTGGGCCGAGATAGTGCCACCGCACTCCAGCCTGGGTGACAGAGCAAAACTCCGTCTCAAAAAAAAAAAAAAAAAAAGTGTGTAGCACTTCCTCCCCTCTCGCTGTTCCTGCCATGTGAGACGTCTCGCTTGCCCTTTGCCTTCTGCCATGATTGGAAGCTTTCTGCAGCCTCTCCAGGAGCAGAAGCCTCCATGCTTCCTATATAGCCCATGGAACTGTGAGCCAATGAAACTTCTTTTCTTTATAAATTACCCAGTCTCAGGTATTTCTTTATAGCCATGCGAGAACAGGCTAATACATTGCCCTTCTTCCGAATTATACTGATTCTAGGATGGGGATAGATTTTGTAAGCATAAATATTTCAAAGCAGAAATAAAGCAAAAAATAAATGGTAATAGATTTGAAAACAAAAAAAGAATACTTTTATACGTGAAAAGACCGTACATTAAAATAAATAATGAAAAAGGAGATATGTCTATCATAGATGTTTAAAAACATAAGTGGACTGTTTCTAATATGTAAATAGTCCTCATAAATAAGTAAGAACTGAGTCAGAGAAGCCTTCAGCTACCTGTAACCAGCAAGCCTGCCTTTGGCGTGGCTCTGTTCACTCTCACAGCCCTGACATAGCTGTCAACAAATACTGTGGGTCTTTGATGGTTAAAAAGAAAACCAAACAAATGAACAAAAGGAGTATTCTAAAAGGCAGTCCCCAGCCGGGCACGGTAGCTCACTCCTGTGATCCCAGCACTTTGGGAGGCCAAAGTGGGCAGATCACGAGGTCGAAAGATCGAGACCATCCTGGCCATCATGGTGAAACCTCGTCTCTACTAAAAATAACAAAATTAGCTGGGCATGGTGGCACATCCCTGTAATCCCAGCTACTTGGGAGGCTGAGACAGGAGAATCACTTGAATCCGGGAGGTGGAGGTTGCAATGAGCCGAGATTGCACCGCTGCACTCCAGCCTGGAGACAGAGCTAGACTCTATCTCAAAATAAATAAATAAATAAATAAGTAAAAAGGCAGTCCCCATCTCTCCCCACAACACACCACCAAATGCATTCAAACCTACATGTGGTCAAATTCTGGTGGGTTGATGTTCCTGTCATTCCCCTAAGGACATTTTGATGTATTTTATAGTTTACATGTTATTGTGACTGGCCTCTTTTTTCCCTCATATTTCCTGACAGACGCCTTCTGGTGTATAATATAGCTGTTGATTTTTATGTTTATTTCCATTCCAGATCATACTCTATCAATTTGAGTAATGCTACTGTAAATGTCCTTAGTTTTTTTTTTTGAGACAGAGTCTCGCTCTGTCACCCAGGCTGGAGTGCAATGGTGTGACCTTGGCTCACTGCAACCTCTGCCTCCCGGATTCAAGCGATTCCCCTGCCTCCGCTGCCTGAGTAGCTGGGATTACAGGCATGCACCACCACCCCTGGCTAATTTTTGTATTTTTAGTAGAGACGGGGTTTCACTATGTTGGCCAGACTGGTCTCGAACTCCTGACCTCAAGTGATCCACTCATTTCGGCCTCCCAAAGTGCTGGGATTACAGGCGTGAGCCACCACACTCGGCCTGCCCTTAGATTTTCTAGTAGACAAATTATCTGCCAAATTTTCTCCTTTTTCAAATAACAGACCTTTCTCCCCCTATTTCATAACTCTACTATATTGGTTTGAAATTCTAGAATCATGCTAAATTATTTTGAAGTTGAAAAGCATCCTGTATCATCCCCTGAGTTTACCTGGACCATCTCTAGATTTGGGGGTTCGGTAGGATGTTGACTGGTAGTTTCAGTTAAATGTTCTCAAGCATGTGGAGTACTCAGTTCATTCCATTATTAGCTTGCTAAAAGGCTTACAATTCAAAACCAAATATTGCATTTTATAAAATCTCTTTCCAATATCTATCAATGATCTATATGTTTTTTACCAATAACATATGGATCATATGCTACTTACTTTACAGTTCCATGTAAAACAAATAGCAAAAATGGGGAAATGTCTATAAGATCTATTACATATATAATATGTATATTGCATAATATACATAATATAGCATATGGAACAGATAATAAATATATAATATTGCATGTGTAATATATAATAAACATATAAAACTGGCCTGGTATTGGCTGGGCGCGGTGCCTCATGCCTGTAATCCCAGCACTTCGGGAGGCTGAGGCGGGTGGATCACGAGGTCAGGAGATCTAGACCATCCTGGCTAACATGGTGAAACCCCATCTCTACTAAAAATACAAAAAAAATTAGCCGGGTGTGGTGGCACGTGCCTGCAGTCCCAGCTACTCGGGAGGCTGAGGCAGGAGAATGGCATGAACCCGGGAGGCAGAGCTTGCAGTGAGCCAAGATCATGCCACTGCACTCCAACCTGGGCGACAGAGCGAGACTCTGTCTCAAAAAAAAAAGAAAAAAAATGTGCCTTGTATTTAACAATTTTTGCATTTCTCAGAAAGCTGCTATTCGTATACTTTTGTGTTTTATTTACTACTCTTTCTAAAATTGGTAATTTTTATTTGACTTGTTTCACATAAATATTAACTTAGGAGCATTTGTCACATCATTAAATATTATTCTGCAAAACTAACTTTAAACTCTTTATTGACTCTAATGTATAATACATAAAATGCACAAATCCAAATGTATAGTTAAATGAATTTTAACTATAAATAAACTCAATACCCTTGACTAAACAGCACCTAGATGAGATGTGAAATATTACCAATACCCCAGAAGCCACCATGTGTCCTCCCAATTAACAACCCCCTCCAAGGTTAGCCATTGTGACAAAACTACGTTTTAATGTTCCATGATGAGTGAAGGAGAAGATTAATAGCAAATAAAGCCAACGAGGCAGGGAAGAACCAGATAAGGCTTTGAGAACTGTATTAGTCTGTTCTCACATTGCTATAAGGAAATATCTGAGACTGGGTAATTTATAAAGAAAAGAGGTTTCATTGGTTCATGGTTCTGTAGGCTGTACAGGAAGCATGGCGGCATCACCTTCTGGGGAGGCCCCAGGAAACGTACAGTCATGGCGGAAGGCCATGCCTCCACCTCCTGGAGAAGCAGGCACTTCTTACGTGGCCAGAGCTGGAGGAAGAGATAGAGAGGGGAGGTGTCACACATTGTTAAACAATCAGATCTTGCAATAACTCACTCTTGACAGGGCAGCACCAAGGGGGTAATGTTAAACCATGAGAAACCACCCCCACGATCCAAGTATCTCCTCCAGACCCCACCTCCGACACTGGGGATTACAGTTCACCGTGAGAATTGGGCAGGTACACAGAGCCAAACCATTATCAAAAATCAGATTTTATTGGTGCATTTATTTTCTTGCTTGCTTGCTTTATTTCTTGCTTTCTGTCTTGCTTGCTTGCTTTTCTTTCTTTCTTTCTTTCTTTTTTCCTTTTTTGGAGACAGGGTCTCACTCTGTCATCCAGGCTGGAGTGCAGTGGCGTGATCTTGGCTCACTGCAACATCCACCTCCCAGGCTCAAGAGATTCTCCCACCTCAACTTCCCAAGCAACTAGTACTACCAGGTGTGTTCCACCATGCCTGGCTAATTTATAAGTTTTTTGTAGAGACAGAGTTTCACCATGTTGGCCAGGCTGGTCTCAAACTCCTGACCTCAAGTGATCCTCCTGCCTTGGCCTCCCAAATTTCTGGGATTACAGGCGTGAGCTACCACACCTGGCCAGTGCATTTATTTTCTATTGTTGTATAATAGATTGCCACAAACTTAGTGATTTAAAACAACTCAAATATATCATCTCTCAGTCTCCGTGGGTCAGGAGGCTTAGGTGGGTCCTCTGCCTGGGAAGCTATTTGAAGGCTGCAGTCAAGGTGTTAGCTACATTGGGATGCCTATTTGGAGCTCAGGATTCTAGTCCAGGTTCGTTCTAATTCACGGTCAGAATTCAGTTCCTCGTGGCTCCAGGATGGAAGTCCCTGTTTTGTACTAGCTTTGGGCCAGGAACTACTCTTAGCTCTTACAGGCTGCCCATGAATCCTTGCTGTGTGGCTCACACAGGCATTTCACAGCATGCACATTTGCTGTCTTCCAGGCCAACCAGAGCCTGGTTCACAGACTTCACCTGATTTGGGCAGGCCCACCCAGTGTACTATCCATTTCCATCAACTCAAATGCAACTGATTTTTAAGCTAATCATGGGAGTGATATCCCATCCTCAAGTGAAGGAGGTTATAAAAGACTGTGGGTAATTGAAGATTATCTTAAAATTCTGTCTACCACAGCGGGAAGGAAAATTATATTTTTTTTCTATTTGCAATAAGAAGCTATTTGAAGAATTGTAATCGGGGGGGAGGATCTTATTTAAACATTAAAAATCACTAACCTCAATAGAGAATCTGTAAAGAACAAAGCTAACTGGATGCTTTGCAGAGAATAGGGGAATAGGACTTTGACTTTAGTAATTAGTAGAAGTGGAATTAAAGAGCTCAGCTTGGGCCATGCTAACTTTTAGATTCCTATTCGATACAGACATCCAGTGGAGAATTCACAGTTAGCTATGCATGCGTGGAGCTCAAAAAAGAGAGAGAGCTGGAAACATAGATTGAGGCATCATCAGTCAGGATGGAATGTCAACTTCCCAGACTTCATGAGAACACAGGGAAGAGATGTAGACAGGCTAGAGGATTGCTGCAGGTGCCATGATTGCTGACCTTATACTTCTTAATCTTACAGTCAGTTGTGTAGACAGACTCCTGCGTGGAGCCTTCCCAATAGTAATTCCGTTGTTTTGCAGTGTGTTTTCTATGGCATCAAGCTAGTTGCTTGTATGGGTGTTTTGTTGTTATTTCTTTCTTTCTTCTTTTTTTTTTTTTTTTTTTTTTTTTTGAGATGGAGTTTAGTTCTGTTGCCCAGGCTGGAGTGCAGTGGCATGAACTCAGCTCACCGTAATCCCTGCCTCCCAGGTTCAAGCAATTCTCCTGCCTCAGCCTCCGGAGTAGCTGGGACTACAGGCATGTGTGACCACGCCCTGCTAATTTTTGTATTTTTAGTAGAGTCGAGGTTTCACCATGTTGGCCAGGCTGGTCTCAAACTCCTCACCTCGGGTGATCCGCCTGCCTTGGCCTCCCAAAGTGCTGGGATTACAGATGTGAGCCACTGTGCCTGGCCTTTTTTTCTGAGAGAGAGAGAGAGGGTCTCACTCAGTTGCTCAGGCTGGAATGCAGTGGTGCGATCATGGCTCACTGCAGCCTCCATCTCCCAGGCCCAAGCAATCTCCCCACCTCAGCCTCCTAAGTAGCTGGGACACAGGTGTTTACCACTATGCCTGGCTAACTTTTTAATTTTTGTAGATATAGGGGTCTCCCTATGTTGCCCAGGCTGGTCTCAAACTCCTAGCCTCAAGTAGATCCACTCATTTCGGCTTCCCAAAGTGCTGGGATTATAGGCGTGAGCCACCACGCCCAGCCGTTGTTGTTTCATAATAGTTCCCCTATTGAAGTTCATTCAAGCCACATTCAACTAACTTGGATTATCTTGTCATTACATGGGATTTCCTCTTCTCTGTCCACTTGCTGGAACTGGAGGGCGCCCTGTCTCCTGAATTTCTGCCCACTAGTAGATTGTTATCTTGAGCTGATCCACTGGAATAGTAAGTAACCATATTGCCTTACTTAGAAGAAACGCTGAACAAAATCTGGGAATTTAAATCCTGGTCAGGATAATGTATCTAAAGATGTGAGCTTATCAAGATTGCATGAATCTTCCTAGCAATTACAAGAGTGGTTTTGTCTTTCCATTCTAACTCAGCATGTGTATTAAACTGTTCTCATGCTGCTAATAAAGACATACCCGAGACTGGGTAATTCATAAAAGAAAGAGGTGTAATAGACTCACAGTTCCACATGGCTGGGGAGGCCTCATGATTATGGCAGAAGGCAAAGGAGAAGCAAATTCACGTCTTACATGGCAACAGGCAAGAGGGTGTGTGCAGGAGCCCCTTTTATAAAACCATCAGATCTCGTGAGACTTATTCACTATCATGAGAACAGCACGGGAAAGACCTGCCTCCATGATTCAGTTACCTTCCACTGGGTCCCTCCTATGACACGTGGGAATTATGGGAGCTACAATTCAAGATGAGATTTGGGTAGGGACACAGCCAAATCGTATCAGCATTCTTGGGCCTTAACAGCATACGCTAGTGTCTCCAGCATGTGCTGATCTTAATTTCAGCCACACCCTAGATTTTTCAAAGGGGCGTAAGCCTTGAATCCCAGCTGCTTACAGCAGGTACCTTTGCAGATTTATGAGAGGCTAGTTGTTCCTGAGAATTAGGCTCGGGATTCTCTGTCCAGCGCAAAAGGGTCAAGGAAAGATGAGATGGCCACGTCTTAGAGAAAGTTAGTTAGTTGCTAACCTTTGAGGAAGCAAGCACAGCTCACAAGCTAGCACCTTAAGGTGAAGCTTCCCATTCCCTGCTTCTGCCTGTCTTGGATGGTCAAGGATTTTCATCTAAGTAGACAGGCAGCCCTGGAATTCTCTAAGGAAACTGAAAAGGACCTGGAAAGGTCTACACCAGGCTAAAGTAAAGTCCTTAAAGCAGGAAACCCAATCAACATGTTTTGGACATTACTCTCTCTCTCTTTTTTTTTTTTTTTTTTTTTTTGGATAGAGTTGCACTCTTTCACCCATGCTGGAGTGCAGTGGTGTGACCTGGGCTGACTGCAGCTTCAGCCTCTCAGGGTCCAGCAATCCTCCCACCTCAGCCTCCCGAGTAGCTGGGACTAGGTGCACACCACAATGCCTGGCTAATTTTTGTAATTTTTTTTTTCGTAGTCACAGGGTCTCACTATGTTACCATGTTGGTCTTGAATTCCTGGTCTCAAGGGATCCCCTTGCCTCGGCCACCCAACGTGTTGGGATTACAGGTGTGAGCCACCACATCTTGCCTGGACATTACTCTTGAACACAGATTTGATAACCTATGAGATCTTTCTGAGGGTGGGGTCCAAATCTGAGTTTCCCCTGATGCTATTAAATAACACCAGAAGGGATTAAAAAAGAGATTTTGTAAGGACAAGAAAGTTAAGTGAAGAGACCAATTCAAAATGAGGGATAGAGTAATACATTTCTTGAAGTCAGGGAAGGTGTCTCTCTTTTTTGCACACTCAGTTTGGTGCCCAAAACAAGTAGATGCTCAATTAATGTTTATCGGTCAGCTTATACTTGCATAAGCGTAACACACACACACGCACACACACACACCCCACACCACAACACACCAGTTTGCTTTATGCATGCAAAATGGCATTCAGGGTTCAGTGTTAAGCATGCATGTCTCCATGCATCTCTTGGAGACATGAGGAAGGAGTGTCTTCTCTTCTTTCCTTGTTCTGCCTCTCTGTATCTGACCTAAATGGTCCTCTTTGAAGACCCACACATGTTAAGTTAATAATGTGGGTTACTTTGAACTAGATGGTTCTCTTTGTCATCGTTGGTCTCCTGATCACAGAGAGTTCTCCGTGGGATCATCCTCTGCCTATAAATGTCCCCTCAGCAAATGCTCTCTGTAGCTTTGGTGAGAGTAGCACCACCCAGGGAGGATTCAGGCATTAATCATCCCTGGCAGAGTGCTCCCTGGAAGTTTACTCTGAAGACTCTTCCTCGCTGCCTGTTTTCTGTCTTTCACTTTCAACCTCTCCTGGCAGTGGTACGTGGCCTTAAAGGCTTGCAATGTGACATTGACCTGGTGTTTCTTTGCTGTGTAACAATGTCATGTCATTTTTTATGGGGCATGTCATAACTATTAGTGTTGTTGTTACCAAAAAGGGGTCCTGATTCAGCCCCCAAGAGAGGGTTCCTGGATCTCACCCAAGAAAGAATTCAGGGCAAGTCCATAGAGTAAAGTGAAAGAAAGTTTATTAAGAAAGTAAAGGAATAAAAGAATGCTCAAGGCTGGGTGCGGTGGCTCATGCCTGTAATCCCAGCACTTTGGGAGGCCAAGGCGGGAGGATCACGAGGTCAGGAGTTCAAGACCAGCTTGGCCAGCATGGTGAAACCCCGTTTCTACTAAAAGTACAAAAATTAGCTGGGCATGGTGGCATGTGCCTGCAGTCCCAGCTACTCAGGAGGCTGAGGCAGGAGAATCGCTTGAGCCCAGGAGGTGGAGGTTGCAGAGAGCTGAGATCACCCCACTGCACTCCAACCTGGGTGACAGAGCGAGACTGCTTCTCAAAAAAAAAAAAAAAATGAAAATAAAGAATGCTCAATAAAGGCAGAGCAGGGCTTTCCCGAAAGGAGGAATGCACCCACCCTAGGTACAATGCTTGTTTATACAGGGTAGCAAAAATATCCTGGGAGATATGCTCTACTACAAGGGTTTGTGATAAAGGGTTAATTTTCTTAATTACTATATTTGCAAGAATTGATATTATTCTCTTTAAAGCAAGACTAGGAATGTTCCTGTTCTCAAGATATCGGGATATTAGGACATTCCTGAGTCTGGGTCTGTTTAGTAAATGTTATCAATCTGTTCCCTTAATCATACACCTCTGGAGGCTAAGAATACCTAATGTCCTGGGAATGCAGCCAAGTGGGTCTCAGCCTTATTTTACCCAGCCCCTATTCAAGATGGAGTCACTCTGGTACCCACGCCTCTGACACCGTGTCCGCATGGGCTCAGTTAAAAAGAACTAACAGTGATGGATTTTCCATCCTACAGCTTATTCATATACACCATGCAGCAGGGCCACATTGCCAGGAAGGGCAACTTCTAATTTAGTCTCTGGTTTGATATCCTTCATTGCTATAGATTCTTTCAAGTTTGGAATGAGCAGAGGAGACAGGAGATCAAATGAATTTGGAGTGTACCTGGATACAGGAGTCCACACTTACAGTCTCAAACTCATATAGCCAAGGGTCATGATGTCAACTGGAGGTTGAAGGAGAAACAGAAGTTCCTAGAGGCCTCTGACGGGAACAACCCATACACATTCCTTTCAAAGACAGCATAAAGTGATAGAAACACATCAACATGAAGAGTGGCTTAGACTGACTTGGTGTCCGGAGGTCAACAGACAAATAAAAAATGATGCCCACAGTGGCTGTAATCCCAGCACTTTGGGAGGCTGAGGCGGGCAGATTGCTTGAGGTCAGGAGTTGGAGTCCAGCCTGGCCAACATGATGAAACCCTGTCTCTACTGAAAATACAAAAGTTAGCCAGATGTGGTGGTACATGCCTGTAATCCCAGCTACTTGGGAGGCTGAGGCCTGAGAATTGCTTGAACCCAGGAGGCAGAGGTTGCAGTGAGCCGAGATCATGCCGCTGCACTCCAGCTTGGGGATAGAGCAAAACTCTGTCTCCAAAAACAAACAAACAAACATACAAAAAAAGAAAAAAGACAAAAAGAAAAATGATTACCCAGCAGAGGACCCCTTCTACTCTGAACTTGTTCAGTTTACATCTGTGAACTCAAAATATCCGAGACAGGTCTCAGTCAATTTAGAAAGTTTATTTTGCCAAGGTTAAGGACGTGCCCGTGACACAGCCTCAGCAGGTCCTGATGATGACATGTGCCCAAAGTGGTCGGGGCACAGCTTGGTTTTATACATTTTAGGGAGACACGAGACATCAATCAGTATGTGTAAAATGTACATTGGTTAGGTCGGGAAAGGCAAGACAACTTGAGGTGGGGAGGGGGCTTCCAGGTCATAGGTAGATTCACTCTTTTGAATCTCTGATTGGCCTTTCACTGAACACACAATTTACATGTGAGAGGAGGGCTTAGTGAAATATTAGGGCGGGGGAAGCAATCAGATATATATTTGTCTCACATAAGCAGAAGGATGACTTTGAGTTCTGTCTGTCCTCTGTCCATAAGGAATTTCCTTGTGGGCAAGGTGGGCAAATTGTGAGGGAGGTCTGTAGCTTTTTTTTTTTTCTTTACTCTTTGTAGCTATCTTGTATAGGAACAGAATGGGAGGCAGGTTTTCCTGACATAGTTCCCAGCTCAACTCTTCCCTTTGACTTAGTGATTTGGGAGTTGCATTAGTCTGTTCTCACACTGCTAATAAAGACATACCCGAGATTGGGTGATTTATAAAGGAAAGAGGTTTACTTGACTCACAGTTCAGCATGGCTGGGGAGGCCTCAGGAAACTTACAATCACGGCAGGAGATGAAGCAAACACGTCCTTCTTCACGTGACAGCAGGAAGGAGAAGAATGAGTGAAGTCAGGGGAAAGCCATTTACAAAACCATCCCATCTAATGAGAACTCACTATCATGAGGACAGCATGGAGGTAACCACCCCCATGATTTAATTACTTCCCACAGGGTCCCTCCCATGACACGTGGGGATTATGGGAACTACAATTCAAGATGAGATTTGGGTGAGGACACAGCCAAACCATATCAGGGGTCCTGAGATTTATTTGCCTTTTGCACATCTTTTGTGACATTTTTATCATCACCTGATTTCTTAAGTGCCAGGATTCTGCAGTTCTTTGGCCCACTTCCTTGATAATAGAAATATAGAATATGCAGCATTCCCAGGAACGTGATGTGGCCTTTGGAGTCTCTGAACCATGAAGGACTCAGCTATTTCTCATTATGCCTTTTTTCCTTTTCTAATTATTGTTTTATATTTTCATCAGACATCTTGGTTTAAGATACCTTGGTCCTTGGGCCCTCTCCCATGGAAGGAATAAATTGAACAATTTAATTTACACTAAAATTAATGAAGGATCGCAGAGCCCTTGCCTGGGGTGATTGGCCAGTGCCACCTCTGCAGCCTCAGCGCTCGCCTGATTAAGTGGGCGGGGGCAACTCCACCAAGAGAACAGGGGGAGGAGAGGGAAGAGGAGTCGGTGAGACAGCCAGTTGTCTGGAGACAGGATGAAGGATGGATGTGGGTAAATCTCCCCTGATGATTTTCTAAAGGAGCAATCCTTTGAAACGCCCAAGGCAGCAGTTCTCAGCCAGAATGGGTGAGAGCCCTGACAGCACTTCCAGCCCCTCCATTTAAACTCCTTTGACTCACAGGGTGAATTCCCACTTCACAAGGGTCTGACACATTCCCTATATTGAATTCTTAACTCTGAGCAATATGACAGTGCCAGAGGCGGGAAGATGCAGAATGAAGCTTTCTTCAAAAATCTAATATTTAATAGCCATGTAAGATTGCAGAATATGGAGGCACCAAAATTCACTTAGCCCATTTGTGAGATTATTTAACTCATGTCCTTTGTATTAATTACAAATAATTGTGATAGATATTTTTGACCTACATCTTTGTTTGAATTTCTGATTCTTTTTTAAAAGAAGCATGGTCCATTTGAATAACACATAGTTTCTACACTTAGGCCTGGACAAATTTAGTTTGCAACACACACACACACACACACACACACACACACACACACACACATACATATACACACCATGAGGTTGTCTACAGTTATTATTATTATTTCATTTTATTTTATTTTTGAGACAAAATCTCACTCTGTCACCCAGGCTGGAGTGCAATGGCACGATCTCAGCTCACTGCAACCTCCGCCTCCCAGGTTGAAGCGACCCTTCCACCTGAGCCTCCTGAGTAGCTGGGATTATAGGCATGCACCACCAAACCCAGCTAATTTTTGTATTTCTAGTAGAGATGGGGTTTCACCACATTGGCCAGCCTGGTCTTGAACTCCTGACCTCAAGTGATCTGCCCACCTCAGCTTCCCAAAATGCTGGGATTATAGGCATGAGCCACCACACCCGGCCAGTTATTATTTTTTATTTGGACATACATGTATAGTCTTGGGAAAACAAATATAAAAATACAGAACAGTGGAAAATGAAGCAGTTAAACAGTATGATCTATTTTTTCCAGATGTTTTACCTCCACATCTAGATGTATATGTTCATATATATACATATAATAAGTAATGTTTTTAAATTCTAAAAACATCTTTGACTCTAAAATATAACATCAAAGATATTGACCAGGTGTGGTGGTGCACACCTGTAGTTGCAGCTACTGGAGAGGCTGTGGCAGAAGGATTGCTTGAGCCCTGGAGGTCAAGACTCCAGTGAGCTGTAATTGTACCACTGCACTCCAACCTGGGCCACAGAGTAAGACCCTGTCTCAAAATATATACATACAAAATATTTACATTAAAATTAATGAAGGATTGCAGAATGAACAGCTCAGGAGTTTAAATATATGTATATGTATATTTATAAATATATATGTATATTTACATATGTATCACCCCAGGCAAGGGCTGTATATATGTATGTATGCATGTATATATTTGAGAGTTCCAAATATATATATGAAAACTCTCAAATATATACATGCATATCTTTAATATATTCATATATATTTGAAACTCTCAAATATATACATATCTACATATACAAAATACATACATACATAGAGACCCTGTCTCAATATGTATATGTATGTGTGTGTATATAATGTGCACGCACACAGACATAATATCAGTTGAAAAAGTGCCTTTGGAGCAAAACCAAAATAAAATAAATGAAAAAGCACTGCATTCAATGCACATGTAGTCAGGACTCTTAATGCCCACTACAGAAATCAACTCTGACCAATTTAAGCTGAAAAGAAATGTATTCTAAAGCACTGGGTAGCTCACAGAGTTGACAGGAAGGCTGGTGGGTCAGGCTTGGAGAAGGCATAGGAAATAAGTAAGGTATAGGGTAGCCAGCACCAGAGTCCAAATGCCATCACCAAAGCTACAGCAAGACCCTCACTGCCACTAGGGGACTGAGAGTGCCCACGAGGGACCACAACACCCTGGGTGCTGCCTAGGGTCAGACGGAACCTCCAAAACAGCTTCTTTGCAGCCCTAGCTCCAGATTGAAAGGCTGGGGTGCTGCATTTGAATTGCCAAGCCTGGGTCACATGCCCAAATCTCAGTTGCATGGGGGATGGTGACATTTATGGCCTTTGGGGCTTCCAAGTTGAGGTGGGGGATACTTACCAAGGCTCCTAAGATGAAGCACCGCCCAATGTAGAAAGGAAATTTGGGTGCCGTGTGCACCTAAAACTGAATGTCACATTTCCACTAAAGCAGTCATTGTCCAGCGTCAGCCAGAGCATCCCCTGGAAAGCTTCATGAAACACGGACTCCTGAGCTACTCCCCCTGATTTAGTAAGTCAGACTTGAGACATGCAAGTTTGCATCTGTAATCAGCACTCGGGTAATGCTGCCAGCCCATAGACCACACTTGGAGAACGACGCTAGAATGCATATTTATTTTTCAATTCCCCTTAGCATGCATTGATGCATACAATTCCATATCCCTTTCTTCTTTATTAGCTCGAAGTTTGAGTTTAAGCTGTGTTCACAGTTAGTATGAAGCATGTTCTAAATCACTTTCAGCCATCGGCAGTTCTTTACACAGAACCTCAGAACAGCACAGAGCTTTTCACAGTTCATAGCCCTTGTCCAGACAGGGTTAGCATCGTTTTGAATTGCAGCATAGTTTTGAGATGTATCAAAGAACTGTGAGATTTTCTGCTTCTTAATGTTTAAGGGAAGCCGTGATTTATTTTCTTTGTTTAATTGAATTAAGCTTGGCTTCACATTATATAGTTTTTCTTGGGAAATGAGCCCGAAGCTTCTGACAGTTATCACCCACTGACTGACAGACACTCACAGTGAATGAATCAGCTATGTGGCTTCTCCAAATCTGAAAATTTCTGTGATCTTTCGAGAGAGTTTGGCAACTTCAACTGCATCTAATTGCACTGTCTAGCATGAAACTGCCAATCTTCAAAGTAACTTTTTATTGCTACTTTGTAGTGTACACTTTTTCTTGGTTTTACTTGGAAAATTATTTGCAGTAGGAAAAAGAACCAGGTCCTTACAACAAACATGCATGTAACCACAATGCAGAATGAACAAACATCACCAACTTGCTATAATTGCTTCTGACCTTTTCTTTCCTCTTAAAATAAATAGCACATTCCTGATTTCATTGATATCTCTTTTGTATGCCATTTCAGTTTCTTTTTTTCTTTCCTTCTTTCTTTCTTTCTTTCTCTGTCTGTCTGTCTGTCTGTTTTTTATTGTTATTTTTTTAGAGGGAGTCTTGCTCTGTCACCGAGGCTGGAATGCAGTGGCATGGTCTTAGCTCACTGCAACCTCTGCCTCCCAGGTTCAAGAGATTCTCCTGCCTCAGCCTCCTGCCCGGCCTGTTTCTTTCTCTCCATTCATTTTCAGGAACACACACTGTCAATGGTTTGGGGTGTTTTCTTCTAGCCCATGTTGTGTAAAGACTTTTTAAAGCAAATATCAAGGATCCAAATTTAAGTTAAAATTCTACCATCTATTTGGCCTCTACCTCAAACCCTACACACACACACACACAAATTAATTTAGGCTGATCATAGTCCCAAAAGCATAGAAATATGTGGATTGTGGAAGAAAACAGAGTATCTTCACAACTGGAGGTAGACAAAGGTTTCCTGAACAGAACATGAAAATCACGAACCATTAAAAAATGGACTCATGGACTTAATCAAAATTTAAAACTTCAGGCTGGGCGCAGTTGCTCACTCCTGTAATCCCAGCACTTTGGAACGCCGAGGTGGGCGGATTACCTGAGATCAGGAGTTCGAGACCACCCTGGCCAACATGGTGAAACCCCGTCTCTACTAAAAATACAAAAATTAGCCAGGTGTGGTGGCACACACCTGTAATCCCAGCTACTCGGGAGGCTGAGGCAGGAGAATTGCTTGAGCCTGGGAGGCAGAGGTTGCAGTGAGCTGAGATCATGCCACTGCACTCCAGCCTGGCTGACAGAGCAAGACCCTGTCTCAAATAAAAAAAAAAAAATTAAAATTTCAGAATGACAGAAGATTTCAGTTAAACAGGAAAAATAATTTCAAAAGATCTATCATACATTGTGAAGACTCTCAATAAAGATATATTGTATACTTTAAAATTGCGGAGAGATTTTAAATGTTCTCATCACAAAAACTGATAAGCATATGAGATAATGTATATGTTAAATAGATTGATTTAGCCATTGCATAATGTATACATATATCAAAACATCAAATTAGATGCCATAAATAATAATATATACAATTTTTAATTGCCAATTATATAAATAAAATTTTAGAAAATATTTTCAAATTTATTTTAAAATCCAATTTTAAAAATAACTTTTTAGACTGAGTGCAGTGGCTCATGCCTGTAATCCCAGCACTTTGGGAGGCTCAGCCAGGAGGATTGCTTGAGCCCAGAAATTAGAAGCTGCTGTGAGCTATGACTGCACCACTGCACTCCAGCCTGGGTGACAGAGTGAGATGCCGTCTCAAAAAAAAAAGCAAATAATAATAAGTGTTTAAACTTCAGCTCTCTAACAGGAACCACTAAGAATAGGAAAAGGCAAGGCACAGATTAGGAAAAAAATATTTTCAACGTATCTATCTGAGAAAAGAGTCGTAAGCAGAATATATTAAATATATTTTTAAAGTCTCACAACTCAATACTGTAAAAGACAAACAATCCTGTAAAGGTTGTGCTCAACATCTAGTTATTTCACAAGAGAAAATATACAAATGGCTAATAAGCACAATCAATATAAAGACGTACAACATCATTTGTCTAGATAAATTACAAATTAAAACAGCCGTGAGTTACCCACTTCTTGCCCAGAAAAAAAGTTAAGCTGAAAAGACTGAAAATACCGAATGTTGGCAAGGATGTGGAGTAAATGAGATTCTCAGACATGACTGAGAGGAGTGTAAAATGTTACGATCACTTTGGAAAACTGTTTGGCAGTTTCTGTTTTCTTTTTTTTTCTTTTGAGGCAGAGTCTCTTGTTCTGTCACCCAGGCTGAAGTGCAGTGGTGCGATCATGGTTCACTGCAGCCTCAAACTCCTGAGCTCAAGGGATCCTCCCACTTCAGCTAAGATTTTTTTTTTTTTTTTTTTTTAGAGACAGGGTCTCACTATAATGCCCAGGCTGGTCTCAAACTCTTGAGCTCAATCTGTCTTCCCCACTTAGCTCCTGGAAGTGCTAGGATTATAGGTGTGAGTCACTGTGCCCAGTCGGCAGTTTCTTATAAAGCTAAATACATACTTGTTCTTTAACCCAAACATTCTTCTCCTAGGTATTTTCCCAAGAGAAGTGAAAACATATGTCCGTAAAATGATGTGTACAAGATTGTTCATGGAGTCTTGATCGTAATAGCAACAAACTAGACACAACCAAATGTCAATCAACCAGAGAACAGATAAACAAAATTGTGGTGAACGTGTGCAATGAAATGCTGTTCGATGACAAAATGGAATGAACTAATCATGTTCTAATGACATGGATGAATATCGAAACCATTCCACCTGGCTCTGAGGATTCTGCCTTCTTGCAGAACCTCCTTTAGATCCTCCTCTTGTGTGGTCCATAGACTCTGCCTCCTGTCCCTCGGGTTCTGCAGGGTCATTAAACCACAGCTTCCAGGCACCAGGCTTGGGCAGATCCTCTCAGGAAAAAAGCCAGCTCTGAGCTCTCCCTTAATTAACTGCTTGTTCTTAATGTCTGCCCTCTGGAGTTTTCTTCCTTTCTTGTCAGTTCACAGACACATTTGTTTGTTTGTGCACTTTTCTGCATCGGGGCGGAGAGTTGCATCTATTATATTTCTCCATTTAGGGTAGGACACCATCTTAGATCCATGCAAAGCCTCTCTCTTACTTGTTTGTTTGCTCATTTGTTTATTTCCTTTTCTCTCTGTTTCCCTCCTATTCCACCTCTATTCCTATGGGCAATTATCCAAAGGATTTTAATGTGTGGCTGTTGGTGCAAAATTTGCATTTTTGCTTTTAGTGAATATATATATGTGTGTGTATATATTCATATATATATGTATATATATACTGTTTTTTTCTTTTTTGAGACACGGCCTCACCTGTTACCTAGGCTGGAGTGCAGTGACATGATCAAAGCTCACTGCAACCTCCGCCTCCTAGATTCAAGCAATTCTGGTGCCTCAGCCTCCCGAATAGCTGGGATCACAAGCACCCACCACCATGCCTGGCTAATTTTTGTATTTTTTTTAGTAGAGATGGGGTTTTGGCATGTTGACCAGGTTGATCTGGAACTCCTGACCTCAAGTGGTCATCTCGGCCTCCTACTGCACCCAGCTGTATATGTGTGATGTGTGTGTGTGTGTGTGTGTGTGTGTGTGTGTGTGTGTGTGTGTTTGAGACAAGGTCTCTCTCTGTCGCCCAGGCTAGAGTGCAGTGATGCAGTCACAGGTCACTGTAACTTGGGTTCACGCAACCCTCACACCTTAGCCTCCCAAGTAGCTAGGACTACAGGTGTGCACCACCGTGCCTAGCTAATCCATTTTTTAATTTTTATAGAAAGGAGGTCTGGCTATGTTGCCCAGGCTGGTCTTGACCTCCTGGCTTCAAGCAATCCTCCCACCTTAGTCTCCCAATGCTCTGGGATTAGAGGCATGAGCCACTGCACCAGGCCAATATTGCATGCATATTTAATGTACATAAATGGTATTCTGTTTTTTCATTCATTTCAAATATGTATTGAGTACTCACTATGTGTCAACCACTACTTTCTGCCTAGGGATAGTAGTAAACAAAATTCATAACATAGATTTTATTCTGTTCTTTATTTTATTCACTAATCTATGCTTTTAAGAGCTAATTGTATTGTTCTGTGTGCTTTCACCTCATTACCACTACCTGCCTGCCAAATATTGAACTCCGCAGAGCTAACTAGCCACTGTTATTACTTTAGTATAGATCCCTCCAGAATCTATAACCTCCCCCCTACAAAAAATATACTGTTTTCTTGAGTGATTTTTTCTTTTTCCACAAATAATATCGTAGTCATTTAGTATTCTTGCTTTTCATTTCACTCAAGAGAATGTCAGGCTGGCACAGTGGCCCACGCCTGTAATCCCAGCGCTTTGGGAAGCCAAGGCAGGTGAATCATCTGAGGTCAGGAGTTCGAGACAAGCATGGACTACATGGCAAAACCCCATCTCTACTAAAAAAATACAAAAATTAGCTGGGTGTGGTGGTATGCGCCTGTAATCCCAGCTACTCTTGAGGATGAGGCAGGAGAATCGCTTGAACCCGGGAGGCGGAGGTTGCAGTGAGCCGAGAATGTGCCACTGCACTCCAGCCTGGGTGACAGACCAAGACTCCATCTCCAAGAAAAAACAACAACAAAAACAGTATGTCAGTATATTACGCACTCAGATCTCTTGATATATGGCATAGATTCCATGTAAGGATATTTTCCTTAGTTTTTCTAATGATGGACATTTGATTCCAGTACTTTTTCCTTTCACAAGAATCCTTCAGGCAACATATGTGTTCTTGCCTCCATGCACGCAGGTGTGAGGCTTTTTCTAGGAGAGATTCTAGGAAGCAGAATTGCCAAGTTGTAGGCCATGCACATTTTCAGCTTTAATAGACATTGTCATATCACCTTTAAAAGTTGCTAGTACGGGTTGAGTGCGATGGCTCAATTCTCTAATCCCAGTGCTTTGGAAGGCCTGGGCGGGAGGATTGCTTGAGGCTGGGAGTCTGAGACTAACCTGGGCATCATAGACCCTATCTCTACAAAACAATGACAGAGGTGTGGTGGCATGCGCCTATAGCCCCAGCCACTTAGGAGGCTGAAGTGGGAGGATCCATTGAGCCTAGGAGTTCGAGGATGCAGTAAGCTATGATTGCACCACTGTACTCCAGCCTGGGCAACTGAATAACATCCTGCCTTTTAAAAGAAAAAGTTACTCTAATAATATAGAAGACCTTTTCTTACTAAATTCTCTCCAACCCTCAATACCATCAAATGTGAATATTTTGCCAATTAGATAGATTTAAAATAGCATCCTATAGTTTTAAGTTGCATTTCCCTGATTACTAATAAACAAATCCTAACAAGATTCTCATGGAATCGCTAAATTGATCCTAAAATACATGTGGCAAAAAAAAAAAAAAATAGGAAGATCCAAGATTGAAAAAGAACAAAGAGTTATCAAATATCAAGACACACATATACCTATGCAGTACTAGCCATAAATAGAATAGAGTCTAGATCAATGGAATGGACTGGGAGTCCATATATATGCCCAGGTCTACGTGGGAATTTAGCGTGAAACTTGTGCTAAATCACTTGGGCTAAGGATGGGATATTCAATACAATTGGGGCAACTGCCTATCTATTGGAGATGTAAAAAAGCTACATGCTCACCCAGCAGCACTTATAAAAATAAGCCACACATAGATTAAACACACATAAGAATTCTAAAATGGTTAGATGTAAATAGAGTGGATTATATTTATCCCATTGAGTTAAACACCTTAAGACACCCGTATCCAGAAGGAAAAAACAAACAGCTTTGACTAAATGCAAATTTAAAAACCCTCACATGGGGAAAGCCACCATAACAAATTAAAAAAGAAACTACAGACCAGGAGAAAATGTTTGCAGCATTCACAATAAACAAAAGATTAGCATGCAAAATATATAAAAGGAGTAAAAATTTAAAAAGTAAAGGTGAACAACCCAAGGGTAAACTGAATAGTTGACTGATGAGCTTTCCAAGTTTGTTTTCTGTAACCTGAGTTAGAGTTTCAGCATCATCGATATTGGACTTTACAACTACCAATGTAATTTTTTTCTATTATGTTTTAATATTATTAAATTTTTTCTTTTCTTGAATTCCCTTTTTTCTCAACTTAAAATAATTCTATCCCAGTCTTCAATTATCATAGCTCTTGTTTCATAGGTAATATTATGTGTGTGTATGTGTGTGTGTGTTTCATTGAGAACACAAAACAGATGGCTTTTAAGCTTTTTTTCTGTAATAACCCCTTTAGTGTTATTCTGTATGTTTACAAAGTATCCCTCCTTTTACAGTGCAGACATTTTCTTTGCAATATTCTACGGGGTTTTATTTTCCTGTTTATCCTTCAAAGAAGAAAGGTCTCCCCTAGTTTACAAATACCAGGACACAGAATGGCTGGTGCTTCTTGGTCTTCCTCTTTGGTCTTCTGGATATCAATAGAATTCCAAACTTGGCTCTTGAACAGAAGGGGCCATTCAGTATAAATACGGGTGTGAGCATCAAATTTGATTAGCAAGCACAGATGTGATGCAGTTCTGAGGGGGATACTTTATCATCCCATCTTCTGACTGTGGGATTGTTGCTCACATCTGGCTAATCTGACACAGTCTGAACAGTTCTTTACAATTCTTTAAAATTGGCATTCCCAAAGTACCATTCTCCCAGGGTGCTTTCTTATAACCAGTTTCACTTCTGCAATGGTGAATTTTATGTGTTACCTTGACTAGACAACAGGGTGCCCAGATATTTGGTCTAACACTATTGCGGGTATTTCTGTTCAGGTGTTTTTGGATGAGACTGGGTAATTTATAAAGAAAAGGAGATTTAATGGACTCACAGTTCCACATGGCTGGGGAGGCCTCACAATCATGGCAGAAGAAAAAAGGCACTTCTTACATGGTGGTGGCAAGACAGAATGAGAGAGCCGAGCAAAAAGGGAAAACTTTCCTCTTCTTCTTCTCCTTCTCCTTCTCCTTCTCCTTCTCCTTCTCCTTCTCCTTCTTTTCTTCTTTTCTTCTTCTTCTTCTTCTTCTTTCTTCTTCTTCTTCTTTCTTCTTTCTTCTTCTTTCTTCTTTCTTCTTTCTTCTTCTTTCTTCTTTCTTCTTTCTTCTTCCTCCTTTTTTTTTTTGACAGAGTCTCACTCTGTTGCCCAGGCTGGCGTGCAGTGGTGCAATCTTGGCTCACTGCAACCTCTGCCCCCTGGGTTCAAGAGATTCTTCTGCCTCAGCCTCCTGAGTAGCTGGGATTACAGGCATGCACCACCACATCTGGATAATTTTTTTTTTGTTTTTGGTTTTGGTTTTGGTTTTGGTTTTGTTTTAGTAGAGATGGGGTTTCACCATGTTGGCCAGGCTGGTCTTGAACTCCTGACCTCAGGTGATCCACCCACCTTGGCCTCCCAAACTGCTAGGATTACAAGCGTGAGCCACTGCACCCAGCCAGGAAACCCTTTATATAACCATCAGGTCTCATGAGACTTATTCACTACCACAAGAATTGTGGGGAAACCACCCCCATGATTCAATTATCTCCCACCAGGTCCCTCCCACAACACATGGGAATTATGGGAGCTACAATTCAAGATGAGATTTGAGTGGGGGACACAGCTAAACCATATCACCTGCCTTCAGGCTTCCTCTCCCTTTAAAGGGAATTCACCAAGAGAAGAGACTGAAACATGGGCTCTTCCTGGTCTTGAGCCTGCCACCCTTTGGGCTGGAACTACACCATCAGCTCTCTTGGGTCTCTAGCTTGCCACCTTACCCTGCAGATCTTGGGGCTTATTAGCCTCCATGACATAAGCAATATATATATATGTGTGTGTATATGTGTATATATGTGTGTATATATTATATATGTATATATACATATATGTATATATAATATACATATATGTATGTATATATTATATATACATATATGTGTGTATATATTATATATACATACATATATACATATATAATATATACACATGTATATACACATATTTATGTATATATTGCTCATATATATGTATATACACGTATATATATTTATATACGTGTATATACATATATGTATGGATTTTGTTTACTACTATCCCTAGTAGGCTATATATATATATAGCCTCCAAGTAGACAGGTAGATAAATAAAACCCCACAGAATATTGCACAGAAAATTTCTGCACAATAGAAGGAGGGTTACCCTGTAGAAGTAAAGAATAGCACTGTAAATGGGGGAAAACAAAAAGCTTGATATATATGCATATCTATATCTATCTATACACACACACGCACGCGCACACATACACACACATATTTTTATCCTATTAGTTCTGTTTCTCTGGGGAACCCGACTAGTACAGCTTCCCAAGGAGCAGTGTTTGGTGCCTTTCCTGCTCAGCAGAAAACTGCGGGCTCCTTTCTTCCTCCTGAAGAATCTGTGTCATTATTTCATGACCATGGACAGCGCCTCAGCCTGGCCATAACCTCTGCCTGGCATCTCCCAAGTCTCTGCTGATCTCTGTAAAATAAGAGAATCAGAACGGCAACAATTACATCACTTAAGGGGTTTCAGCTTTCCCAAACTTTGGCATCAATATATATTCAATGAGAAGTGTGTTTCGCTTCATAGGGCGATTCTTTGTTGGTGTATCCTAAATGCTGCAGTCAGTCAGGTGCTGAATGTTCAACCCTCCTTTGCTGTTGTTTTGTTATGCAAAGTGGGCAGAAGACGATGACATCCAGGAGGAGAGTGTTAATCTTTTATTTTTTTGGAGACCGAGTTTGGCTCTGTCCCCCAGGCTAGAGTGCAGTAGTGGAATCTCAGCTCACGGCAACCTCCGCCTCCCAGGTTCAAGTGATTCTCCTGCTTCAGCCTCCCTACTAGCTGGGATTACAGGTGTGCACCCCATGCCCAGCTAATTTTTGTATTTTTAGTAAAGACGGGGTTTCACCATGTTGGCCAAGCTGGTCTCAAACTCCTGACCTCAAGTGATCCACCTGCCTCAGCCTCCCAAAGTGCTGGGATACAGGCATGAGCCACTGTGCCCGGATGAGAGTGTTAATCTTAACCCAGCGGGAAATCCCAGGTCAGCCCTAGAAGTGATGACCAGAATCAGCTGAATTCTGGGTGCTGGATGCCACCCCAGAGTCTCTGGACGGGGCCTGAGTGTATCTATTTCTAACAAGTTCCCCAGCCATGCTGATGAACCTCTGCATTAGGGTTCAGGGCTAGGGGGAAAGGGCTAGAGGCAGAAAATCATAAAGCAGGAAGTCAGGACCCTTGCAATAAGGCCAAACAGCAGAGGGCAAAGTAGAAGAGGAGAGACCAGGGCTTGGGCCGTGAACAAAGCCAAGCTGCCAGGAGCTGTTGGCCTTAGAGCCAGCCTCTAGAAGTGGAGGTGGGTGAGTTATTGAAACACACAGACCACACCTAAACGAAACACAGGCATGAAGGAAACCCTGCCTAGGCCTCCTCCTCAGTTCTTGCTTTCTGGCAGAGTGTTTGCCAAATTGGAAAGATGAATGGAATTCGTCAGTATAGATGTTCCATATGAAATTCTTACCTGACATTGTTTTTCAGACTTAGCTTGTTTTATCAAGATACAGGAACCAGGTGAAATTGAACAAGTAAGACACATTCTGCCAGGTGCAGTGGCTCACACCTGTAATTCCAGCACTTTGGGAGGCCGAGGCAGGAGGATCGCTTGAGGTCAGGAGTTCGAGACCAGCCTGGCCAATATGGTGAAACCCTGTCTGTACTAAAAATAGAAAAATTAGCCTGGTGTGGTGGCACATGCCTGTAATCCCAGCTAGTTGGGAGGCTGAGGTACTGCTTGAACCCGGGTGGCAGAGGTTGCAGTGAGCCAAGATCATGCCACGGTACTCCAGCCTGGGCAACAGAGCAAGATTCTGTCTCAAAAAATGTAAAAAATTGAAAAAAATAAGACATTAAAGAACTCAGATGGAGGAGTATGTTGTTTCCAATTTAAAACATGTGATGTTTCCAATAAATTACAGATCCTTAGTTTAAGGCAGAATTTGGTAGAAGATGTGATTTCTTCCCTGCTTTTGACATTTGTCTCAGGGGTGAGTCCATTTCACAATCATTTCTTAGTTTAGCCAGGATTTCTTCCTTTTCTCTTCTGCCCTTTCCACTAAGTGTTACAGTTCCCTCTTTTGGTCCAACCCATTTAATATTAATTCCTTTCCATCATCTTAAAAGCTTTAATTAGTTATTGTGATATGTTCCCTAAGAACTCTGGAGTCTGATTCATCAAAGTGATAACAAGAAGATATTTTGGGAATTTGTTCCAATTGAAATGACTAAATTATTTCCCCATTTGTTATTTATCTGCTTAAGGATATTGTAATGCTTGGTACCAAATTTATGCTCAAGAAACTGGCTATGCATAAAGCTGTTGTTTTTCCAGGGTGAGTGTCACATAAACTTAGAACTTTGGTTTTGTCCTGTAGCAACACATTTTTGAGTCATTATAAAGAAGGCAGGTAAGATTAAATCAGAAAAAATTGGGCCTTGCTCCAAGCTATTTCTGGGAGGAGCAAATATTATCTGGGGTGATGGCAGGGGCATCTGATGGAATGACATAGATCACCATCATAAAAGGAATTCCCAAGAATGAGGCTTCAGAAAGATAGCTTTGCCACCCTATGACAATCAGCTCTCCTGTCTTTTGTAGCCTGCTCTATGGAGAAAGGAAAATCATATCGCAGTGTGCTCCTTGTGCAAAAGTGACATGACTGTCCCAACTCCAGGGTCCATCTCTATAAATGCCAGAATGCCCAGTGCAGCAAATCAACCAAAAAGTCACCGAGATCAATTCCTGAGTAACGTGCATTTAGCTGCTTCTCTGATGCTGTTACCCCACTTCCTCTCCCTTAAATACCAATCCAGAAAATCAAGCACACTATGTAGAATCTCTAACGCCATCTGTGTGCAGATTTCAGTCACTGTCAGAGAAGAAAGAGGACACAGGGGAGGAAATTAACATTTATAGAGGGCTTGTGGCTGCTGGCATTTAGCATACCTCATGCGTGCCCATGAGCATAATAAGTATGGTGTAAGTATAATGTATTAATTAGATCCATTCTAGTCCCATTTTACAAATGAGGAAACTGAGGGTTATCTTTGCCATGAGGAGCTTAGCTTAGCTCTCTGGTTTTGTTTGTTTGTTTGTTTTTTAGAGACAGTGTCTTGCTCTGTCACCCAGTCTGGGGTGCAGTGGTACAATCATAGCTCACAGCAGCCTCGATTTCCTGGGCTCAAGCAATCCTCCTGCTGCAGCCTTTCAAGTAGCTGTGACTCCAGGTGCACACTACCATGCCTGGCTATTTTTCTAAATAGTTTTTTTTAGAGATAGGGTCTCACTATGTTGCCTAGGCTAGTCTTGAAGTCCTGAGCTCAAGCAATTCATCCCCCTCAGCCTCCCAAGGCGCTAGGATTACAGGCATGAGCTCCCATGCCTGGCCTAAAATTTTTTACTCTTAGTTGCAATGAGTGCATTGATGTAGTTGGCTGGTTCGTTCTTTATTTGTGAATTCAAGATGGTGCTCCATTGCATTTATGGGCCAACCCAGCTTCTAAGAGGTCTTCAGGAAGCATAGGAAAGAAATTTAAAGAGGGGAAAGGAGAAGTGTCTTCTTAGGGAGAATAAGAAGATGTAGAAATTATGGTGGATTCAGCTTCTATCAATTATATGTTTCACCTACATTTCTTATTTGGAGGCCGTCCAATACCCATCCTCACATCTCTTCCTTTATTAGTTAATGCCTAGCAGAGAAAAAAATGAAATAACAACCTCTCACTACCCTGGAATGCTGGAGGTCTAGGATTTTCCTTCACTGATTTTCCAAGAATCCTTGTAAATCAGATTTACAGTCATGTAAAGTATTTAGAGTATTGTTAGGATAAAATGCAATATGACAGTCTAATGTAGTTATGTTACAGTCTAAATATAGTTACAGGAGGTATAACCCCGAAGATAGGCAGTGCTGAGGGTACAGGAACGGACCTGTAAGCTTTTGGGAATAATTACTTATGGAAGTACTAATAGTTATGGGGTTCAAAGCCAGGCAAGCTTGAAGAGGCCTTATTATTTATTTTTGCCTCACTAAGTGTATTAGCATGTTATCAAAGTGCTCTAACAAGCACAGCTTGCAGGCATCGGTGAACGTTGCAAATGGAAGCAGAGAAGCTAATGTACCGGTGTATTTCTCTGGCTGGATTCCAGGCTGTGCTGAGGTTTTCTTAATTCAGAATTCACTGTAAACGTGGATGTCTTGCTCTTGTGCCACCAACCCTGCTGCCAGAATCCCAGGAAGAAATCAGCTAAGCCACAGGGGCAAAATCCCAACAGCTCAGACTCATCCCTTGATCTTAGGTGAGAATGGATTCTGTCTCTAAGAACCCAGACAAAACGGCAGCGATCAACATCAGGGAGAAATTTGGGAGGAGCATCCAGTGAATTGGAGTAAGCTTTCAGGACAAAGCAGGGTCCTCACTTTTATGCTCCCGCAGGGCAGGATAGTATTGCTTGCTTCAGTCATTTGAGGACTCACACTCAAGCTGCAATTCTCCATTGTCACATTGGGTGAATCCTGCTTGTCAAAGAGTTTACTCGGGACTAGACTTTGTTTTTAGGACAGAGGCAGACACGTGAGTTGCTGCCTAGTATCTAGCTATCTCCAGCCTCCCTATGTGAGATATGAGCCATATGTCTCTCTCTCCTAATCAGTAACAAACTGGCACGGACCCTTGACCAAGAAGGGCTGGGAGATTTGTTTTTTGTCTTTTTTTTTTTTCTTTTTTAGATTCAGGAGGTACATGTACAGGTTTGTTACATGGATATATTGTACAATGCTGGGGTTTGGGTATCTATTGAACCCATCATTCAAATGGTGAACATAATACTCAATAGGTAGTCTTTAAGCCCTTGTCCCCCTCCCTCTGTCCCTAATCTAGTAGTCCCTAGTGTTTATTGCTGGCATTTTTATGTCCATATGGACCCAATGTTCAGCTCCCACTCAATTGAGAACATGCAGTGTTTGGTTTTCTGTTTCTGTGTTAATTCACTTAAAATAATGACCTCCAGCTGCATCCATGTGGCTGCAGAGGCCATGACTGCACTCTTTCTATGGCTGCATAGTATTCCACAGTGTATATCTACCACATTTTCTTTATCCAGTCCACCATCTAGGGCACCTAGGTTGATTCCATGTCTTTGCTGTTGTGAATAGTGCTGCAATGAACATACAAGTGTGAGTGTCTTAGGTAGAATGATTTATTTTCCTTTGTGTAGATATCCAGTAAAAATCAGATTGCTGGGCTGAGTGGTAATTCTGTTTTGAATTCTCTGGGAAATCTCCATACTGCTTTGAGATTTGTTGATCTTGTTGGAATTGGCCCATGATGATTCCATCCAGTCTTTGCAGGCATGAACGGATGGAACCATCAGTCATGCAGGCTCCTTCCTGCCACATGAACAGAGAAGAAGAAAGAGCTGAGGGTCTTACAGTCCCAGAGAGAGGGAGGGCAGAGAGGCAGCAGCCTGCCTTCCCGGAGTGAGAGTCTGGGGAGGGTCGTGCATTCTACTTTCAATGATCCTGTGGAACACAGCTACCCTTGTTACACTTGGAGAACCGTTGTTGCATCCTTCATCTCCTCTCCTAGGATTCTATGGCACTTCCTTTTGTCCTTCCAACATAGCCTCTGTTTGTTACCTAACTCAGTTTGGAAGGATTTCTGGTTGTTTGCAAAACGTCTCCACTAAGATAATGAAGAGCTCTAGGCTATCATTCTGTGACAGATGCTTCCCTGACTCTTTACCTTTAAAAAGGTTTTTTTTTTTTCCAAAGAAAAAGGGAAAATGACTTCAATACATTCTTAAAACACACACCCACATATCTTAGTAAAATATAGAAAGGATGTATCCAAAATGTGGTTTTCCCTCCAAAATGCTATCATATATTACCATGAAATAGTCATGGTCAAACAGTGCTAACGAAGGCTACCATTTATTGACTGTTTCCTCTGTGCCAACAAAAAAATTTCATAAGTGCTGCTTCATTTCAGCCTCACAACTGTCCTATTCATTAGTATTATTATCCCCATTTTATATATAAGGAAACTGAGGTTTTGCTCTGAGCGGTTCAATCAATGCCTAAGAGAGCCCAGCCATACAGTCACAGGTCTCTCCGAATTTAATATCTAAAGAGAAGCACTGTCTGGACAATTTCTTCCACACACTTGGCCCTGCAGGATGTTAAGAAGGGGTTTGTTTCTTTTTCTTTTTCTCTTTTTTTTTTTTTTTTTTTTTTTTTTAAAGAGAGCATCTTACTGTGTCACCCAGGCTGGAGTGCCATGGTGCAATCGTAGCTCATTGCAGCTGTAAACTCCTGGGCTCAAATGATCCTCCCAACTCAGCTTCCCAAGTAGCTGGGACTATGGGTGCACACCACTGTGCTCGGCTAATTTTTAAATTTTTTGTGGAGACGGGTCTTGTGGTGTCACACAGGCTATGATGCAGCCATAGCTCATTGCAGCATTGAACTCCTGGGCTCAAGCAATGCTCCTGCTTCAGCCTCCCAAAGTGTTGGGATTACAGGTGTGAGCCACTGCCCCTTGCCTGTTTGCTTCTGTTAGAACACTTTTGCAACAAGTCAAAAACATAAACAAAACACACCAATTCTAAATGGCTTAAAGGATAGGAAAATATCTCAGAAAACAAAAACAGAGTCAGGGAAAACTTCAGGGTTGGTTGAATCTGTGGCCCAACAGTAACCCAGATTCTTTGAGCCCCCTCTCCCTGCCTTAGTGCTGACTTCCATTCAGACTGCATTCTCCAAAGACAGCCGTGGCACTGCATGTGACCTGGGCAGCCCTCCATAGAGAGAGGGGTCCACCTTCCCACCCTTTGAATCTGGGTGGGCATGTGACTTTTTTGTAACCCAGAGAATGCAGCAAGAGTGATGCTAGGTCAGGGAAGGGAATGCAGTATCTGTCTTGTTTCCTGGATCATTTGTAATTAGTGCCTTGAGATGCCGCCATAAGAAGTCCAGCCAGCCTGAGGCTTCCATGCTAGGTAGAAGCTGAGCCATTTGGAGAGGCCATGGAGAGGGGCTGAGTTGGCACTCCTGGTCTCAGACTCCTTCTGGCTCTGGCACCGTGAACAAGGCTTCAGCAGATAATCCAATCCAGCATTTGATTCTTTCCTGACCCACAGAATCCATAAAATGATTAAGCTGTTATACAGCAGTGATAACCAGAAAAGTGTCATTTTCTTAGCTTCACTCTGTCACCCAGGCTGGAGTGCAGTGGTGCAATCTCGGCTCACTATAACTGCCACCTCCTGGGTTCAGGCGAATCTCCTGCCTCAGCCTCCTGACTAGCTGGGATTACAGGTGTGTGCCACCATGCCGAGCTACTTTTTGTATTTATAGTAGAGATGGGATTTCATCATGTTGGCCAGGCTGGTCTCTAACTCCTGACATCAAGTGATGTGCCTGCCTCAACTCCCAAAGTGCTGGAATTACAGGCATGAGCACCTGGCCCAAAAGTGTCATTTTCATGACGGTTACAAGATGGTTACAGCAGTTCCAGACATCACATCTAGACATGACAATACCTAGAGTTTAAAGGGGGAGTATCTCTTTTATGGGTCTCCCTTTCTCTCTCTCTCTCTCAAGAATGATAAAATGGGCCAGGTTCAGTGGCTCATGTCTGTAATCCCAGCACTTTAGAAGGTCAAGGTGGGAAGATTGCTTGATGCCAGGAGTTTGAGACCAGCCTGAGCAACATGGTGAGACCCTCTCTCTAAAGAAAATTTTAAAAATCAGGCAGGTTGTATTAGTCAGTTCTCATGCTGCTAATAAAGACATACCCAAGAGTGGGTAATTTATAAGGGAAAGAGGTTTAATTGACTCACAGTTCAGTATGGCTGGGGAGGCCTCAGGAAACTTACAATCATGGCAGAAGGAGAAGAAAACACGTCCTTCTTCACATGGCTACAGCAAAGAGAAGTGGCAAGCAAAAGAGGGAAAAGCCCCTTATAAAACCATCAGATGTCCTGAGAACTCACTCACTATCACCAGAACTGCAGAATGGGGGTAACCTCCCCCATGATTCAATTACCTCCCACTGGGCTCCTCCCACAACACAGGGATTATGGGAACTACAATTCAAGATGAGAATTGGGTGGGGACACAGCCAAACCATACCACAGGTGTGGTGGTACATGCCTGTAGCCCCAGCTACTCAGGAGGCTGAGACAAAAGGATCACTTGAGCCCAGGAGTTCAAGACTGGGCTCAAGCTATGATTGTGCCACCCACTCCAGCCTGGGGGATAGACCAAGACCCTGTCTCTATAAAGCGGGCATCAAAGAGTATCTCTGTGGTCAAAATTGGGTCACATGCTCATCTGGGACAGAATGGATGTTAGAGGACAATGCCAAATGTTTACCACAATAGTCCATGAGAAAAGATTTTCCTGCTTTAATTACTGGCAAACACTAGACTTAAAAAATGATCTCTTAACTACAAGCCTGCTTAAAAAGATTTATACTAACAGGCATTTTTCATTTTTTCATTTCCAGTTGGGGAAATCATATGCTATATTTCCATTCATATTAACCATGGCAGAGTTTTTCCTTTTTTTGAAGAGCACTTTACTTCCTGGAACTCTTTTCCGCAGAACAAAATCTGGAAAAATACACGGCAATTTTATGCAGCCTCTAAAGCCATGTCCATTAAAATCTGTAACATGATAAATATGCCTGTTACCACAATTACCACTTAACGTTAATCTACTAATCAGTGTAATTAAATAAGAACTCTGCCCCCATTTAAATAATAAAATTAGTACTTCTCCCACCCCCCTCCTTTTCATCCCTCCTGTTCTGGCGTTTTGATCTTTGCTTATGTAATATGGGATTTAGATCCAATTTGTTATGGTAAAATTATTGGTTTTTCATATTATGTCTTCCCTTTCAACCCATCACCACGTCATTTCCATTTTGTTCTATAGCTGTGTTTAAGGCCTTTGTTTTAAATTAAATTTTAGATGTGGATGGTTTCAGTTCTCAGAAACAGAACCTTAAGACCCTGTTTTACCCCCATTCTTGAACCCCTTGTTTTGATTCATGTCTCAGGGCCTATGTGCACTTTCAGTATTTCTTTAGGAAGGGTGATAGATTTTATGCTTTTGAGCTCTCGCATAACTGATTTATATTCTGTTGCCTTGTAGATGGATCATAACCTTCCCAGGTGTCAAATTCTTAAGTAAAAGCCCTTTGCCCTAAAAACTCAGTGATATCTCTCCATTGTGTCCTGGAATCTCTCTGTTGTATCCAAGGATTGTCCCAGAAGGGTTTTCTTCCCTTATAGTTAATTCACGTTTTATGCCAAGATATTTGCACAATGTTTTCTTTATTCTTGCATTTCAAACACATCAGCCATCAAGGTATGTCTAAGGCTAGACATCTATTAAATTATGTTACCTGGTTAACAATAAGCCCAACAGATCTGGAGAGCTAACTTTGTGGCTTTTTTTTTTTTTTTTTTTTTTGTCTTTTTTTTTGAGATGGAGTTTCGCCCTGTCACCCGGGCTGGAGTGCAGTGGCGTGATCTCAGCTCACTGCAACCTCTGCCTTCTGGATTCAAGTGATTCTCGTGCCTCAGCCTCCTGAATAGCTGGGATTACAGGCCCGTGCTACCATGCCCGACTAACTTTTGTAATTTTAGTAGAGACAGGGTTTCACCATGTTGGCCAGGCGGAACTCGAACTCCTGACGTTAAGTGATTTGTCTGCCTCGGCCTCCCAAAGTGCTGGGATTACAGGCAGGAGCCACCTTGCCTGGCCAGTGGCTCTTGTTTAGAAATAACAATTTTCTGGCTGGGCACTGGTGGCTCACGCCTGTAATCCCAGCACTTTGGGAGGCCGAGGTGGGCAGATGACTTGAGGTTGGGAGTTTGAGACCGACCTGGCCAACATAGTGAAACCCCATCTCTACTAAAAATACAAAAATTAGCTGGACGTGGTGTTGGGTGCCTGTAAGCCCAGCTAATCAGGAGGCTGAGGCACAAGAATTGCTTGAACCTGGAAGGCGGAGGTTGCAGTGAGCCAGGATCCGCCACTGCACTCCAGCCTGGGCGACAGAACTCTGTCTCAGAAAAAAAAAAAAAAAAAGAGACAGAGAGAAATAATGGGACAGAATTTGCCATAAAATAGAATGAGTCTCAGTGAGCCAGAAACAGTTCCTGAATGTGCAGAGAGCATGGAATACAGATAAGTCCCTTAAAGGCGGTTCATCGCTGTTTCTCTATGAAGGTGAAAGTCACTGAACCTGGAGTCAGCACCACTGCAGAGATGCGATTGCACCACTGCAGAGATGCAAGGTCTTTTCCTCCCTTTTATTCATTGGACCTGACCTCCACTCCAGATCCAGGTCCACCTGTGCAGCCTTTTCCCTGGAGCTGCTCCCTGCCCCCATCGTGTCGTTACTCTTGCCCTTGGAAATTGCAAGGGTGATAGTTAATGTTGCACAATGAGGTTGCAGCCACCCCCAAATTCAGTGACATATCACAAGAAGCATTGACCCTGATGTTCCAGGATCCGCAGGTAGGCGGAGACCCGGTTGATCCAGGCTGGGCTCAGCTGGGAGGCTCTGCTTCTAGAGGAAATTGGGTCAGGTCTGTCTCATGTATTCATTCTAGGTCCAGGCAGCAGAAACTCAAGGCAAGTTTTTCTCATTGAGATGTCTTTGGTGCAAGAGGTCATGACCGATTGCCTCTGCTCATTCCACAGCTGCTAACACCTCATTGCCCAAAGCAAGTCACCTAGCCGAGTCTAACACCAACAGGCAGGAATATACCCCAAAGTGAGAGAAGTACATATTTGCTTTGCAATATTCCAAATTATAACTCCCAGCTGTCCCCACATATAATGATTCACGAGGACAAAAGAGCTTCACAAGGAAAGGTCCTTGGTCTACCCCATGGCTGCTCGGATGCCCTCACAGTGCCAACTCTAGTGGGGTCGGTGTGTTTCTTCTACAGTTTTCTCTGCCTTGACTCTGTAACTTCCTAGATGTGATCTCTACCTATCTTTTTAAGTGCTTCTATGGGGCTGGTGGTTTATGTGCTTTATGGCCTCTGTTACCTTGTTTCTATAAAGTGTTTGTTTTTCTTTAGCTAATTAAAATTTCATAAGCAACAAATAAATTTAAAAAGATGAGGCCAGGATGTATAATTGAATCTAACAAATGTCACATTGCACAGCTTAGCCGTGTGCTCGATTTGTGATCTGAGAGGCAATGCCACTTGCCATATTTGTGATCTGTTTATTAAAAGGGAGAGGCTACGGTTTAAACACAGGCTAAGTTCGTGATATGGTTCCTAAATATAATAGATATTTCTACCACTTACCCCGTGCCGCCATGTTTCCCTGTGGTTACTAAAACAGAGGGTTGTAATTCCTAACTGCATGCCTTATGTATGATTTGGTAAGACAAACAGAAGGAAGTGTGACTTATCCAAGTGCCATATTAGTGATCTGGTTACTGGAGGATTATAAGCTCAGCCATGTTACCTTTGTGATCAGTTACCAAAACAAAAGGCCAGGGGCTTAGGCAAGTGCCGTGTTTGTGAGCTGGTTATGAAAACAAAAGTCTTGGCAGGGCACAGTGGCTCATTCCTGTAATCCCAGCACATTGGGAGAGCAAGGCAGGAGGATCCCTTCCTTGAAGCCAGGAGTTTGAGACCAGCCTAGACAACATAGTGAGACCTCGTCCCTATGAAAATTTTTTTTAAAATTACCTGGGCATGGTGATGTGCACCCATAGTCCCAACTACTCGAAAGGCTGAGGTGGGAGGATTGCCTGAGCCCAGGAGTTTGAGGCTACAGTGAGCTGTGAACAAGCCACTGTACTGCAGCCTGGGTGACAGAGTAAGACGCTGTCTCAAAGAAATGAAAAAGCTAAAACAGAGTCCTGTACCACATTCCCATACACCATATATGTGCCCCAGTGACTATGGCTTAAACGCAGTCTGCATTTGTCATCTGTTTAATGAACAGAGGGCCCCGGGCCTAACCTTGGAATCCTGTCTGATTGTTTCCTGGAAGAAGAAGGAGGTCTCCAAATTGCATAGGGCTTCCCCTGGGAACTAAAACTGGTGCAAGGATATTCTGAGTATTTTGGGCTTCTAAGAAAAAAATCATAATAACCCCCTTAGTTTCACTTTTCCATCTCAGAACACTTTTACATCTCAGAACACAATAGCTTAGTTTTCCCAATGTTTTTAACAATTGATGCTAATATTTGTACAGCATGAAAGGGACACATTCCTTACCTTGCTGTTCCTCTCAACCACTTCTATATACGTATTTCTTTTCTACTCTTCACTCAGCCTGGGCTCAATTGACTTAAGTCTTCTGATTTTTTTTTTTTTTTTTTTTTTTTTTAGGGTGGATCGTAATTACCTTTAAAAGGGAGACTGAGATAGCAGGTGGCCACTTCCTTTTTACTCTGTGTCATTTATGTAATTTAATTTAACTAGTTTTTTTTTGTTGGTTTTTTTTTTTTTTTTTTTTTTGAGATGGAGTCTCGCTCTGTCACCAGGCTGGAGTGCAGTGGCATGATGGCTCACTGCAACCTTTGCCTCCTGGATTCAAGAGATTCTCCTGCCTCGGCCTCCCGAGTAGCTGGGACTATAGGCACGCACTACCATGCCCAGCTAATTTTTGTATTTTTAGTAGAGATGGGGTTTCACCATGTTGACCAGGATGGTCTCGATCTCCTGACCTTGTGATCCACCCGCCACGGCCTCCCAAAGTGTTGGGATTACAGGCGTGAGCCACTGCGCCGGGCCAATTTAACTTTTAAGATTTTTTTTTGTTTTTTAAGAGACAGGATCTCACTTTGCTGCCCAGGCTAGGGTACAGTAGCACAATCATAGCTCAGCCTTGAACTCCTGGGCTCAAGTGATCCTCCCACCTCAGCTTCCCAAGTAGCTGTTATGACAGGCCTGTACCACTAAACCCAGCTAATTCTTTTTAGAGGGGCACAGGGGTGTAGAAACAGGGTCTTGCTATGGTACCCAGTCTGGTCCCAAATGCCTGGCCTCAAGCAGTCCTGCTTTGGCTTCCCAAAGTGCTGGGATTCCAGGCATTCATCACTGTGCCTCGCCTGGTCTTCTGATTCTTCATCCTCTATTTGGTCTTTTTTTTTTTTTTCTTTACCATGTTATATCCTGTATTTTCCATTCCTTAAGTCTCATGGCTGTCACTAGATTTTATTCCACCCCTCTCCTTGCTTTAATGCTTCTATAGAATCATGGCTTATTTTGTTGAACGTCTCCATTTGCCACATATTTTTCTTCATAAGTGAGGATTTTCCTCCATGCATTGGTTGTTTTACCCGTTTCTTAGGACAATGTGCACTCATCCTTGTATTCAACAAATATTGATCTAGGGCTCACGTGTGCTAAGTAGTATGGAGATAAAACCACCAACAGGGCATGGTTGCTATCCCGTAGGAATTCACAGTCTCATGGACAGAACAAAAATGTCAGCAGGCGATTCTCACACACCGTTGCAAGTGCTCTATTAAGGTTGTATAGAATAACATGGATCACATGTAAGAGAAAACACATCCAACCCCTAGAACTCTAGGAGGCTTGCCAGAGAATGTCAGAGAAGTTGAGGCCTAAAGGAGGAATCACTTTGGAGAAGGACACGTCAGAGAATGGTGTTCCAGACAGAAAGACTAGGCAAAAACCCATGGATGAAAGAAAGCCTGTTGCATAGAGCAGCCACTAAGTAGAATGGCTGGCATACAGAGGATCAAGACATCGCGGGCAGGACACAATGACAAGGCTGGATGATATTATAGAAACACTTGGAAGTGGGCGAGCATGGCGGCTCACGCCTGTAATCCCAGCACTTTGGGAGGCCAATGCGGGTGGATCACCAGAACTCAGGAGTTCGAGACCAGCCCGGCCAAGATGGCGAAACCCCTTCTTTACCAAAAAAAAAAAAAAAAAATTAGCCTGGCGTGATAGTGCAGGCCTGTAATCTCAGCTACTCAGGAGGCTGAGGTGGGAGGATCACTTAAGCCTGGGAGGCAGAGGTTGCAGTGAGCCAAGATTGTGCCACTGCACTCCAGCCTTGGCGACAGAGCAAGACTGTCTCAAAAAACAAAAAAGGAAACACTTAGGAGCTGTGTTTCAGAACTTGGACTCAATGATGAAGGAACTAAGAGTCATTGAAGGGTTTTCAGCAGTCACCTTGGCATCTGGGAACTTGTTTCTGAATAAGTGCCCATATCTACAAAAGTCACAGTCCCTGCATACAGAATCAAGGTAAATCCACACTTCATTCATTTGCTAAGCACAAGCAAAAAGGCATCTCCTTATTTAGATTGCACTTTGTTGCTGTTTGACTCTTTTCCGTCCCCTTCAAAACCCCATCAGAAATGGCTTTCTTCTCTATCTGAAGATATTCAATAAGAATTACTTGCCTAGGGTCATTGGTGTGGTAAAAGGAACTGTCCAGAACGAGACAAGTCATAGCAGTGACATCTCATCCTCTTGCTTTGCTGAATGCCAGATGGAAGCTGTTGAGGGAAGCCTAAAAGCCTACATGACATTCTTTAAATGAGAACAAAAAAAAGCAGGGGTGTTTTAGCCACGAGGAACTTAAATTTCACCATTCTCAGGGAGAATTATGAATTGGACAACATCAGCCTCCCACCTGGAGCAGAGATGGACATTCTGAGCCTAAATACAGAGATGAAATTGGCATCACATCATTAACGGGCCTATCAACAGTATGTCTTATATTTGTATTACTTTGCATATTTTTGTGGAAGAAAATTAACATTTCTTATTATTTAGTTTTCTTGTTTTTGGTTTGTTTTTTTTTTTTTTTTTTTTTTTTTTGAGGCAGGGTTTCACTCCCTTCACCCACACTGGAGTGCAATGTGCTCCACCTTCCGGGCTCATGCGATTCTTCTGACTCAGCTTCCCGAGTAGCTGCGACTACAGGTGCGTGCTGCCACACTGCACCCGGCTTGTTTTTGTATTTTTTTGTAGAGATGGGGTTTTGCCATGTTGCCTAGACTGGTCTCGAACTCCTGAGCTCAAGTGATCCGCCCACCTCCTCCTCCCAAAGTGCTGGGCTTATAGATGCGAACCACAACGCCCAGCCTCTTACTTTATTTAATTCTCACAAAAACCTCTATAAGGTGGATAAGGAAGGGATTTTCATTATTATGGTTATTCTTATCATATTATTGCTATTCATATTATTCTTTTAATTAATTAATTATTTTGAGACAGGGTCTTGCTCTGTTGCCCAGGCTGGAGTGCAGTGGCACGATCTTGGCTTACTGCAACATCTGCCTCCTGGGTTCAAGCGATTCTCCTACCTCAGCCTCCTGAGTAGCTGTGATTACAGGCATACGCCACTGCACCCGGCTAATTTTTTGTATTTTTAGTAGAGACGGGGTTTCACCATCTTGGCCAGGCTGATCTTGAACTCCTGATCTCATGATCCACCTGCCTCGGCCTTCCAAAATGCTGGGATTACAGGTCTGAGCCACCGCGCCTGGCCCTATTCTTTTTATCATTAGGATTATCTATTAAATGTATGAGGAAACAGATTCCAAGTCATTAAATGACCTGCTTCAGGGTACGCAACTAGTTAGTGGCAGAATCCATCCTAGATTATGAGTCCATTAGCTCCTGAACTCGGGGTCTGCATTTATGTGCATGAGGAGGCAGAGAACTTAGGTGATTCATTTTATTTTCCGGAACAGCTGCAGCTGCCAATAAAAGTGACACAAAGGAGCTTTGGATGGGGAATCAGGGTGTCAATGAGTTCTTACCTCTGCGATAACAAACTGAATGACTTTGTTTCTCCTTAACTTTTTATGTGTGGGCCACAGCAAAATGAAGATGTGTGATTTGGGAATAAAAAGAGTTCTATCCACATAACAACCACATGTTGTAAACAATATCATCTCTATTTTTCACAGGGAAGCTAAGGAACAGAGAAGTTTAGTAACTTTCAATGAGTCACACAGCCCCTATGTGATGGTATCTGAGTAAGAACCAAGTTCGAGGACTTTTTCTCAGTTTATTACTACTAAGAACTTATTCATTGGCTGGGCATGGTGGCTCACACTTGTAATCCCAACACTTTGGGAGGCCGAGGCAGGTGGATCACTTGAGGTCAGGAGTTCAAGACCGGCCTGGACAACATAGTGAAACCCCATCTCTACTAAAAGTACAAAAATTAGCCAGGCATGGTGGTGGGCACCTGTACTTCCAGCCATTCAGGAGGCTGAGGCAGGAAAATTGCTTGAACCTGGGCGGCAGAGGTTGCAGTGAGCCGAGATCGCACCACCGCACTCCAGCCTGGGCAACAGAGCCAGTCTCTGTCTCAAAAAAAGAAAAAAAGAACTGATGGCCGGACACGGTGGCTCATGCCTGTAATCCCAGCATTTTGGGAGGCCGAGGCGGGTGGATCACCTGAGGTCAGGAGTTGGAGACCAGCCTGACCAACATGAAGAAAACCCATCTCTACTAAAAATGCAAAATTAGCCAGCCGTGGTGGCGCATGGCTGTAATCCCAGCTATTCGGGAGGCTGAAGCAGGAGAATCACTTGAACCTGGGAGGCAGAGGTTGCAGTGAGCCAAGATCATGCCATTGCACCCCAGCCTGGGCAACAAGAGCAAAACTCCCATCTCCAAAAAAGAACAAAAAAAAAAAAAAAGGAACTTACTCATGCACACATACACACATAGAAAAAGATGGAGAGAGAGACAGACAGACAGACAATGGCTTCTTCAGTAAGTCCTCATCTTCACTCAGATCTGTAATACATGCTTGTCTGTTTCACATAAAATGAACCACTTGAGAACACTGGCACATCCTCTTCGATGTGCAATGGGGAATTTTCTCTGTTGTTTATTCTCAGGAGTGCTGTGAGGTTATGAATGTTTTTCCTTTGCCCTGTTTGTTTCCCATTTCATCATCCCCAGACAGTGCAGACTGCAAACAGCTCCCAGGTATTGAATAGAGTGGGCTCCCTGTTGAGAACTCCACCTGCATCCCACTTTACTCTAGAGGCTATTCACAGCTTACCCTCAGGGCCCGACCCAGGCAATCCAATAGCTGTGTGGCCGCCACTAGCAAACCACAGCCTACCCTGTGTCCAGATTTCTGATGATGAGTTACTTCCAGACAGAGTGAGCTCTTGGCATAAAAGCCCTTTACTTTACAGACAACAACCAAAATAAATCTCTATTCATTCCCTGTTGCTCTTATAACAAATTATCATACACTTTGTGGCTTAAAGCAACACAAATGTATTCTACATTTCTGGAGGTCAGAAGTCTGTAATCAATTCCCTTGGGCTGACACCAAGGTGTCTTCCTGGAGGCTCCAAGGGAAGAATCCATTTCCATGCCCTTTGGTGGCTTTTGGTGACAAGGTGGGTGGCCGCTTGCCCCATCTTCCTTCCCCACAGGGCCTTTTCCTCTTTAGTGAAATCTCTCTCTCCCCCAGTCTTACATGATTACATTTAGGGTTGTGAACCCCAATTTGAGACAGGTCTCAGTTAATTTAGAAAGTTTATTTTGCCAAGGTTAAGGACGCGTACCTGTGACACAGCCTCAGGGAGTCCTGACATGTGCACAAGGTGGTTGGGGCACAGCTTGGTTTTATACACTTTAGGGAGGTGAGATATCAATCAATATATGTGGCCGGGCGCGGTGGATCACACCTGTAATCCCAGCACTTTGGGAGGCCGAGATGGATCACCTGAGGTCAGGGGTTCGAGACCAGCCTGGCCAACACAGGGAAACCCCGTCTCTACTAAAAATACAAAAATTAGCTGGGTGTGGTGGTGTGTGCCTGTAATCCCAGCTACTTGGGAGGCTGAGGCAGGAGAATCACTTGAACCTGGAAGGCGGAGGTTGCCATGAGTCAAGATCATGCCACTGCACAGCAGCCTGGGCAACAGAGCGAGATTCCGTCTCAAAAAAACACACAAAACCCCAAATTACACACACACACACACACACACATATACATATATATATGTATATATGTATATATCTTATGTATATATCTTACATATATATATATATGTAAGAAGTTCATTGGTTCTGTTCAGAAAGGCAGGGACAACTCAAAACAGGGAGGGAGCTTCTAGGTCACTGGAAGATGAGAGACAGATGGTTGCATTCTTTTTTCTGATAAGTCTTTCCAAAATACAATGGGAGGCAGATTTGCCCTGACCAGTTCCAAGCTTGAATTTTCCCTTTAGCTCAGTAATTTTGGGGTCCCAAGGTATTTTCCTTTCACAGGGTCTATCCGCATAATCCAGGCGAATCTTTGCACCTGTAAAGGCCCTTTTACCATGTAAGGTAACCCATTTATAGGTTCTCAGGATTAGGATGTGGATATCTTTGGGGCCACCAATTGGCTTATCACAAAACCCATTTCTTTGAGGGCAGAGTGAACTATATTCTCTGGAGTTCTCACACATTCTGCACTCCAGCGGGTCAGATCAAGCTGGTGTGAAGGGCTGAGACACCAATGAATTATTATTTGGGGTCAAGGCTCCCATCAGGATAGTGGTGGAAATTGGGAGCAGAGAGCTACTAATGGGCTTCTCCTTTGACCTGTCCTCCAAAACCATACCTATAATTTTACCCGAGGAAATGCACTTCAGCATGGTGATTATCTCCATTTTAAAAGGAGAAACGTTTATCTGGTTCTCCAGTGATACATATTCATTGTGGAAACACATGCCCTCATCTCCCTTCCAGCCCCAGCACACAGAGCACGTTCTAGCCTCATGGTCTTTGCTCTTGCTGGTCCCTGTACCTGGAATGTCCGTCCCCCAAATATCCACATGGACCCACCCTTGCCTCCTCTATGTTCCTCCTCAAATATCACCTTCTCAATGTGACTTTCCCTGGAGTCCTTATTTATTTATTTATTTATTTATTTATTTATTTATTTTTTTAAGATGGAGTCTCACTCTGTCACCCAGGCTGGAGTGCAGTGGTGCAATCTCGGCTCACTGCAACCTCTGCCTCCCAGGTTCAAGCAATTCTCCTGCCTCAGCCTCCTGAGTAGCTGGGACTACAGGCACCCACCACCATGCCCAGCTAATTTTTTGTATTTTTAGTAGAGATGGGGTTTCACTGTGTTGGCCAGGCTTGTCTCGAACTCCCGACCTCCAGTGATCTGCCCACCTCGGCCTCCCCAAATGCTGGGATTACAGGCGTGAGCCACCATGCCCGTCCTCACTCTTTTGTTTCTTATCTTTGCCTACGTTATTTAACCTCTTTGAACTCCACTGTGTTTATCTGTAAAATAGGCATCATGTAGCCTTTGCTTCCTCCATGAGACTTAAATGAGGCCACATCTGCTGTGCTCCTGGCTCAGAGGAAGCTCTCCCTGCATCTAGCCTCTCTGACCTGCCATCAGACAGCCTAGGTGGGGACCAGACACTTGGCATGCCGACAGCCCAGTCCTGTGGCCATCCCTTCTCAGATTTGCCGCCGGAGGACCCACCAATGGGCTTAGCTCCCAGACAAGCTGTCTGTATTCACAGGTCTTCATTTAAGTGACACGCCAAGTTGAAATGCAGCCTCCTCTCACCCATGATGTAGGGGAATACCATCTTCCACAGAGCCCAGGCTCTGTGACAAGCCCAGGCTCTGCGACGTGACCTGGACTCCGGCTGCACCCTATCCCTACGTGCATCCGGCTGGCATTTCCTCCAGGCTGCAAGAGATCAATTTCTTCATCTGAGCCCTTGTTGATGTTGACATGTGTTCAGGGCTGTGCTTTATAAGAAATAGACATCTCCAGGCACCATAGCAACCTAGTTGGAGACCAGCCTGGGCAACATAGCAAGACCACCCATCTCTATAAAAAATACAAAAATTATGTGGACATGGTGGCATGCACCTGTAGTCCCAGCTACTCAGGAGGCTGAGACTGGGGATTGCTGGAGCCTGGGAGGCAGAGGTTGCAATGATGAGACCCCACATTGGGCGAGACCTGTAGGAAATGAGATCAGAGGTGGGAACAACAGATTCACACCTCACTTCATCTGATGCCGGGCAGGCAAGCAGCAAGGCCACGTCAAGGTCCCCTGTCCCCTCCAACATGGTCTGTGGTTGATTGCCTTTGAAGAGGAGTGGAGGGAGGAATGCTGGTACAAGAGGCTAGGGTTGGGGTCAGAGCTGCTTCAGGAGCAGAGACTGGGGACACCCTAGCCCTAGGTATTCAAGGGCAGGTCAAAGCACCTTCCTGGCTTCACTCAGAATGATCTTGTGCTCTTTTTCAGAGAGCAAAGCTTTTCAAAGTCAACCACGATGTCTGAGTCACATGTCTGCTCCATAGATCTTGCTGTTAGTGGAAAATTTCTTCTAGACTGTGGGAGTCAATAGGTGCTCAATCTTCGTTTGGGTGTTACTGGGCATTTTCATCTTTTTCTAAGCCACCAGTGCATTCTGGGGGTCGACTGCAGAGGCTTAGTCACATGCCCTGGCCCCATCCCCTTGCTCCCTTGAGCTGATTCCTTGTGGGCCAAAGAAGGCAGGGAGTCACTTTTCTCTCTGTCCTCCTGTCTCTCCATACCAATGAGGCAAGATGTGCAGGAGTCCAAATGGATTTATCCATAGTCTGGCACCTACTGTTTTGGGTTTTTTGTTGTTTTCTGCCTTTTTTTTTTTTTTTTTTTTTTTTTTTGAGACAGAGTCTCGCTCTGTCCCCCAGGCTGGAGTGCAGTGGTACAGTCTTGGCTCACTGCAACCTCCACCACCCAGGTTCAAGCAATTCTCCTGCCTCAGCCTCCCAAGTAGCTGGGATCACAGGCGCCTGCCACCACGCCCGGCTAATTTTTGTATTTTTAGTAGAAACAGGGTTTCACCGTGTTGGTCAGGCTGGTCTTGAACTCCTGACCTCGAGTGAACAGCCTGCCTCGGCCTCTCAGAGTGATGGGATTACAGACATGAGCCACCATGCCCAGCCCTGCTTTCTGCTTTGAACGTTGCATTTTCTCAATACCTTTACCAGTCTTCCATTTCTTTGCCCAAACTACTCATCTTCCCAAGCAGTCTTGTCCAAGGTACGTCTGTCTCTCTGTTCTTGGCAGGGAGGAGTCTGTCTCAGGATACCTTTCATTTCGGTCCCGCTGTTTAATTCCTCATATAGGGAAAAATCTCAGAGGCCTCCCCAGCCATGTGGAAGTGTGAGTCCATTAAACCTCTTCTTTATAAATTACCTAGTCTCAGGTATGTCTTCATTAGAAGAACATGAAAACGGACTAATACGATGATAAAAGCCACACTCTGTGCATTCAGGCAAAAAAGAATGAGAGACAAGCAAAAGGGGGAAACCCTTATAAAACTTACCAGATCTCATGAGACTTATTCACTACCACGAGAACAGTATGGGGGAAACTGCCCCCATGATTCAGTTATCTCCTACTGGGTCCCTCCTACAACACACAGGAATTATGGGAACTACAATTCAAGATGAGATTTGGGTGGGGACACAGCCAAACCATACCAGTCAGACTCTAGACGTCTCTCTGGTTACATTGGTGTCTCCTGCCCTTCACATCTGGACCCCCGTGGGAGGTTGATGGTTGGACCCACCCTTTAGGAAGGGGGTCTGCTTATTTGATAGAAGAGGCTGCATTGTTTGCGCTGTGGGGACCAAGGAGGAAGGAGAAGGCCCTGGAAGGAAGTTATGCAGATCTACTGACCTCGCTTGGCCTGGTCACGCTGGCGCTCAAGGCAGACTTAAAACATGACTGTATTTTTATACTGTGTACCAAGATAAATGGGTGAGATCACTCAACTGTGTAGGTAGGACTCCAGCTGTTCAAGACCCCATCAGGAGACCCCAGATAACAGGAGTTACTATTGTGGTGCACTGCAACCAATTCTGCTCCCTGGTTAAGAAGTTCTGACCCATTGATCGTCCAGGCAGCTCTCTCTCGGCAGGAAAATGCCTTTTGCAGATGGGCAGAGAAAGGAATAGAGGTGTGAAATATTTTGGAGTTTATTCCGCCTGTCTTTTTCTCCAGAGGAGAAAGAACTGTGTCATCAAATTCATTCCAGACATTCAGTGAAAGTTGACATGAGATTGGACTCGCTCACAAATCTGGGCAGGAAAGATGTTGGCCCCCAGCTGTGCAGGTCCCAGTATGAGTCAGGGACGAAAAATGGAGCAAAGGCCTCACAAGGCAGCCGGCAGCCAGCAGCGAGCTCTGGGCTTTTGGCAGCCTGGCATTTCATCTTATCGGGAATTCAGACTTCACTGGGGACTCAGGCACCCCTGAGGTTCCTTTCACAGCAGGAAAACAAGTTCAGTTAGTCTGCTTTTTCCATGCAACACGGTAGAGAAGCTGAACATGGGAAGTCCACCTGTAGAGAGTGCTCCTCCTGGCCTTCTCCTGGATTTTGGGGGGACAATGATTGAGGAAGGGGAAACAGGCAGGAAAGACTGGGCTGTGGAGCAAATAGAAGATTCAGGTTTAGTCATTCAGAAAACATGTATTCTGCATACATTATCCAACCTCTTGGCTCTTTCCCCACACTAAACAACAGAGAGGCCTGGCACCTGGGCAGGAGGATTGCTTGAGTCCAGGAGTTCGAGATCAGCCTGGGTAACATAGTGAGACACCCATGATATGGTGTGGCTGTGTCCCCACCCAAATCTCATCTTGAATTGTAGCTCCCACAATTCCCACGTGTCATGGGAGGGAGCTGATGGGAGGTAATTGGATCATGAAGGCGGATCTTTCCCATACTGTTCTCATGCTAGTGAGTAAGTCTCACGCGATCTGATGGATTTATAAAGATGAGTCCCTTTGCACAAGTTCTCTCTCTTACCTGCCACCATATAAGAAGTCCCTTTGTTCTTCCTTCGTCTTCTGCCACGATTGTGAGGCCTCCCTAGCCATGTGGAACTGTGAGTCCATTAAGCCTCTTTTTCCTTTTCTTTTCTTTCTCTTTTTCTTTTCTTTTTATTAATTTTTTTTATTTTTCTTTTTTGAGATGGAGTCTCGCTCTGTTGCCCAGGCTGGAGTGCAGTGGTGCAATCTCGGCTCACTGCAACTTCCACCTCCCAGGTTCAAGCAATTCTTCTGCCTCAGTCTCCCAAGTAGGTGGGACTACAGGCGCCTGCCACCATGCCCGGCTAATTTTTATATTTTTAGTAGAGACGGGGTTTCACCATATTGGCCAGGCTGGTCTCGAACTCCTGACCTTGTGATCCGCCTGCCTTGGCCACCCAAAGTGCTGGGATTACAGGCGTGAGCCACCGCTCCCGGCCCAAGCCTCTGTTTCTTTATAAATTACCCAGGGTCGGGTATGTCTTTATTTGCAGCGTGAGAACAGACTCACACATCCCGTCTCTACAAAAAATATAAAAATTTATCCAGGCCTGTTAACATGCACCTGTAATCCCAGCTACACAGGAGGATCACTTTAGCCCAGGAGGTCAAGGCTACAGTGAGCTCTGATCTTACTACTGCACTCCAGCCTGGGCCACAGAGTGAGACCCTGTCTCTTAAAAAAAAAAAAGAGAGAGAGACGGAGAGAGAGAGAAGAAACTGGAGAAGCTTCAACAACTTTGAGGGGGAGATTTGTATGATTCTAGAATTTTATGTCAGAATAAATTGTCTGTCATGAGAGAAGGGGAGAAAGGTATTATCAGAATTCTAAGAATGCAGAAAATGTAATATTCACAAGTGTTTCATTGTCAAATAGTTTTAAATGTTCTCTAGCAGATATTTGGATGACAATCAGGCACTTAGTTTAGGGACAGTTATTAAAAAATGGAAGTAAGCATTGGAATCACTTAAATATAATGAAGTAGCAGGAGCTGTTGTAAATTTTGTTACAAAATTAAATGCAGACTCCAAATACTATTCTAGAAAAAGATGCAAATAGTAGAAAATGTGTCATCATAAATCTCAAATTAAACTTACAAAGACTGAAAAGCATGAGGCAAAAGGTAGGAAAATAAAAGGTCTATTAATCTTATTACATACAAGAAAAAATGACAGGATGCCATTTAGTTTCTTGAATTTGATAATTTAAGAAATGGTGGCTTAAGTCATGCATTACACAAATGGAAAAACATCCAGCAGCATAACCAAAACTAAAATGTCCACAGGTTTCTTATGTAAAAGAGAAAACAAACCATAAGAACCAGAAGCGGGCCAGGCACGGTGACTCACGCCTGCAATCCCAGCACTTTGGGAGGCCAAGACGGGCAGATGACCTGAGGTCGGGAGTTCGAGACCAGCCTGACCAACATGGAGAAATCCCGTCTCTACTAAAAATACAAAATTAGCCGGGCATGATGGCACACGCCTGTAATCCCAGCTACTCGGGAGGCTGAGGCTGGAGAATCACTTGAACCCGGGAGGCGGAGGTTGCAGTGAGCCAAGATCACACCATTGCACTCCAGCCTGGGCAACAAGAGCGAAACGCCATCTCAGAAGAACCAGAAGCAGGAAATAAAATAACAACAGTACAGCCAAATATGTTTATAACAATATATAAAAATGGAATTAGACTCTACCATTGGAAAGCAAAGAATCTCAAATTAGATTTCTTTAGAATCCAATTCTAGCCTCCTTGTAAGAGACATATCTCTAAAATATAACATTAAAAAGTTTAAAAACCAAAAGAAAGGCCAGGTGTGGTAGCTCACACCTGTGGTCACAGAACTTTGGGAGGCTGAGGCGGACAGATTACTTGAGCTCAGGAGTTCAAGACCAGCCTGGGCCAACATGGCCAGACTGCATCTCTACAAAAAATGCAAAAATTAGCCGTAGTCCCAGCTACTCAGGAGGCTGAGGTGGGAGAATTGCTTGAGCCCAGGAGGTCAAGGCTGCAGTAAGCCATGATCACACCACTGTACTCCAGCGTGGGTGACACAGCGAGACCCTGACTCAAAAAAAAAAAAAAAAAGAAAGAAACATTTAGCAGAATTCACACCAAAGGAATTAAGCATAGCTGTACTGATACAAAAATAGATTTTTTTCCAAAAGACATTAACAAAGCACTGAAATATTTTTTAAAGACCGTGTATAATGATTGGTATGGTTTAGCTGTGTCCCCACACAAATCTCATCTTGAATTGTGGCTCCCATAGTTCCCACATGTTGTAGGAGGGACCTAGTGGGAGATAATAGAATCCTGGAGGCAGTTTTCCCCCATACCGTTCTGGTGGTAGTGAGTAAGTCTCATGAGATCTAATGGTTTTATAAGGGGTTTCCCTCTTTTGCTTGGTTCTCATTCTTTTTTGCCCGCTGCCATGTAAGACATGACTTTCACCTTCCACCATGATTGTGAGCCCTCCCCAGCCATGTGGAACGGTGAGTCCTTTAAACTTCTTCTTCTTCATAAATTACCCAGTCTCGGGTATGTCTTCATTAGAAGAATATGAAAACGGATTAATATGAAGATAAAAGTCACACTCTGTGCATTCAGTAACGAGGGCCACCCACTTGTTCATCTTGATGTCCTCTGAATGCATCCCTCGGGGCTTTCATAGCCCACACTCTCTTCTTGGGTGGTGTCATCCTTTCTGATGACTTTATCATCATCTGTATGCAAATGAATGCTAAATCTGTGTCATTAACCTGTATCTATACATTCTACTGCATCCTAGGCTATTCTACTGGGCTGTCCCTCAGGAACCTTCAAAGAATGCATCCAAAATTTAACGTGTAGCCTTTCTTTCTAAGCCCATACATTCAGCTGAACGTAAAACCCAGGTGTCTCCCTGGATGGCCCATTCGCCTTCACACACCACACACAGTGATCCATCAAGTCTTATCAACCTCTCGTTTACACAGCTCATAAATTCTCCCTATCTCCATAGCCTACTTCAGTCTCAGAATCTGTAACTTCAATAGCCTCCTCTCTGGTTGTTGGGACCTTTGTATCAGCAAAGGGTAGTTTTTCTCAAGCTCAAACCTGATCAAGTAATTTCTCTGATGAAAATGTTTTAGTGGATAAAAATACAACTCAAAGATACTCAACAGATAAAACCAAGCTCTGTTCCTGAAAAATTTAAACATAGAATTACCGTATGATTCAGCAATTCTGCTTCTAGGTATATACCCCAAAGAGTTAAAAGCAGTGACTGGAACAGATATTTGTACACCTACATCCATAGCAGACACTTGGGCTGCTTCTACTTTATGTCTATTGTGAATGTGGTATGTCCATACAACGGAATGGCTAATGAAAAGACTCAGGCTCTAAACAATACGTGAAGATATTTATTCTGAGCCAAATACAAATGACCAATGGCCTATGACACAGCCCTCAGGAGGTCCTGAGAACATGTGCCCAAGGTGGTCAGCCTACACCTGAGTTTTGTACATTCTAGGGAGATGTAAAATGTCAATACACATAAGATGACATTGGTTCAGTCTAAAAAGGCTGGACAACTGGAGGTTGGTGGGTGGGGAGCTTCCAGGTCATAGGTGGATTGGTCATTGGTGGGTTCTGATTGGCAGTTGGTTGAGGTATTATCTAAAGACTTGGAATCAATCAAAAGGAATGTCTGGCTTATGATAAGGATTGTAGAGACCAAGGTTTTATTATGCAGATGAAGCCTCCAGGTTGCAGGCTGCAGAGAGAATAGATTGTAAGTGTTCCTTGTCCTATCAGTCTTACTCTGTTTTAATGTTAGTTAATTGAAACATTAATTAACTTTAATATTTGGGCCTGAATTCCAAAAGGGAGGAGGGTATAATGAGTCATGTTCAATTCTTCCTTCCCATCATAGCCTGAAGTCATTTTTCAGGTTAACTTTGGAATGCCCTTGGCTGAGAAGTGGGGTCCATTCCGATGGTTGTGGAGCTTAGAATTCTATTTTGGGTTTACAGAAAATGGTCCAGCCTTAAAAAGGAAGGGAATTCTGACACATGACACAACATGGATGAACCTTGAGGGCATTATCTAAGTGAAATAAACCAGTCACAAAAAGACAAATATCATATGATTCCACTTAACATAAGGTACCTAAAAAAGTCAAAGACACAGAGAAACAAAAAATAGAGTGGTGGTTGTTGGGTTTGCAGTGAGGGAGGAATGGGGAGATAGTGTTTAATGATAATTAATAATAGTGTACAAAGTTTCAGTCTGGGAAGATGAAGGACTTCTGGAGAGAAGTAATTGTGGTGTTTGTATGACACTGTGAAAGTACTTAATGCCACAGAACTGTACACTTGAATAAAATAGGCCAGGCACGGTGGCTCATGCCTGCAATCCCAACACTTTGGGAGGCCAAGGCGGGCAGATCACTTGAGGTCGGGAGTTCGAGACCAGCCTGGCCAACATGGTGAAACCAACATGGTGAATACAAGAATTAGCCGGGTGTGGTGGCAGATGCCTGTAATCTCAGCTACTCAGGAGGCTGAGGCAGGAGAATTGCTTGAAACCGGAAGGTGGAGGTTGCAGTGAGCCAAGATCGCACCACTGCACTCCAGCCTGGGGAGCAAGAGTGAAACCCTGTCTCAAAAAAAAAAAAAAAGAATAAAATAGTAAATTTTTAGTTATTATATTTTACCACAATAAAAATAAATAAATAAAAACAAGTGGTGGTGCATGTCTGTAGTCCCAGCTACTCAGGAGGCTGAAGTGGTAGGACTGCTTGAGCCTGGGAGTTTGCGACCAGCCTGGGCGACATAGCAAGACCCTGTCTTTACAAAACTATTTTTTAAAAATAAGCTGGTCGGGTGGGTGCTGTGGCTCACGCCTGTAATCCCAGCACTTTGGGAGGCTGAGGCGGGCAGATCACGAGGTCAGGAGTTCGAGACCAGCCTGGCCAATATGGTGAAACCCCATCTCTACTGAAAATACAAAAATTAGCCAGACATGGTGGTGCACACCTGTAATACCAGCTACTCGGGAGGCTGAGGCAGGAGAATCGCTTGAACCCAGGAGGTGGAGGTTGCAGTGAGCTGAGACCGCACCACTGCACTCCAGCCTGGGTGACAGAGTGAGACTCCAGCTCAAAAAAATAAATAAATAAATAAATAAATAAATAAATAAATAAATAAATAAATAAAATAAGCTGGTCATGGTGGCAAGTGCCTGTAATCTCAGCATTTTGGGAAGTTGAGGCAGTAGGATCACTTGAGCACAGGAATTCAAGTCCAGCCTGGGCAACATAGTGAGACCCCATCTCTACAAAATGAATAAGAATTAAAAAATAAAAACAAACAAAATACAATTAAGCTTTTCACCGTGTCATACAAGGCCTTTACTGACTAGTGCCCCACCCATATCCCTCACCTCATTCCTTCCCACCTTCTCCTGGCTACTCGAAGCCTCAGAAGAACTCAACATATTGTCAGTTAATGAACATGTCAAGCTTTTGCAACTCTGTGCCTTGGTACGGCTGCCCCCTACCCTACCTGACCGTCTCCTCTTCCCTCCTTATCCTTTTCCCACCCTCCCCTCACTCACCTGGCAAAGTCAGCCTCTTTTTCCTTTAGGTCTTTGATAGTAGGCATGTTCTCCAGAAAGCCCCCTCTGACCCACCCTTCACCCCCAACCAGGTGGTGCCAAGACATCCTGGCTTCCCTCCCACAGCATGTACCACATTGAATTCAAATGACTCATTTGCTTGGTTTCAAGAACAGGATTTATGTATTGTTCGCTTTTGTATTCCCATCACAGTATCTGGCAGAGTCATTCCCAATAACCATTTGTTGGATTAGTATATAAATCTTTTTGCACTACAGAATAGCCTCATTTAACAAATATTTGAACTATAAGAATAATTTATGGAGAACAAGTTTTCTTCACAGACTTCAATATGCTACTCATGGTCCTTGACTCCAGTAGTCCAAAAAAAAAAAAGTAAGTTTATAGAAAAAGATTATAATTATAAGGTTACGTAATGTAATTAATAAATATAAATATGGCCGGGTGCAGTGGCTCACACCTGTAATCCCAGCTCTTTGGGAGGCCAAGGCAGGTGGATTACAAGGTCAGGAGATCGAGACCATCCTGGCCAACATGGTGAAACCCCATCTCTACTAAAAATGCAAAAATTAGCTGGGCATGGTGGTGGGCGCCTGTAATCCCAGCTACTCGGGAGGCTGAGGCAGAAGAACCACTTGAACCTGGGAGGCAGAGATTGTAGTGAGCTGAGATCACACCACTGCACTCCAGCCTGGGCGACAGAGCGAGACTCCGTCTCAAAAAAATAAATAAATGAATAAACAAATAAATGTAAATATATTTGTATAACTGACCTTACAGAGATTCTACTATAGTGGAAAATTCCTTAGGTTTCCAAAAATTGCAGATGTATGGGCCACATTCTCTTCCCTATGATCCATTAACAACAGAAAAAGGTGACGAAAATCAACTAGAAGAGAGAAACCAATAAAAGTACAAAGGAGAACTGGGATGTAATAATGATTGGGAGGAATTTAAAATTGCAGGACTAGGGTCCATAGTTGCATACTAATGATAATGAAAATGTTCTCTCTGGTTTTCCAAAAAACTACAACATTCCAAAATTGACTGAAGAAAAACTGAAAAGTAAAATGGACTGACAATCACAGAAGAAAGGCTTGTTGGCATGGGGTACACATTGTTTTACAGTGATTTTTTTCAAACTTTTGAAAGACAGATATTGACAATATAGGTGATATATGGAATGCTACGCAACTTATTTTGTTTAGATGTCCTAATACTAAATATATACCCTAATACTAAAACATGACCCAGATCTCCAAAACTATAGATTTTTGTTTTTTGGAGACAGAGTCTCGCTCTGTTGCCCAGGCTGGAGTGCAGTGGTGCAATCTCGGCTCACTGCAACCTCCACCTCCCAGGTTCAAGTGATTCTCCTGCCTCAGCCTCCTGAGTAGCTGGGATTACAGGAATGCGTCACCACGCCGGGCTAATTTTTGTATTTTTAGTAGAGACAGGGTTTCACCATGTTGGTCAGGCTAGTCTCGAACTCCTGACCTCGTGATCGAACTCCTGACCTCGTGATCTGCCCACCTCAGCCTCCCAAAGTGCTGGGATTACAGGCATAAGCCACCACACCTGGCCCAAAACTATAGATTTTGGAGTCTGTATCTTTCCTTCTCTTCTCGTTGCTCCTGACCAATCTTTTGGCCTGATTTCTGAATGACAGCAACCTCTCAACAGGTTAGAGGTTTTCCAGGCACCACACTCTTCAAGTGTTAGGAAATGGTTACTCATTTTCTGAGTCTTGTTGACCTTGATCTTGCCACTCTTCATCTCTGATCATGGCAGGGGGTCTTGGTGTTCTCATCTGTAAATCATCCTCTTCATGCATTCTGCCAGGTTTTTCCCCAAAGCCAAATGAACAATACCTTGCTCCCTTACCCAATATAAAGAGACAGGGTCCCATGAGTTTTCTCTGAGTGTATGTCAAAATTCCTGTCTAGGATCGTTAAACTCTAATGCAGAAAACAAGTTTGTTTTACACCTCCCCTTCAGTTGCTCTGAAGTGTATAAATGGCTTTGAACTTGAATCATTTAGATTTTACAGCAAGATTCAATATCCCAATTTAATTTTTTAGAACAGAGGTGCACAGTTAAAGCAAGGTACAAATTGTTTAACAAGCAAGCAAGGCAGGAGGATGGCTTGAGGCCAGGAGTTTGAGACCAGCTTGGGCAACATAGCAAGACTCTCTCTGTAAAGAAAAAAAAAATTAAAAAAAAAATTAGCCAGGTCTGGTGTCATGCACCTGTAGTTCCACCTAGAAGATTGCTTGAGCCCAGGAGTTTGAGGCTGCGGTAAGCTATGATCGCACTACTGCACTCTAGCCTGGGTGACAAAGCAAGAAACAAGAAAGTAAAAGAGAGAGGAAGGAGGGAAGGAAGGGAGGAAGGAAAGAAGGAAGGAAGGAGGGAGGGAGGGAGGGAGGAAGAAAAGAAGGGAGGGCGGGAGGGTGGGAAGGGAGGAAAGGGGGAGGGGGAGAGGGAAGGAAAGAAGGAGGAAGGGAATGGAAGGAAGGAAGGAAGAAAGGAAGGATGGAAGGGAGGCAGGGAGAGAGAGAGGGAAAAAAGAGTCTAAAACTTCCTTCCTCATAGTGCAGAGTAACTGAAAACACTGAGTTTTGTGTTCACCCTTGACTAAGTTACACTGCAGAAACCACAGAGTCTTAGCAGTTAGCAGCAAGCATTTATTTCTCACTCAGATCCCGCGTCCTTTGTGGGATGGTTGAGGATCTACTCAGGTTGAATTCCTAGGTCATTCCAGAACCTAGAATGAAGCAGCAGCCCCTCTTTTGTGTAAATGTTATGTGAAAGAAGAGAAAGGGAAATGGCAGAAAACACAATGGCTTTGAAGCTTCTCCTTGGACTTTCATACTTCTATCACTTTGGCTCTCAGTTGATTGGCCAAAGCTTGTGACATCAACAGGCAAGGAGATATCATCCTCTCCTACAAGGGGAAACAAATATAGTAGACCCTTAGGCAAAGCAAAGATGAGGGGCACTGACCCACGTGCAGTCAAAAATCCAAGTATAATTTTTGAATCCCCAAAAACTTAACTGCTAATAGCCTACTGTTGACTGGAAGCCTTACCAATAATATAAAAAGTTGATTAACTCAAGGCTGGTTGTGTTGACTCACGCCTGTAATCCCAGCACTTTGGGAGGCCGAGCCGGGCAGATCACAGGGTCAGGAGATCCAGACCATCCTGGCTAACACGGTGAAACTCCGTCTCTACTAAAAATACAAAAAATCAGCTGGGCGTGGTGGCGGGCACCTGTAGTCCCAGCCACTCAGGAGGCTGAGGCAGGAGAATGGCGTGAACCCAGGAGGCGGAGATTACAGTGAGCCAAGATTGCGTCACTGCACTCCAGGGTGGGGGACAGAGCGAGACTTTGTCTCAAAAAAAAAAAAAAAAAGTTGATTAACTCATATGTTGTATGTTATATGTATTGTACACTGCATTCTTACAATAAAGTAATCTAGGGAGAAGAAAATGCTATTATGAAAATCATAAAGAGGAGGAAGTAAGTTCATTAACTGGAAATGGATCATCATAAAGGTCTTCATCCTCATGGTGTTCACCTTGAGTAGGTGGAGGAGGAGGAAGAGGAGGTGTTGGTCTTGCTGTCTCAGGAATGGCAGAGGGAGAAGGAAATCCACATATAAGTGGACCCACACAGTTCAAACCCATGTTTTTCAAGGCTCAATTATAGCTGGAAATAATAGACCCTGTTACAGTCCACACTCTTGCTCATCAATATTCATTTCCCTCTCTTCAGCTGCAAAATATACTCCTCCCCTCCCCAGGGGAGACTTCCCAACAGTCCCATCCAGTTATAACACCAGACTCAAGCTCTAGAATCTCATGATGCTCATCAAATCTGGATGTGGCTCTTCTTGGTATGGAAACATAAAAACTAAAAAGTCAAATTACCCCTCACCCTTGCCCGACACAAACACACACTTGACATATGGTGGTGGACCAGGGTCAGGCCAACCACCAAAAACATTCCCCTCTGGAAAGCAAAACATGGGATACCCATAGCGGTCAGAGGCTCAGAGCAGTTCTGAAACCCTGTTGGACAAAAACCTTGGGGTGAGGAATTTTCCCTCAATTAGCTGCTTCTGCTTCCTAGAAGTGACCCTGGATGACATTGTTCTCCAAGATTCCCAGGAAAGCTGTCCTTTTCCACTATTCTTGTACTTACTCTATGAGGGCATTGTGTAATACACCCTTCCTGGGACCCGTGTAGCTTATCCTCTTAATTGCTTGGGCCCGTAGGTTGGGAAGTCCAAAGATCTTTTTTTTTTTTTTTTTTTGCAACAGAGTCTCGCTCTGTCACCCAGGCTGGAGTGCAGTGACACAATGTCGGCTCACTGCAAGCTCCGCCTCCCGTGTTCACACCATTCTCCTGCCTCAGCCTCCTGAGTAGCTGGGACTACAGGCGCCCGCCACCATGCCCGGCTAATTTTTTTGTATTTTTTAGTAGAGACGGGGTTTCACCATGTTAGCCAGGATGGTCTCAATCTCCTGACCTTGTGATCCGCCAGCCTCGGCCTCCCAAAGTGCTAGGATGACAGGCGTGAGCCACCGCGCCCGGCCCCAAAGATCTTTTAAAGTTTGGAACAGTTATAGTGTCTTTTAATCCAAGATTGTTGGCTCTTGGCCAGTATAGCTCTCAAGGACTTAGTTATGTTTTTATCTGGCTCCAATCAGTTATGCTAGTAAACACATCCACAATTATTTTTGAGACATACCTCTCTCTAAACTTAATAACAGGCTTCCTAGGAGAGTCACTTAACACATTCAGAGATTTTTTTAAAGAGGCATTGATTTGTTTCAATAGGGCTGTATTATTACTTAAAGCATTTCTTTATTTTATCTCTTACTAGTTGGAGATGAGAAACAATTGCTCTTGGTGCAGTGCCTGTAATCTCAGCACTTTGGGAGGCTGAAGCCAGAGTATTGCTTGAGGCCAGGAGTTCGAAACCAGCCTGGCCAACATGGTGAAACCCTGTCTCCACTAAAAATACAAAAATTAGCCAGGTGTGGTGCACATGCCTATAATCCCAGCTTCTTGGGAGTCTGAGGCAGGCAACATAGCCAGACCCTGTCTCTACTAAAAATACAAAAATTAGCTAGGTGTGGTGGTGTGTGCCTGTAATCCCAGCTTCTTGGGAGGGTGAGACAGAAGGATCACTTGAACTCGGGAGGTGGAGGTTGCAGTGAGCCAAGATTGCGCCACTGTACTCCAGCCTGGGTGACAGAGCAAGACTCCATCTCAAATAATAATAATAATAATAATAATAATAATAATAATGATGATGATGATAAATAAAATAGCTGGACATGGTGGTGCATGTCTGTCATCCTAACTACTTAGGAGGATGAGGCAGGAGGATCACTTGAGCCCAGATGTTTGAAGTTGCAGTGAGCTGTGATCACACCACAGCATATCAGCCTGGACCACCGAGCAAGACCTTGTCTCTAAAAAAATAGAACTAGAAATAGAAATGGGGGCTTTGAGAAATGTGTGGATAGGAAGATAACAAGATCATTACGAGAAAAAAAAGAAACAATTGCTTCTTTCAATGCTGCAACGCCAGGAATTTCTGAGTGGTTTTTATTTTTGGCTTGCAAATCAACCAGTTCTTTCCTGAGCTCATCTCTTTCTTGTAGTGCTCTGTTAGATGCAGCTAATTTCAATTGTGAATCACGGCATTCTGTTTCACAGACTTTTTACCTAAAACCACTGGACTCGGATTCAATATCTGCCTGTCCTCCAAGGTATCACAGGCAACAGTTTTACCAAATGTTTTGCTATCGTATTACAGGGATCTGTGTCTTTCCAGCCTCCAGTCACAGTTTTCTCATTTTTCACTGCCTGGCTCCGGAACCAGTACATTGTCTTTTAGAATTTTGGTTATGGTAGCCTCTTAGTTTTATGTACCAATTTCTCTATTTTTGACATAGACCAACAATGGTCTAAGTTATGCTGCCGTAGCAAACAAGCCCCAAATCTCAATGGTTCATAACAACACAGGGTATTCCTGACGTGAGCTGTCCATTGTGATTCAGCTGTAGGTGTTCCCCACTTTATCCTCATTCTGAGACCCAGCCCGAAGGAACAGCCTCTATCTGGGGCATGTAATTCTCATAGCAGAGGGAAAGAACAAATGTTAGAACCACACAATGATTCATAAAGCTGTGAATTAGATGTGGTAGATGTGACTTCTACTCACATTTTATTGGCCAAGAAAGTGACACTACTGGCCAGGCGCAGTGGCTCACACCTGTAATCCCAGCACTTTGGGAGGCCGAGGCGGGTGGATCACCTGAGGTCAGGAGTTCGAGACCAGCTTGACCAACATGGCGAAACCCCGTCTCTACTAAAAATACAAAAATTAGCTGGGCGTGGTGGTGCACACCTGTAATCCCAGCTACTCGGGAGGCTGAGGAAGGAGAATTGCTTGAACCCGGGAGGTGGAGTTTGCAGTCAGCCGAGATCGCGCCACTGCACTCCAGCCTGCGAGATGGAAGCAAGACTCCATTTCGGAAAAAAAAAAAAAAAAAGAAAAAAGAAAGCGACACTATCAAACCTAATATAAATGGAGTGGAAAAGTACAGTCCTCTCTCGGGGAGGGGCAGGATGTAATCAGGAACTCTGCACCTCTCCTTCAGCAGCTTTTCTTCATGAACATGACTTTGAACTTGTGTTTTTATCTTGTTAGAACAAGATTCATGGCCAGGCACAGTGGCTTACACCTGTAATCCCAGCACTTTCAGGAGGCCAAGGCAGGAGTACTTGAGGCCAGGAGTTTGAGACCAGCCTGGGAAACATAGCAAGACCTTGTCCCTACAAAAAATTGTAAATGTTAGACAGGCGCAGTGGCTCATGTCTGTAATCCCAGCTACTTGGGAGGCTGAGGCAGGAGGATGGCTTCAGCCCAGGAGTTCAAGGCTGCAGGGAGCTATGATCACACCACTGGACTCCAGCCTGGATGATAGGGCAAGACCCTGTCTCTAAATTTTTTTTTAAACGATACATAATTAGGCCGGGCGTGGTGGCTCAGGCCTGTAATCCTAGCACTTTGGGAGGCCGAGGCGGGCGGATCACTTGAGGTCAGGAGTTCAAAACCAGCATGGCCAACACGGTGAAACCCCGTCTCTACTAAGCATACAAAAAAATTAGCCGGGCGTGGTGGCGGGCACCTGTAATTCCAGCTACTACGGAGGCTGAGGCAGGAGAATCGCTTGAACTCGGGAGGCGAGGTTGCAGTGAGCCGAGATCTCGCCGCTGCACTCCAGCCTGGGCGAAAGAGCAAGATTCTATCTCAAAAAAAAAAAAAAAAAGATACATGCTTAAACCAATATGGGAATTGCCAGAGTGTTGGTAAATTATAAAAATTTTAGAGACGTATGCATTATATAAAGGGTTTCACCATTCTAAAGTACACAAAGTATGCAGGGTTGACAGCAGATGGCTGGATGAATAGGAAACCAGACTGGCGGGTGGCATTTTTTTTCTCCAAGAAGCTAAAGCGAAGGGAATATGTTCCACTCTCTATCATTCCAATAAGTCCCTGCAAGTTCATGAGTATACTTGGAGCTGAACAGGATGGAAAACTGTTCACCTGATATCCTGAAACGCTGAGACAAGTTTCTGCAGAGCAGCTGTGGGTCTGGCCTGTCATGGCCCGAGCCAACTTCCCATCTCCACATGCTTCTGACCATCTCACTACTCTTTATCTCCACAGTTTGACATGCAAAGGATAACTCTGGAAGAGTTGAAGCACATTCTCTATCATGCCTTCCGAGACCACCTAACGATGAAGGACATTGAGAACATCATTATCAATGAGGAAGAGAGCCTGAATGAGACCTCGGGGAACTGCCAAACAGAGTTTGAAGGAGGTAGGTGCCCCTGCTGCCATCCCCTCCCCGGTCCGGGACAGGCCAATGCACCACACTCTCTATATGAAAAATGCGTTCACACACAGGCTCTTGGGCTGATGTTCCCTTGTACTGAAGCCAAAAATCCAGGACTGAGGTTAAAGATCTTTTTTGCTAAGATGCGGTGGGTTTCATTTTCTCCATCTTTCTCCTCCAAATTCTGCATTTTTTGCAGAATCTCCACTGACCCTGTCTTTTCTCTCAAGGCTCTCTGAGGTCTGCGTGTGATTGGATGTGTGGTTTTGTGCTGTTTGCCTTCTCTTGGTTGTGGCTGCATGGGGCGGTGCAAAGAGCCTATTTTGGCTGTCCGGCAAACTTGGGTCGAGTCCGTTGTGTGACCTTGGGCAAAGGATGGACCTTCTCTGTGTTTCCTCATCTATAAACATCAGGATGATTACACCTACTTCGCAGAATTCTTAGGAATGGATGACCTCTATGTTCCCAAATGCACTGGCCAAAAAAAAGAAAAAAAAAAGGGACAGAGTCCTCTGATGAACTTAACCAAGTAGTTACAGAAGAAATAAGGTTCTCTGGAGGCCAAAAAAGAGACCCATGAAAGGTTATTTTTTTTTATTCATGAAAGCAAATTTAAAGAAAAAAGAGAGCCTACTGAATCTCCTAATCAGTAGAGAATTCCTGAGAAGCTAAAGGATTTAATCCTTCTTTCCAACTTTGAAAATCAGAGTGGTTTTAATAGCCCTGTTGTATAGAAAAAAAATTTTTAATTACATTAAAACATCATATAGCAGGCTATCAGCAACTTTTCTGTTCAATGCTGACATTTCTTAAGGAGGTCAAATTTTTTTTCTTTTCTTTTCTTTTTTTTTTTTTTGAACATTTAAATAAGTCAGTATACATAGTTGGGAAGCTGTCACATAGACACTAGAAGGATATATTTGGTTGCCTGGTCTTGTAGCTGTCTCCCTTAGAGCCAGTGAGTGCTATGGGGGGAGGCTAGTGTGCTTGGAGCTGAGCTGGTCCCAGGCACCAGAACTGTCCATGCAAACCCAGGCTCCCATCAGCCCTGTCTTGGCTGAACTGCTGCATCATGGACCCAGCATTAAAGGCCACGACAGGAGGGAACAGGAGATGGCCTGTACTCTGAGGTTGCAAACAGTGGGAGAGAGGGAGTAGTGGAGTCTGTTGCAAAACAGAAAGCAATGATCTCTTCTGAAGTCACTCAAATTTAAACACTGCAAAACTGCCATGCGCATCAAACAAAACCCAGCTGTGGTCCTGAAGTTGCCTTGGTCTCCTTGCTGTGACAATGGGGTGATAGCATCAATGACTGTATTTGGAGTGGGAGTCACACTGATCTTATAAGGGCAGGATGGGGTGGTCACAGCCAAGGCCATTTCCAGCAGGACATGCGAGGGTGAGGAGGGGTGAGGAGCGAAGGGATTGAGAACTGAAACTTGAGAAAACAGCAGACCTGGCCTTCCCAATCCATCTCGCTCGGGGCTGACAGATGATGTGAGCCCCACACAATGAAAGCACATGGGGCTCAAGCGCTCTACTGCTAGTCAGCACTCTTGAGATGGGTGGAGAAGGGTATTTTTGGGTATCATCTCATTTTCCACAACAGCCTTTGTTGGTGGATCAGTGTTTTGTTCAGGGAAATGTCATAGATCTTAGTAATTTGGGAAAGGTCAGGCTATACTGGGAAATAATCTAAATTCGAAGTAAGGCCTTTTTATTTCTCAAAACCTTATACATTAATAAAATAAATGCCTGACAAAGGGGCTACCAAACAGAAGCCTTGCTGGGTTTGCTTTAATGATTTGTCAATAGCTTATTTATAATTAATGTAATATGATTAATATATAATGATCGTTAATAGCAATTATATTTATTAATAACCATACTGCAAGTATTATGTTTATTAAAAATTATTAATCCTTATTGTTATAAAATAATTATTAATGTTTATTAATAATTATTACCATAATGGTTAATTAATAATTTTAAGTCAGTGCAGTGCCTGGACTAATAATTGTTACCATTATTAATTGCCATTAATAACTATTAGCCCAGGCACTGCACTAAGTGGCTTAACATTAATTAACCATTATGGTAATAATTATCACCATAACATTTAATAAATATCATAATTAATAATTATGGTAATAATTATGGTATTATCTAACCATGGTTAGGTACCTAACCATTACCTAACCAATAACTATAGTAGTATTTTTGTTTTGTTTTGTTTTGTTTGTTTTTGAGACAAAGTCTCACTGTGTCACCCAGGCTGGAGTGCAGTGGCGCAATCTCTGCTCACTGCAACCTCTGCTTCCCGGGTTCAAGCAATCTTCCTGCCTCAGCCTCCCGAATAGCTGGGACTACAGGTGCCCACCCCCATGCCCGGCTAATTTTCATATTTTTAGTAGAGACGGGGTTTCACTGTGTTAGTGAGGATGGTCTCAATCTCCTGACCTCGTAATCCGCCCACCTCGGCCTCCCAAAATGCTGGGATTACAGGCGTGAGCCATCACACTCGGCCTAATTTTTGTATTTTTAGTAGAGATGGGGTTTTACCATGTTAGCCAGGCTGGTCTTGAACTCCTGACCTCAAGTGATTCCCCCTCCTCAGCATCCCAAAGTGCTGGGATTACAGGTGTGAGCCTGTTAGTCCAGGCACTGCACTAAGTGGTTTAAAATTCATTATCTTATTTCATTTAAAAAAGCTGTTATTTTGTAATTTGCACGTTGCATTCTTGTATGACCTCTGGGACGGTCATTACATAATCCCTTTTGCATATTTTTATCTCAGAGAAACTTTGCAAAAACATTATGTCAGGGTTGTTTGTCCCCCAGACACAAGCTCGTTGATTTGTGTTTAGGTTTAAGAATTTTTCAAGCATGATCAAAGTGATGGGTGAATATATTTAATGCTCACAGGCCTTTCCACATGCAAGAAAGAGCCTCCCTGGTTGCATTTTGGGCAGAGGTGTCTAGGAAGAGAATACTGAGTTCCTGAGTCTACCTGCTTAGCATCCTAGGACTAGAGGAGTTTGTCTGAGATCCTGTGGCTCACCTTAGACCCTTTGCTTCCATATTGCTCCCATATCCACAAACGGGGGCCCGTTGGCATTTTGAACCTTTCCCTTCTTCTATCAAGACCTGATTGCACAGCTGCATTGCTTCCACCTCCTAAATCTCCCTCTCCTCCTCCCAGCCTTGAGCGCTTTGGGGCCTCCCCATCTCTCCCAAACTGTCAACTCCTCCCTATCCTCTTTTGCCCTTGGCCTAAGCTGCGTGCCTTGTCCAGCCACGTCAACCATGCCCTTGCTGACGTCCTGTTACAGGACCACCAGGTTCTTATGCCCACTGTTCAGTAATAGACCAATACACTGAGACAGCAGGGTTTGCAGCAGAGAAACAGTTTAATGACAGTAGGGTAGCTGAGCAAGGAGACAGGAGGAACCCTCAAATCCATTCCCTGAGGAGTGTTGAGCTAGGGTTTTTAAGGGGATTGTGGAGGGCAAGAGACTGAAAAATTGAGGTTGTTGATTTGATGAAACCATCAGGATGTGGAAACTGCATTCTTTGGTAAGTCAGCTCCCTGGGGGGGGGTCCTTCAGACCAGCTGACATCAGTAGTCTCATTGATATGCAGAACCTAAAGAATATCTCAAAGGGAAAACTTAATGTTTTATACTGTTCAAATTGTTATCAATAGGGCAATTAAGGGGAACTATAATGGCTCACGCCTGTAATCCCATCCCTTTGGGAGGGCAAGGCGGGTGGATAAACTGAGGTCAGGAGTTCGAGACCAGCCTGACCAATATGATGAAACCCCGTCTCTACTAAAAATACAAAAATTAGTCAGGTGTGGTGGCATGTGCGTGGAATCCCAGCTACTCGGGAGGCTGAGACAGGAGAATTGCTTGAGCCCAGGAGGTGGAGGTTGCAGTGAACCAAGATCGCGCCATTGCACTCCAGCCTGGGCAACAAGAGTTAAAACTCCATCTCAAAAAAAAAAAAAAAAGGAGGGGGAAACTATAATCATGTGTGTGTGTGTGTTTGTGTGTGTGTGTGTGTGTGCATGCGTGCACATGTGCACACCTGGCTTCTTCATTAATTTTACTTTTTAAGTTTTGGGGTACATGTGCAGGACGTGCAGGTTTGTTACATTTAAATGTGTGCCATGGTGGTTTGCAGCACCTATCAACCCATTACCTACGCATTAAGCCAGCATGCATTAGCTATTTTTCCTGATGCTCTCCTCTCCATCCCCCACCCCGCAACATGTGTTCTCATTGTTCAGCTCCCGCTTATGAGTGAGAACATGCAGTGTTTGGTTTTCTGCTCCTGTGTTAGTTTGCTGAGGATGATGGCTTCGAGCTCCATCTATGTCCCTGCAAGGACATAATCTCATTCCTTTTTATGGCTGCATAGTATGCCATTGTGTATATGTACACACTTTCTTTATCCAGTCTATCAGAAAATGGTGTGGCAATTCCTCAAAGATCTAGGACCAGCAATACCATTTGACCTAGAAATCACATTGCTAGGTATATTCCCAAAGGAATATAAATCATTATATTATAAAGAACTATAATCTTATAATAGGGTCTATGTGATTCTGGGGCAATAGGCAGCAAACGCCTATGAGGAAGCAAGTTGGAAAACGAGCTGACCTCACGATCAACACTGAGTGTGTGTCAAATTTGGTTTATTTTTGTTTCTCTCCTGCCCTTCTTCCTTGATTAATTTTCTAAGGTGTATCGGGGCAGAACAGTTCAATCTCAGATCCCTGACTCACTGTCTGCTCCCTCCATCCCAAGTCTTGATGAATCTAGCACCTAACTGTGAAGGGCCAAGATGGTTTCCTTTATTTCTTCCAAGTGATGAAATTCTTTTCTCATTAAACTGAATCCTCCTCGCAACCCCACATGACCAATGAGAGGGAAAGGAACGGGCTGGGCCTCTTCCCTCAGCCCCAGAGCCCCCACTCAGGTCTTCTCTACTCTTGCTAACCCACCCCTCATCCCTAGGAATTTCTTTCCTGCTGCTCTCATTAGAGCAAACAGGTAATCACACCAATTAGGAAGGTCTTTGCCATCAGAAGGTGGAAGAGCCCATCTGCCTCTTCACCAGAAACTAAGAGATGGGCAAAGAAACAGACATTTTGTGGCAGAGATGGAACTTAAAGAATCCCACATCAGAGGGCTGGGAGCTCAGGAGAGCTGGAGGTGGGACTGAGATCTGGAGCATGGAAAAGATTTCAAAATGCTGCTGTGGGCAGCACAAGGGACAAGGACTCTATTAGAAATTAATGGGAGGACTTGAAAATGCCATCAGCATCCTTTTATTTTTTATTTTATTTATATTTTTTTTATATGGAGTTTTGCTCTTGTTGCCCAGTGCAATGGCATGGTCTTGGCTCACTGCAACCTCTGCCACCTGGGTTAAAGCAATTCTCCTGCCTCGGCCTTCTGAGTAGCTGGGATTACAAGCATGCGCCACCACGTCCTGATAATTTTTGTATTTTTAGTAGAGACAGGGTTTTGCCATGTTGGCCAGGCTGGTCTCGAACTCCTGACCTCAAGTGATCTGCCCATCTGCCCACCTCAGCCTCCCAAAGTGCTGGGATTACAGGCATGTGCCACCGCACCCGGCTCATTTTTGTATTTTTAGTAGAGACGGGGTTTTGCCATGTTGTCCAGGCTGATCTCGAACTCCTGACATCAAGTGATCCTCCCACCCTGGCCTCCCAAAGTGCTGGAAATACAGGCATGAGCCACGGCACCCAGTGAGTTTATTTATTTATTTATTTTAATAAAATAAAGAGAGTCCTGCTGTGTCACCCAGGCTGGAATGCAGTGGCACAACCACAGCTCACTAAAGCCTGGAATTCCCAGGCTCACACAATCCTCCTGCTTCAGCCTCCTGAGTAGCTGGGACTAGAGGCATGTGCCACCATGCCAGGCTAACTTTTTTACTTTTGTAGAAACAGGGTCTTGCTGTGTCACCCAGCCTGTTCTTGAACTCATAGCTTCAAGTGATCCTCACACCTCAGCCTCCCAAAGGACTGAGATTACAGGTGTGAGCCACTGTGGCGGGCCCATGTTATAGCAATGATTCTATTTTTCATTTGTCTGAATTTTGGGTCTGATAATTTTACTAAGAGGTGTTCAGATGGTCTTCATTAAGTGAGCAATATTGACTATTCCTTCTACATGAATGGAAGAATAAAGAATAAAGAAAAAAAATAAGACCCCAAAGATTGTGGCACTTTTGATGGGAAAGGTTTGTTTTTGGTTTGATTTTGTTATCTTGTTTAATTTTTAGGTCAACACAAACAACAGACACATGCACGCACACACACACACACACACACACGCACACACATACACAAATACACAGCCCCTCCAGTTAGCCAGTCTGCCTTATCTTTGTGGTAGGAGCACCCTGCAGTCATATGGAAGCATCACCCTTTACATTTTCTCCCAAGGAAGGGACAAGAATAAATGGGATGAAACTCCAAGCTGGATAGTGGGCAAGCCTGGCTGGGTGCAGTGGTTCCTGCCTGCACCCAGGCAGGAACCCAGCACTTTGGGAGGCCGAGGTGGGAGGATCACCTGAGGTCAGGAGTTCGAGACCAGCCTGGCCAACATGGCGAAACCCTGTCTCTACTAAAAATACAAAAATTAGCTGGGTGTGGTGGCAGGAGCCTGTAATCCCAGCTACTCAGGAGGCTGAGGCAGGAGAATCACTTGAACCCGGGAGGCAGAGGTTGCGGTGAGCCGAGATTGTGCCACTGCACTCCAGCCTGGGCAACAGAGCAAGACTCTGCCAAAAAAAGAAAAAAGAAGGCAAGTCTTCCTGACTGCTCCAGGAAACCCTGTATCAGGGGCTCACATTGCATATAGAATTCATTTTCCTACAGCACCAAAAGGAATTCCCTACAGAAACCCTTTTGAAGGCAGGGAGGAGGCTAGAAGACCCTAGCTCAGGGGTCTGCAGTCGACCTTTCCATCAATCACACCTGGCTTCCCGATGGAAAATCACTCAAACTGAGTCAGGTGCTGACCACATTCCACCCGCGGTTCTGGGTGCTTTGTGCATATGAATTCATTTCACCCCTCTGAATTCAGGAACTCTCTGGCATTACATAGTATTAGAACTTTATATGTCCCCAGTATCATGAGAATATTTGGTTAAAAGCATGACTTTCAGGCACTCCCAGTCTCTCAGATATCTCTGAATCCCGTAATTATGATAAAATATGCTTGCTATACTTTTTTTTCTTTTTCTTTTTCTTTTTTGAGACAGGGTCTTGTTCTGTCATCCAGGCTAGAGTGCAGTGGCGCGATCTCAGCTCACTGCAACCTCCACCTCCTTGGTTCAAGCAATTCTCCTGCCTCAGCCTCCTGAGCAAATGGAATTAACAGGCATGCGCCACCATGCCCGGCTAATTTTTGTATTTTTAGTACAGACAAGGTTTCACCATGTTGGCCAGGCTGGTCTCCAACTCCTGACCTCAAGTGATTCCCCATCCTCGGCCTCCCAAAGTGCTGGGATTACAGGCGTGAGCCCCCGTACCCAGCTTGATATACTTTTGTGTTACTTGTCAATCTTTGCGTCCTAATTTTTTGGAAAAATTACCATAGCCTGGCAACATAGCAAGACCTCTTCCTTACAAAAAGAAAAATTTTTTAATTAGCCAGGCATGGTGGCGCATGCCTGTAGTCTCAGCTATTCGGGAGGCTGAGGTGGAGGGATCACTTGAGCCCAGGGGTTCGAGGCTGCAGTGAGCTATGATTGCACCAGTGCACTTCAGCCTGGGCAACAGAGCAAGACCCCAACTCTGAATAAAAAACTTACCAAGCCCATATCCCCATAACAGGTTGGACATTTAAGTATGTGTCTACTGAAAGTACCCATTCACCATTCATACTGAATAAGGGAGTTTTTAAGGATGTTTTGCCTCAGTTCCACCCATTTTAGGCACCAGACATTCTTGGTTTTAGAGATCATAAGCTCAATGACACTGAGACGAATGTATATCTTATTATTTGGTTCCAGTTGCTGGCATCTATGGAATTCAGTGGTCTTTGTGGTTGAATCATCTATTTGCCGGTCACCAGATTCTTATTAAGTGCTCCCATGACACATTATACTATCTATTAAGGTTGATGGTGCTTGCTTCCAGGATGTTTACTGTTTAATCCATATGGATGCAGTCCAGAAGGAAGAGGGTGGAAGAGAACTGTCACGCATGCCTGCCAAGTGCTGGTCATTTATTAGGTTGGTGCACAAGTAATTGCGGGTTTTGCCATTAAAGGGAATGGCAATTTTTTCTTTTTTTTTTTGGACACAGTCTTGCTCTGTTGCCCGGGCTGGAGTGAAGTGATATGATCTCAACTCCCTGCAACCTCCACCTCCTGGGTTCAAGCAATTCTCATGCCTCAGTCTCCTGAGTAGCTGGGATTACAGGCATGCACCACCACGCCCAGCTAATTTTTTGTATTTTTAGTAGAGACGGGGTTTCACCATGTTGGCCAGGCTGGTCTCGAACTCCTGACCTCAGGTGATCCACCCACCTCAGCCTCCCAAAGTGCTGGGATTACAGGCATGAGCCACTGTGCCCAGCAATGGCAAGTGTTTTAACAGCAAAAACTGCAATTACTTTTGCACCAACCTAATATGAACACATTGCATTGACCCCTCTGCATGGCCCTGAGAGACAAGTTCTGTTACCATTTTCATGTAGATGAGGAAACTGAGGCTCCACAAAGTGAAGTCATTTTTCCCAAGTCAAATAGTGGCTAAGAATTTTAACCTGCAACCTGGGCAACATGGCAAAACCCTGTCTCGATAGATAGATAGATAGATAGATAGATAGATAGATAGATAGATACATACATACATACATACATACATACATACATACATACATACATACATACATAACCAGGCATGGTGGCAGGCACCTGTAGTCCCAGCTACTCAGGAGGCTCAGGTGGGAGGATCACTTGAGCCTGGGAGGTTGAGGCTGCAGTAAGCCACAGTCGCACCACTTCACTCCAGCCTGGGTGACAGAACGAAACCCTGTCTCAATGTTTTTATAAAAAGAATTTTAACTGGATGAAGAAAATGTGGTACATATACACCATGGAATACTATGCAGCCATAAAAAGGAATGAGATCATGTCTTTTGCAGGGGCATGGATGAAGCTGGAAGCCATTATCCTCAGCAAACTAACACAGGAACAGGAAACCAAACACCGCATGTTCTCACTCATAAGTGGGAGTTGAATAATGAGAACACATGGACACAGGGAGGGGAACATCACACACCGGGGCCTGTCAGGGGGCAATGGGAGGGAGAGCATCAGGATAAATAGCTAATGCATGCGGGGCTGAATACCTACCTAATGGGTTGATAGGTGCAGCAAACCACCATGGCGCACGTTTACCTATTTAACAAACCTGCACATTCTGCACATGTATCATGGAACTTAAAATAATTTTTTTTTTAATTGCTGAGTCAAAACAAAAGAAAATAATTTTAACCTGGGTCTACCTGTCAATGCCCAGCCCTGGCCTCTTCATTGGTCACCCTGGGTCATTTACCTGGGCTTTGGCATTTCAAAGTCTTCATACGAAACGGTGCTTCATCACCCGTGCTCATTTTCCATTTCATTGCCGACGAAAGCATATTATATTTGGAAGTCGAGTAGAAGCACAGCAAGATCTGTGTGTGCGCCCTCTTAAGACACATCCCCCAAGTGTTGTCCCTAAATGGAATACCAGCTGTCAGATTTTTCTAGACATTCTGACAACCGGCACGGGAGAGGCAAGTAAAGCGAAATCACCAACTGGGGAATAAATAGTTTCTGTGAAAGACAAGACAGAGCTGCTCTGAATCACTCAGCGCTTCCATATGAGGGACAAAAGAAACAAGTGCCAAGGATGGTGACACAGGCCAGGCAGCCCCAGGAAGCCCCCTGGGGAAGAGGTGTGGATTCTGTGCCAACTAGCTGTGTGACCCTGGGAATGTTGGTTAACTTCTCTGAGCCTTATTTTCCTCATCCATCCCATGAAAAGGCTGGATGATGATGGTCATATTTAAATACAGAAACTTCTGGGCTCACTGGAAGGTCAGAAGGAATTCTGCAGCCAAATCCAAGGTTCCCAGCTCAGTCCTCCCCGCTGAAGTCACAGCGTTCCTGTCGGGCTGTCAGGTTCACACCTGGATGGAGAGACCTGCCCCATCACCTGGCCATGCACAATGGTTCTCTCATGCCCATCTAAATAAAAAGGGCACAATATGTCATCAACACCATCTGTTCGCAGTTCTCCTGTGCTGTGACTTTCCTGAAATAAAACCTTTCTCCTTGGGTAGACATAGGAGGTTAAGGAGCTGAGGTCAGTAGCCAGTGGTGAGACAGAGGACAGTTTTCAAAGAGATTTGGGACTTCAGACAAAAAGGAATTTTTCTTCTGTTTGGGGACCCTTCACAGCACACCTGTAGGAAGCAATGAGATTCTGAAACAGAAAATAGAGACCCAGCTGGGCGCGGCGGCTCATGCCTGTAGTCCCAGCACTTTGGGAGGTTGAGGCCGGTGGATCACTTGAGGTCAGGAGTTCGAGACCAGCCTGACCAACATGGTGAAACCCCATCTCTACTAAAAATACAAAAAGAAATAAAAATTAGCTGGGTATGGTGGCGGGCACCTGTAATCGCAGCTACTAGGGAGGCTGAGGCAGGAGAATCGCTTGAATCCAGGAGGTGGAGGTTGCAGTGAACTGAGATCGCACCATTGCACTCCAGCCTGGGCAACAGAGTGAGACTCTGTCTCAAAAACTAACTAACTAACTAACTAACTAACTAAATAAATAAATAAATAAATAAATAAATAAAAAGACCCAGAGAGCTGTTTTGTGTAAATAACACTGAAACAGAGCTGGTTAAGAGCTCCAGCTCTGCACCCAGGACGAGCCTGGCTTAAAATCCTTCCCCAGCATGCCCTCACTTGAGTGAGGCACTTGGGTAAATATTGAGAGTCTCCTTTTCTCCATCTGTGAAAGGGGAATCATGATACAATCTTCCTCATGCAGTTGTTTTGAGGATTAAACAACATCATCCATGACAATATTCAGTACAAAACTCAACATATTAGTAAGCACTGGAAGTGAATGAATGAAAGGCAAGGCTAACCAGTCCCTAGCCCCAGTTATCTTCTTCTAGTTATTTTTTTTACCTGGAGACATTGCTGAACATGTGCTGCTGCTGGAGCTCCATGTCTTCATGGAGCAGGAACCAAATGCAGGGGGTGGGAGCCTTGCTGTTGACACATTCATACCCGGAGTCAAATCACTGCCCACATTGGGGGTATCAAGGATATTCATCAAGACTCTCAGCTGGGCGTGGTGGCTCATGCCTGTAATCCCAACACTTTGGGAGGCCAAGGCAGGTGGATCACGAGGTCAGGAGTTGGAGACCAGCCTGGCCAACATGGTGAAACCCCATCTCTACTAAAAATACAAAAAAAAGCTAGTCGGTCATGGTGGTGCATGCCTGTAATCCCAGCTACTTGGGGGGCTGAGGCAGGAGAATTGCTTGAACCCCGGAGGCAGAGGTTGCAGTGAGCCGAGATCACACCACTGCACTCAAGCCTGGGTGACAGAGCAAAACTCCATCTGAGAAGAAAAAAAAAAAAAAAAAAAGACTCTTACCAGCCAGGCGTGGTGGCTCACACCTGTAATCCAAACACTTTGGGAGGCAAAGGTGGGAGGATCACTTGAGCCCAGGAGTTCGAGACCAGCCTGGGCAGCATAGTGAGACCTATTTTACAAAAAGTTTTTTAAAAAATTAGCCAAGCATGGTGCAGTCCCAGCTACACAGGAGACTGAGACAGGGGGATTGCTCGAGCCTAAGAGATTGAGGCTGTAGTGAGCTATGATCATACCACTGCTCTGCCCCCAGAAGACAGAGTGAAACCCAGTTTCTATAAATAAATAAATAAATAAATAAAATATAGTTTGGGTTGCAAATAAAAGAAAGCCAACCAAGATTCTTTTAAACCAAAAAAGCACTGGCTCAAATAATGGGGGAAGTCAAGTGCATGAACTTTGGGTGGCCTGGACTCAAAGAGCTCAAGCAACATCTCTCTCTCTCTCTCTCTCTCTCTCTCTCTCTCTCTCTCTCTCTCTCTCTCTGTCTCTGTCTCTGTCTCTCTCTGTCTCTCTCTCTGTCTCTCTCTGTCTCTCTCTCTCTCTCTGTCTCTCTCTCTTGCCTGCTCTCTGCCTCTCCCTCTCTCTGTCCTTTTTAACTCCCTGTTAGCTCCATTCCTGGGCAGACTCTCTCTTCACAAGGTATCAAGATTTTCTCTCTCAGTATCTGTCTTCATCCAAAAAGGAGCTCCAATCAAACCTGATTAACTCAGGTGCCTACTGCAGAACAATCTTTGGGTATGACACCTGGTCAACCTGGTTTGCGATGGTGGAAAAGGTGAAGTCAGGGACTAAGTTCCACCAGATGGAGTGGTGGTGAAGGTCCCAACCACAAAAGATGAATTTTGTTATTAGAACAAGGGGTAGGGCTTCCAGAGAGACAAAAACAATGCCTGGCTACTGCACCAGAGTTCATTGTAGGACCCTCAAAGCAAAACACAGCTGTCTGGGGTCTAGCAAACCTGAGATGCAGGGCATGAGATTTTGTAGAGGAGAAGGGACCAGCTCCCAGCCCCACAAGTCAGCATGACTTATCTTCCTCTTAACAAAAGCATCATGAAACATACCAGTCTCACTCTTATTCCATAGAAGCCACATCCTCCAGCTCTTCCTTTGAGTTTTGGGTACCTGGGCATTTCTGATATCATTGGTGTATACAAAATTCTCTTTGAAAAGCTCTTAATTAGTTCCATTTTAGGGTGCATAAATAGCCAATTTCATAGAATCATAAAATATCAGAACTGGAAGGATCAAAGAGCAAAAATAGCTCCCAGACCTGGTGGCTCTGGTTATCCTAAGAATCACCTGAGTTGAGACTGCTACTGTTTTATTTTTTAACATCCCTGCACCCCCAGCTCCCTGCCAGAAATAATATGACTTCTTTTGGTCTGTCGCGGAGCAAGGAATCAGAATTTTCGTGGCTCTGATTTGCCTCATTTGGAAGCCGGTGTCTCTGAAAACATGCAGCCCAGCTCCCAAATGTGGAGATTGAAGGCAGAGGGATTATGAACCTGTTGTCTCCAGGGCCATGGGCTAATGAGTGGCAGAGTCTCTGCAGATGACTCTCTCCAGGAGAAAAGCCAAGAACCACTGCCTGTCATTTGCTGAGTGGAGCAGTGTGAATGGCTGTTAAAATAAGAGAGGGAAAGAAACAGTCAAACAGTCTGTCGCTAGAGCTTGCACACCCAGGTCTCACTGAGGCAGCCACCAGTCTGTCATGCATGGAGCCTGTGAACAAGCTTGCAGGAAAACAGGAAACTCTGCCTCTGTGTCCTCCCGCGGCAGCCTCCTCAACTCACGTTTCATTCCCAAATACTTTCTGAGCTTCCACTGTGCCAAGGACTGTGCTGAAAAAGAGCCCAAGGTTTAGTGGGAAGATAGAAAAGATCACCAGCAGCATGACATATTCAGTAAGACCCCAAAAGGTCAGTTCCTTGAAAAAACGAAACATAAGCTGGACGCGGTGGCTCACGCCTGTAATCTCAGCACTTTGGGAGGCCGAGGCAGGTGGATCATGAGGTCAGTAGTTCGAGATCAGCCTGGCCAACGTAGTGGAACCCATCTCTACTAAAAATACAAAAAATTAGCCGGGCGTGGTGGCGGGAGCCTGTAATCTTAGCTACTCGGGAGGCTGAGGCAGGAGAATCACTTGAATTTGGGAGGCGGAGGTTGCAGTGAGCCAAGAACATGCCACTGCACACCAGCCCGGGCGACAGTGTGAGACTCCGTCTCAAAAAAAAAAAAAAAAAAAGAAAGAAACATAGAGTTACTATATAACCCAGTAATTCAACTTCTAGGTTTGCACCCAAGAGAATTTAAGACATATATTGACATGTAAACATGTGCATGGATGTTCATAGCGGCATGACTCATATAGTACCCAAAAGGTGGAAGGAACCCAAACGTTTATAGCTTACGAATGGATAAACAAAGTATGACATATTCATACAATAAAATATTATCCGGTCATAAAAAGGAATGAAATGGCCGGGCACAGTGGCTCATGCCTGTAATCCCAGCACTTTGGGAGGCCAAGGCGGGTGGATCACGAGGTCAGGAGATTGAGACCACCCTGGCTAACACAGTGAAATCTCATCTCTGCTAAAAAAAAAAAATGCAAAAAATTAGCCGGGTGTGGTGGCGGGTGCCTGTAGTCCCAGCTACTCGGGAGGCTGAGGCAGGAGAATGACGTGAACCCGGGAGGCGGAGCTTGCAGTGAGCCGAGATGGTGCCGCTGCACTCCAGCCTGGGTGACAGAGCAAGACTCTGTCTCAAAAAAAAAAAAAAAAAAAAAAGAATGAAGTACTGGTAAATGCTACATACAGCTGGAGGAACCTTGAAAAATTATGCTAAAAGAAGCCAGACACGAAAGGTCACCTACTGTATGATCGTATTTATTTGAAAGATTCAGAGCAGGCAAATCCTTAGAGACAGACGGTAGATTAGTGTTTGCCTGGGGCTGCAGAGCGAGCGGAATGAGCAGCGACTGTTAATGTGCCTGGGATTTCTTTTTAGGGTGAAAAAATGGCTCTGGAATTAGGTAGTGGTGATGGTTGCGCAATCTCGCGAATGTGTTAAACGCTGCTGAATTGGACATAATTTTAGAACAAGGGCCAATTTTATGGTATGTGAACTATATCTTAATTAAAAATAAATAAATATTGAAAGCTAGATCATTACAACAAATAAACACAAGGAGCAGGCCCTTTTATAGAGCAGGGTGTTCAGAAGAAACCTCAGAGGAAAGAAAAGTTTGGGCTGGGCCCCAGAGAAAAAGAGGGAAGATGGCCGGGCACGCACAGTGGCTCATGTCTATAATCCCAGCACTTTGGGAGGCCGAGGCGGATGGATCACAAGGTCGAGAGATCGAGACCGTCTTGGCCAACATGATGAAACCCCGTCTCTACTAAAAATACAAAAATTACCTGAGTGTGATGGTGTATGCCTGTAATCCCCTCTCCGCTACTCGGGAGGCTGAGGCAGGAGAATTGCTAGGGAGTTGGAGGTTGCAGCGAGCCAATATCGTGCCACTGCACTCCAGCCTGGCAACAGAGTGAGACTCCATCTCAAAAAAGAAAAAAAGAAAAGAAAAAAAATAGGCAAGATCAGAAGGCACCACTGATCTACACTGAAGAAAATGAGGAGACCTGCTTGGCTGGAACAGAAGTGGCCAAGGCTGGAACAGAGCCAGGAAGCGGGGAAGAGTGAGCTATGGTCTTATGTGCTGAGCTTAGGGGCTGGAACAGGCTTCTCCCATCAGCGGGGGCCTTTGCAGGAAGGGAAAGGTGAGTCTAGCTGCAGTTCTGAATGACTTGATGAAGGAAGAGATGAAAACAAAGATTTGGGAGCATCTGAGTTAGTCTCAGCCTCGTGCTGTAGGCTGCAGGGAATAGGATGAAAAACCAGCAGGGGTTTCCTCCTGTCCTCAGGGGATGCAAGAATGAAATTTTGTATTTCTCTGGCAATTTACAGTTGGATGTAGCTTTCACTTTGATTAGCTCATTGATCTTTGAAATAATTCTTGAGATGAGCAGAGCAATTATTAGCTCCTTTTACAGAGAGAGAAACTGACGCTCGCAGAAGTTCCTTCATTTGTCCGGGGCTTCTAAGTGGCAATTAGGAGAAGAAGTCAGATCTTGGACTCACAGTTTTTCCCAGACTGACCTATAGTCTTCTATTATAGACTTCTAAATAATAGACAGCAAGAGTAAATAAATATGCAAAAATATAGTACAATGCAAATGTATGATAACCTTCAATAATTACCAAGAAATGCATAAATTAGTGCCAGGTCGCAGTTCTGTCCACCACACTCGGTGTTTGAAGTGCATTTTCTTTGGACCTGTTTATTGCTATGCAGGAGACCAAAAAGAATTTGTACACAAGTTTTGAACCTGGGCGTAACAGTAAGCCCTCAGCTCAAATCCCACCTCTGCCATTTCCCAAATGACCTTGAACTTCACTTATTGGAATTCAGGCTCCTCACGCAATAAATGAAGACAACACACCCATCACACATGGTATCTGCCACTATGCAACCTCTGCACATAAAAAAAAAGCACTTAACGCAGTACCCAACCCGCTGAGGCTGGTGTTCAATAAAGAAATAGGAGCATTTAAAAGGTTTATACAAGGGAGCTCGCATTCATTGGGCACAAACAATTTTCCAGTTCCTTCCTATATGCATAATCTCCACAAGAAGATAGATCTTTTTTGTATGTGTTTCTTTTTGTTTTTTTTGGTTTTTTTAGACAGTCTTGCTCTGTCACCCAGGCTTGAGTGCAGTGGCATGATCAACCTCTGCCTCCTGGGTTCAAGTGATCCTCCTGCATCAGCCTCCCGAGTAGCGGGGATTACAGGCACACAACACCGTGCTCAGTTAATTTTTCTGTGTATTTTTAGTAGAGATGGGGTTTTGCCATGTTGGCCAGGCTGGTCTCAAACTCCTAACCTCAGGCGATCCACCCACCTCAACCTCCCAAAGTGCTGGGATTACGGGTGTGAGCCACCACACCCAGCCCAACAAAGATAGATCTTATTATCCCATTTTATAGATGAGAAAATTGAGGCCTAGGGAAATTTGCTTGCTCAAAGTCACACAGAGAATCATGATCCACATTTTGGTCTGGCTCCAAAGTCATTCCTCTTTGCTTAGCCACACTATTCGTGATGATGTCAGAATGTGGTGTAAAATGATTCTCTTCAAAGCACAGGGTACTGACTCAGACTAAGGTCTATTTCAGAGCTGCTACAATCCACTAATGATCTAGAAGCTCCTCTGTGCTTTTTTTTTGTTTTGTTTTGAGATGGAGTTTCGCTCTTGTTGCCCAGGCTGCAGTGCAATGGCGCAGTTTCGGCTCACTACAACCTCTGCCTCTTGGGTTCAAGCAATTCTCCTGCCTCAGCCTCCCTAGTAGCTGGTATTACAGGCGCCCGCCACCATGCCCAGCAAATTTTTTGTGTTTTTAGTAGAGACGGAGTTTCACTATGTTGGCCAAGCTGGTCTCGAACTCCTGACCTCAGGTGATCCACCCACCTCAGCCTCCCAAAGTGCTGGGATTACAGGCGTGAGCCACCGCACCCGGCTCTGCTCCTCTCTGCTTATAGGACATTGGTGTGAATTCTCCAGGCGATTGCTCAGTCCTTATCTCTCCCTTCCTACTGCTTGGATGGATTTTTAGATCAAACTTGCAGCCCCGCTCTCCTGGGGGATAATCCCTGTTGCTGGTAACCTTGTTTCCTGGTTGACCTTCACGAAGAAGAGCTTCAGCAAAAACTTTCTCCCTCAGCCCAGTCATGCAATGTTTCTCTTCCTAATGCTTTCGCAGGCCCTCAAGATGGAATGGAAAAGGGCTGCCTTCGGAAACATTTCCAGGAGAAGAAGCTACTCAGAATAAATTAGCCAGAAAGTGTTAGGATATGCTACTTCCACATTCTCGTCTTATTTTCTTCTTTGGCCCTTTCCTTCTTAAATGCCACCTCCTTTTTCCTTCCTGGGACTTGGTATCTTTGTACATTTGCCTACTGATGGGATAAAGCCCATCTCTACCCCAAGGATATTGTCTTCCTCCAGGTAAGAACTTGTAAGATTCTGAGACCCACACCTAAACAGCATTATTTGTAGTAGCCAAAAGGTGGAAGCTTCAATCGGCAAGAAGAAAGCTGAGCCACATATACTTTAAATCGCCCCAGGGAAGCAGAAATCAGTGGATTCAGAAGGAATAAAGATAATGAGATGAGACCTAAGAGACCATGGCGAAATAATTCACAAGTATCATACTGGTGAGGGGGCTGGGGGTTGCGGCTGGCTCACTGGGGTCACTGTAAGTCAGATCTTAGACTTACAGTTTATCCCAGGCTGACCTATAGTCTTCTATTACAGACTTCTAAATAATAGACAGCAAGAGGCAAGAGTAAATAAATATACAAAAATATAGTACAATGCAAATGCATGATAATCTTCAATAATTATCAGGAAACGCATGAATTAGTGCCAGGTCGCAGCTCTGTCCACCACACCCAGCATTTGAAGTGCATTTTCTTGAAGCCTGGCTTTCTGGAGAAACCTTCCTGCTCAATGCCATTTTTTTTTTCTTTTTTTGAGACGGAGTCTCGCTGCCTCCCAGACTGGAGTGCAGTGGCGCGATCTCGGCTCACTGCAAGCTCTGCCTCCCGGGTTCACACCATTCTCCTGCCTCAGCCTCCCCAGTAGCTGGGACTGCAGGCGCCCGCCAACACGCCCGGCTAATTTTTTTCTATGTTTTAGTAGAGACAGGGTTTCACCGTGTTAGCCAGGATGGTCTCGATCTCCTGACCTTGTGATCCGCCCGCCTCGGCCTCCCAAAGTGCTGAGATTACAGGCGTGAGCCACCGTGCCCGGCCTCAATGCCATTTTTTTAACTTTTAGTTTAGGTTCAGGGATACATGTGCAGGTTTGTTCTGTAGGTAAACTCGTGTCACAGGCGTTTGTTGTACAGATTATTTCACCACCCAGGCACTAAGCCTAGAACCCAATAGTGATTTTTTTCTGCTCGTCTCCCTCCTCCTACCCTCCATCCTCAAGTGGGCCCCAGTGTCTGTGGTTCCCTTCTTTGCATCCATGTGTTCTGATCATTCAGCTCCCACTTGTAAGTGAGAACATGCGGTATTTGATTTTCTCTTCCTGTGTTAGTTTGCCAAGGATCATGGCCTCCAGCACCATTAATGTTCCTGTAAAGGATGTAGAAAGCAGTGTGGCGATTCCTCGAAGAGCTAGAAACAGAACTACCATTCGATCCAGCAATCCCATTATTGGGTATATATCTAAAGGAACATAAATTGCTTTACCATAAAGACACATGCATGGAATCAACCTAAATGGCCATCAATGGTAGATTGGATAAAGGAAATGTGGTACATAAACACCATGGAATACTACACAGCCATAAAAAAGATCAATGCCATTTTTAGAGATCCTTTGACAAGCCCTTGGGACCCTTTCTCTTGGAGAAAATTCTGTTTGCCTTTGGAAATATGGCCAGCTTCCTACTTCTTACCTGGTATTAATACCAGGAGTTTGGATGAGCCACTTCACATCAAGGGAGAGAGGTAGTTGAGCTTGAGTGATTTTTATATTCTCTAAAGGCATGTGAACACAACCTTGACCTTTTTCTTTTGCTACGCAGTCTTCTTTAACAGCTGAATGTAAAGAGCCATCTTCTTCAACACCCCTGATTTCATGTCCCCAACAACACACACACACACCCCTCCTGTCCCCGGCAGCTCCATCCTACTCCGGGCCTACTGAATCAGAAACTCCCGAGTGGATGTCTAGCAATTGCTTAATTGCCTGGAGAGCTTATTAAAACACAAATTCCCAACCTCCACCCCAGAGGTCTGATTCAGTAATTCTGCAATAGGGCTGAGAATCTCATTTGTATCAAACTCTCAGCTGGCGCTGGTGCTGCTGTTTCAGCCAGTTGCTCTGGAGTAGGTGGCTTCCTGCCGACCTCAAGGGCACAGATGTCTCCTCTAAGCTATCTGGGGAACCGTGCACAACTGCAGGACAGACAGCAAGGGAGAAAGTGTAGAGGAAAAGGAGGAGGAGATGGAAAAGACATTCTGACATCCACTCAGTTTCCCCTTAGGTAATGCAATGCCTGGGATCCTTGATGCACTTCATCAAAGCCCACTTGCTTGCTTGCTTCTTTCTTTCTTTCTTTCTTTCTTTCTTTCTTTCTTTCTTTCTTTCTTTCTTTCTTTTCTTTCTTTCTTTCTTTCTTTTCTTTCTTTCTTTCTTTCCTTCTTTCTTTCTTTCTTCTTTCTTTCTCCTTCCTTCCTTCGTTTCTTTCTTGCTTGCTTTCTTGCTTTCTTTCTTCTTCCTTCCTTTCTTTCATTCTTTCTTTCGCCTGCCTTTCTTTCTTTCTTTGTTTCTCTCTTTCTCTTTCTTTGATTCTTTCTTTTTCTTTTTCTTTCTCTTTCTTCTTTCTTTCTTCTTTCTTCTTTCTTCTCTCTCTCTCTCTCTCCTGCAGGGTCTCACTCCTCTGTGGCTCAGGCTGGAATACAGTGGTGTGACCACAGCTCACCACAGCCCTGAGCTCTTGGGCTCAAGCGATCCTTCTGCCTCAGCCTCCCAACTAGCTGGGACTATAGGCATGCACCAACGACACCCAGCTAAATTTTTTTTTTATTATTTTTTGTAGGGACAGGGTCTTTCTATGTTACCCAGGCTGGTCTCAAACTCCTGGCTTCAAGCAATCCTCCTGCCTTGACCTCCCAAAGTGCTGCAATTACAGGCTAATGCTTTTTCTTGTTATTTCCATTTATCTGTTTCTGGCCCATATTAATATCCGCTAATTCATGCCTTTTGATTGAGACCTATACATGGTTTCTCATGGGCGTTATAAAAATGAAAGTGCAAGACCTGGCACAACAGAAAGATTAAGAGAACGAAACCCCTAGACCCAAAGTAAACCCTGTGGGGCCGTGGTATCTGGAGGCAGGACACCCTGCCTCTGGCATGTCTAAGAGAGTTTGGTGCCCCCCTATCTTCACATTGGTGCTGCCCAGAGCAAGCAATCCCCACTTCCCCAACTTCAGCAGCATCCAAGATCTCACGGAGGGCTTGTTAAACACAGATGGGGACCCCCACTCCCAGAGCCTCTGATGCAGCAAATCTGGGGTGGGGGCTGGACAAGAATCTGCATGTTTTTTTGAGACAGAGTCTCGCTCTGTCTCCCAGGCTGAAGCACAGTAGCCTGATCTCAGCTCACTGCAACCTCTGCCTCCCGGGTTCAAGCGATTCTCCTACCTCAGCCTCCCAAGTAGCTGAGATTACAGGCATGTGCCACCATACCCAGCTAATTTTTGTATTTTTAGTAGAGATGGGGTTTCACCATGTCGGCCAGGCTGGTCTCAAACTCCTGACCTCAGGTGATCTGCCCACCCCAGCCTCCCAAAATGCTGGGATTACAGGCATGAGAGCCACCAAACCTGGCCAAGAATCTGCATTTTCAAAAACCTCCCAGTGGCCAAGCATGGTGGCTCATGCCTGTAATCCCAACACTTTGGGAGGCAGAGGCAGGAGGGTGGCTTGAGCTCAGGAGTTTGAGATTATACTGGGCAACATAGCAAGACCCCATCTCTACAAAAATGAAAATTAAAAAAATTAGTCGGCCAGGCGCAGTGGCTCACGCCTGTAATCCCAGCACTTTGGGAGGCCAAGGCGGGTAGATCACAAGGTCAGGAGATCGAGATCATCCTGGCTAACGTGGTGAAACCCCATCTCTACTAAAAAATACAAAAAATTAGCCGGGCATGGTGGCGGGCGCCTATAGTCCCAGCTACTCAGGAGGCTGAGACAGGAGAATGGCATGAACCTGGGAGGTGGAGCTTGTAGTGAGCCAAGATCATGCCACTGCACTCCAGCCTGGGTGACAGAGAGAGACTCCAGTATCAAAAAAAATAATAATAATTAGGCACGGTGGCACACACTTGTAGTTCCAGCTACTCAGGAGGCTGAAGTGGGAGGACAGCTTGAGCCCAGGAGGTTAAGAAGGCTGCAGTGAGCTACAGTAGTACCACTGCACTCCAGCCTGGGAGACAGAGCAAGACACTTTCTCTAAAAAAAAAAAAAAAAACAACAAAAAAAAACCTCTTAGTAATGGGGATGCTGCTTGTCCAACGACCCCACTGTAGAACCACTATGTGTATGTCTGAAATAATGCAAGAAGTCACTTATGGTGATTAGCAAAACCCAAGAAAACGTCCAGGAAAGGTAAGTTGCACCCAGCTGATCACAGAGGTGTAGGGAAGCATCTGAACTTCCACTCTGTTTGTATCAGCTGCAGAAATGGATACAGCAGTCACTGGATGATGTCTTTTATGAAACTCACCCTGGAATGTCCCATATTTCCGGGCTCTGAAAGTCACTCTGGCTCTATTCTATCAGAAAATTTAGGCCTTACTCTGATCATCACATCCATCATGATTCTTGTTATAGAAGTTTTCTCATTTCATACCTTTCACCAGAAGGCATTTTGTATTATGCAGTCTCCATGGCAGTGGTCCCATAAATGCCTGTCAACTTGATTTGACCAGTCTCATCCTATAGGACTCACTGCTGGCCTGTTGAGGAAGAGTTGCAACCTATCTCACTGTGTTATTTCTCTCTTCTCTCTTCTCCCAACCCCTCTTCCTTCTTCCCACACCTGCTTCTCCCACCACCAGTGCATTCCCAGAAGCAGAACAGACAGACCTGCGTCCGGAAGAGCCTCATATGCGCCTTTGCTATGGCCTTCATCATCAGTGTCATGCTGATTGCAGCCAACCAGATACTCCGGAGCGGCATGGAGTAGCAGCCTCCCGCCAGCCACACTGTGTTGCAGCTCACCGCGCATGTGCATGCCGTGCGGGCAGACTCTTCCTCCACACAGCAGACACGGACCTATGGACTATGGATGGATGCGGACGATGGAACCGTTCAGTAAAGAACCCAAGGTTGAGTGCAACTGGGGTTGCACTTCAGCTTCATCTCCTTGGCAGGGACACTAAAGGGCTGTCTTCAGTGCTTTAATGGTTTTGTTTTCTAATGCAATAAATCGCCAGGATTTCCAAATTATTGCTTCAACCATCAGTCATAACTCTAGAGAAAAACTTCATCTTCATCTCGGAATTCCAGCAGCCATCCAGGTATAATGGTGAGAGAGCAAGAGAGAGGCATGAACACACAGTCACCTCCACTCCCCATTCTTTCAACCCAAGGGTCAACAGGAGACTCTCTGCTGAGGTCAACCCTCAGTTCCAAGAGGCTGACTTCAGGGTTGCCACAGAAGAGGGGGCTTTCCATCCCACCCTGGCTTCCTTCCTCCACCCAGTGGAGACCCCCCCAAGGCATGAGGGGAAAGCCATTAAGTGGGGTGCAGCCCTGGCGGTCTTCAGCTGCACCCCTCACCGCTTCCGTTCTTACTGCCTTTTCTAGAGGACTGCCATTGGTAGAGCTGGGGTGCTCTCAGTTTCCGTCGGCACTTGGCTTTCTGTTCCTAGAGCCCATCCCGCACCAGCATTTTGGAACCTGCAGAGAGCCTTTCTCCCAGCTTTGCCGCCTGTGCTGCCATTAGAGAAAAAAAGAAGCATAATCGTGGGCATCTCTATAACATAGACAGATATATATATTTGGCTTCTTCGTGTGTGATGTCATTCTTCCCTAATCGCTTACACCTAATATAAGCTTGTCCTCCCTCCCACACTCATCCCTGCTTCTTTGGGGCAGGGGTGAGGCAGGTTGAGGGGGGAGGGGACTGGGACTGGCGGTGAGGTTTTGATACCCACACCCAGCCATCTGGAGTCATGGAGACCCACCACGTCTCTATGCCGGATGACCTTTGTAAGTTAAGGTCCTTGTGCATCTTACCTTTCCCTTACCTTGGAGTTTGCTTTGTTAGTCTTCCCCAGCTAAAAAGAGAAATGCAATCCAAAATGGAAAGATGGAGAGATCAAACGACTGTATTTTCACATAAGATCTTCTGGCCTTCAGATTCTGCAACTGACTCATTTTCAGGAGGTTGGGGGAAAAGATGTTTATGAGTTTAGCCAACAGAACAGGTAATTTACTCCTGCCTGCAGAATACTTTTCGTTGGGGAAGAGAACTGAATCCAAGGATCTGTTTTCAACACCATTCCAAGTCTGTAATTTCCTGACTTTTCCTAGATGTCAGCCACTACTATGAATTCAAGCTTGTGTAGTCAGATTAGCCAGTAATCTCTAGATGTAATAGTTCCCTTTGTACTTTTCCAAGCTCAGGTCTTTATTTTGTAATGGAATTACCTTGCTCCTACTTCTTTTGATTACATCCTAAAACTACATGCTTCCCCCCTTCCAGTAGCGAGCCACCAGAAGCTTTCTTGTCTCTATGCAGTGGGTAGGATTTTTTGGTGCGTTGTGTGTTCCTGATCTCCCTCCCTGTCTTCCTGCTCAGCTTTCTCCCTACTGCCTTTTCAGACTTGGAGCACCCAAGGTCTCCAATGAAAGTTTTCTCATTCACCTCTGCAAGTGCTACTGGCAACAGCCTGAGGGCAGCTGTAGAAACTTTCCCTCTGTGGGAGACTATGAATATTCCTGATGAGCACAAGTAAAACTAAGGCTTCAGCCATAATATGGAGGAGGGAGCAGATGTAAGCTCCCAAGAGCCTGGGGGATCACAGGTCCCTCTGCAAAACTTCCTGGAGTTCAGCCCAGCAAGGCCAGACCAAGGAGGCAGCAACCTGCCTTTCCCCCTTACCTGCCCTGCTGCCTGCACACTGCATGCCTGCCCCTTCTGCTGCTCCTGTTGGCTGACTCACCACTGTCCCCTTAGGATTGGAATTCTCAACTAGAACCGGTCCAAATGCAGAATATTAATACATCGAACAACTTCATCCTTAATCTCTGCCCTGGGCAGTTTGCCCTCTCCCATCTGGACTTAGATGGGAGGGCATAGCAGATCTTGAAGGGATATACTTTCCTGTTTTTCCCTGACCCCCGAACCACCCAACCACATCCATAGGGGTGCAGGACCCTAAGTAGACTGGGTAGAAACCCCAGGGATGATTCTTCAAAGCCCCCTCCTCCATGAGAGGGGACTGAAATGCTGCAGCTGAGGCTGGTCTTCAGGGCAGAAAATGAGTACTTCTTTGAAGGTGGCTTTTCTGCGAGTTCTTCTGCCTCCTGCTGGAGAACAGAGACCCTTCAAGAGGTGAGGGTTAGATTTCATTGGCAGAGAGATTAGCCACTGTGCAGGAGTAGGGAGGAAAAGGAGTTCTGGAGAGGCGCCGCCATCCTGTTTTCTGGAAAGGCTGCAGGATTCCTTTCCTAACGGTGACCTTCTTCTTGCTCCCAGTGACCTGGAAGCAAGCCCACCCTCCCCAGGGGAAAATCTAGGAGAATGCATTCCTCTGCAGACTGCTAGAGAGAGATGGCAAGAAGGAAGACACAGAATTCTTTCTGACAGCCTAGGAGTTATCTTCCCACTGTGGTAACCCCCCATGTGGCACCCAGGGACTGAAGGACACAGTGCGTGGAGACGGCCCTGAGCTAGCGGCATTCCTTAGACTTCAGGAGCTCAGAGTTTGTCCCGGTGACTTGCACCCTGGCTGCTTTGCTTGGACAGTTTGTCTTGGGTATAGGGAAGCCTTCCTTGTCAGGCAGCCAACTCCCAGCCCTGTTCACACAAATTTTATGCTAGGGCCCCATGCCAGTCAGTGTCCCCATCATGGTGGCTATGAAGCTCACGGCTGAAGATTCCAGAAGGTCCTGGTCTCCCATGCCCAAGGGATGCCATGTAGCCCCAGCTGGAAGTGACTTCCGCAGGAATTGAGAGGGAATAGCTCACCCCTCATTCTGTCCTCCGGACTTAGGAACCAGTGACCTTGGCTGCCCAACTGTGTGGAGGCTGAGTGATTGACAAACACAGGTTGGCTCATTCTTGCTGCAAGAGCAGGTACCCCCCGCCGCCCCCCTGGAAAGCACAAGTGATGAGCAAGAAGGCATTTTCCTTGGGAGAGAAGGGGAAATGGACCCTGACCCCCTTGATCCCCAAAGAAGCTGCGCCCCACCTTTCCAGATACCCACAAAGCCCCCAGACAGAATCTAGCATCGGGACTATTAGCAATGGCTTCCAGAATGTGCTTGGGTCCCACGTGACTGATCTGACAAAAAAAAAAGAGGGATATTACCATGGCAACCCTTGCATTCCACCCTGAGTTTGCCAAGGCACACAAAAATAGGGAACATTTTCTTAAAGAACACTCCAATTCAGCCTGAGTGCAACCTGACTCTCTGCATCTGTATCCTGCTGGGAGAGGCAATTACCCTTAAAGAATCTGGGTGGTATCTCTGCCTTTTTGTCTGGCATTTGAACTTGTCCTTCTATTTACTCAGGAGAGCAGGAGCTACCTGTAAGCCCTGGTATCTCCCCATCCCTACTCCCAGCCCCTTCTCCCAGGGTCCAGAGCCAGGACCCCTTAATCTAGGTAAATTGACAGAAATATCATCTTGGAAGGCAAACAAGATATTAAGCCTCCAATCTTTAAAAGTATCGGTTTGCCTGTTGAGCACACTCCTGCAAGCCAAACACGTGAACTTTGGTGAACTGAGGTTTAGGTGTGGTCTTAGGCAAACCCAGTGGTTTCAGAAATGTCTGGGTGTTTTATTTGCAGAGAACAAGATGTGTCTTATGAGTCTTCTTTCTCAATACCTGCCCTGTCTCAAATCTCACTTGACAAATGGTCTACGATCTTGCAGTTATCCAAAAGAGCCTATGAAAAATGGACAGCTGCTTTTGACAATAATGCCCCTCCCAACTTCCCATTCATAGAATCATAAAGCGATATGTTTCAGAACTGAGAGAGAAAAGTTTACCTTTTATTCCAAATGCCTCGTACTCGGTTTAAGTCCAGACTCAGGTCATAAATCAAAGACAGTTTTGCACGTTGCTCTTCACCTAAATCTAGCAGTTTCCCTGAGGCCCTATGAGGGCATGGACAGAAAATGAAGGATGCAACCACCCAGGACAGCTCCCTGGTTTGGGCTGGCCTGGCCACGTGTGGTCACATGTCCTGGGATCTGTGTTTACTGTGTCCTTGCTCTCCTTCCTTGCAGAAGCTGCTAAGCTCTGCTCCTCCTAACTGCAGGTCTCAAACCCTATTGGGTCATTTTGCCACACTATTTCTCCAAAGGCCCATAGTCATTACATTTTTTACCATTTCACCAAGATAACAGGGGGGGTCTGGAATTCCCCTGCTAGGAAGGGCCCCTTTTCCTATATCACCGTGATGGTACAGATGAACTGAGATGAAACTTTTAGACTTCAGCACGTCACACATCCTGGTTGTATAACCAGGAGGTCTGCAGAGCTGCAACCCCTGAAGAACATCTGTCTTAAAAGACCTCAAATCAGAACATTCTCATTGGCCTCTTCAGTGATCCCCATGGAGCTAAGAGTCCGTAACCTAAAGGCCTTACCATAGCCATCTTCCCTCCACACCTGATTGCTCAACTGCCCCAGAAGGGGAGAATCTATCTGAAATAGAAAAGAAGCATTAAGGACCAGGTGCGGTGGCTCACACCTATAATCCCAGCACTTTGGGAGGCCAAGGCAGGTGGATCACTTAAGATCAGGAGTTCAAGACCAGCCTGGCCAACGTGGTGAAACCCCATCTCTACTAAAAAAAAAAAATACAAAAATTAGCCAAGCATGGTGTCGGGCACCTGTAATCCTAGCTACTCTGGAGGCTGAGGAGGGAGAATCACTTGAACCCTGGAGGCGGAGGCTGCAGTGAGCTGAGATCGCGCCACTGCACTCCAGCCTGGGCAACAGAGCAAAACTTCATCTCAAAAAATAATTTTAAAAAAGAAACATTATTCACCAGCTAAGACTTTTCAATTTAAATTATTTAAAGTGACAGCAACATAGAGGAGAATTTGGGCTGCCTCTTACCGACCCAGTCTCCATGATAATTTGAGTGTCACAACTGTTCAGCTTCACTTCATACTTGCTTTGACTAAGTCACTCGGGATTGTCCTCAATTTTTTGGCCCTGCCATAAATAGGTGTATGTTAGTCCGTTTTGCATTGCTATAAAGGAATACCTTAACACTGGGTAATTTATAAAGAAAAGAGGTTTATTTGGCTCGCAGTTCTGCAGGCTGTTTGAGCAAGGTATCAACATCTGCTTGGCTTCTGGTGAGACCTCAGAAAGCTTTGACCCATGGTGGAAGGTGAAGGGGGAGCAGGCACGTCACACAGCAAGAACAGGAGCAAGAGAGAGGAGAAGAGGTGCCAGTCTCCTTTTCTTAACAACCCGCAATTGCATGAACTAATAAAGTAAGAATTCACTCATTACTACAGGGAGGGCACCGAGTCATTCATGAGGAATCTGTCCCTATGACCCAAATATCTCCCAGCAGGCCCCACCTCCAGCACTGGAGATCAACATGAAATTTGGGGGGAACAAATATCCAGCCTCTATGATTGGTTTGGAGCAATGAGATCAATTACACCAACAAGCCAAGCATTTCTCTTAGTATCCTATGGTCATTGCTAATGCATATGGTCATTTTGACAGCTGTGGTTTCTCCTTCATATTCATTTGGGACTCTTCATAGGGTCTCGAGAGACATGACAATACTGTTCAAAACGTCTCCAAGGCAAAATTAATTTTATTCCGTTGACTGGAAATATATCACAAAGAATGAGGTTTTTCCAGTCCCACCCACAAGACAGTCCTCTGAAAGTGGAAAAGCTTGCCCGGCCACCTGCCCCTACCCTGACCTTGGGGTAGTTCATCAGTTGAGCACAACCCCCATGCCGGGCATAGACTCACCCATCTCTTTTCCTCAGGTGTGATGGGTTGGCTTTCAAACTAGTGTTTCTCGCACTGTTAGAAGTTATTGTCCAAGTGGAAAGGATGCAGAGGCTGGAATTTTCCAGTGGGATAGAAGAGCAGGCTAATTAGGAAGGAATATTCCAGGGAATGCAAGGTGCAACTGCGATATTGCTCCATCCCTGGACCTGAGGGAGACAAAGAAAGTTCTTAAAGGGCTGCAGATGCTGTCCTCTGAAGGTCTTCTCTGGATCGCTGGCCTACTTTGGAAACATGCAGGCCATTGAGTGCCATGGGGCTGCCCATCAGTCTGATCCACACGAAAGGCTCTGTGCATTTCAAGAGCAGGCTGGTAGCTCGCCATTCCTGGGAGGATGCTGACATCTGTCAAGCCCAGAATGCCTCTCTCAGGGCTCTCAGACCTGTTAAACTGAGGCCAGGAGAGCAGAAGAAAGAACTCAAAGTGTGGACGGTACTACCAGCTGGAGAAAGCCCAGGAGCCAGGACTCTTCCACCCACTATCTAGGTTATGTTGAGTGACATTCCTCCCTGGCTTCAGGTTTCTCTAAAGCCAGAGGAAAAGTAAACCAGACAAGCCCTCCCATCTATTTTGTCTGAAACAAGATGGAGTGAATGCTCCCTACTGAGAGGGTCTGGATTTCACCCATGAATTGCACTAGGAACTGGGAGCTCCTTTTTGAACACAAGTCCCAAGAGGCAGTTGTGATAAAGTCTCTCTTTTGGTGTCCGCTGTCTGTAAATGAAACAATGCAAATTGGTGTATGTTAAATGTGTCACAGCTTGCAGGCAAGAGGTTTTGTTTATTCTCTAAGGACTTGCTGACTCGAGGGAGCATCAAAGATGAGCTTTCTGTCTGTCTTGGCAAGTGTGAAAATAAAGGGAGTCAGTCACCTCCCCAAAGGTCATGTGAATCAGAATTCAGGAGAAAGTTGGAGGAAACAATGGCAGATTCCAAGAAGAGATGCTTGTTTCTCCATTTGAGAAAGCCTTACTGAAAGCTACTGAATAAAGAGCACAATTTCCAGTTATTTCTTTCTTTGCTTTTTTTTTTTTCTGGCCACTATAACAGCACTTCCAGTATATGTTGATAGTAGCTTGTAATTATTCCTAATACCCCAGAAAGAAGAGAGTCGTGATCTTTGGTGATTGTGAGGAATTAGATTAACAGTCGCGGGGGACCGGCTACCTGCGACAGCCCTTTAAATGGCTAATGAGGGATGCTGAGTGCTGAGCGGTGCCTGCTTTTGATGTGGCCCACCCATGACCAGGGAGAGAGGGCAGGAAGAGAGCAGCTGCAGGATCCACAAGTCTCTAACCCTTCTGCCCCAGGCAACATAAAACCCTAGATTCTTGTTCTTTTTCCCTCTTCCTAAAGTAGACTGACGTCCCAGTAATTGTTTTTCTAACAAGCCCTGTTGTTCTCCCTGGGAAAGACCTAGATTGGCCAAGAAAGGATCCTGTCAGCTCCTGGTGGAGAGTTGCACAAGCCAGTGGCTCTCAACTCTCTCCAAGGAAAATTAAAGCATATTTTCTCTTTCTTAGCTCAAAATCAGCTTTCAGGGGTCCTTATTGGGGTCTGATTTTCTTCCCCAGTTCTGAATCCAGGAAGAAGCTTTTTCTCCAAGGACCAACCAAAAACAATGACTTTGGAGAAAAATTAGACTCAGAAAGTCTGTCCAGGCATTGGGTTGGTGAACTGTCAACTGTTGGATGGGGAGGAGGGGTCGCTGTGATCGTAGCGGTCATTAGACTTGGGACGTGAGTTGTCTCTCAAAGCACAGTAGTAAATGACTGTATTTTGTATATTGCCCCCAATATGTTGGGTGTAAATAGAAGCACAGCTGGGGATTGATCATGGCCAGGACGATTGGAGCTTGGCAGCTCTCATATCCAGAATAAGCCACTAAGACGGAACTCATCAATCACCATCTTCCCATTTACCTCATTAGCATCCCATTTTCTCTCATTCAGTATTAGTTGATGATTTCTGCTATTAAGTGATGAGAAAGTCAGCAGACTAGTCAAAAAAGAATCTTTATATAAAATGTACATATTAATATAAATTAACTTAGCATGCAACTTACCGATCAAATGAAGTATATATTATTAATATGTTATCTTAGTGTATAAAGGAAAACTGCCATATTTACCAGATGTTTTCTTTAACCGAACTTGTCTGTAAATATATAATCTGTATAAAAAGAGTCTAATTTACCATTATTTATGCAATAGAAAAAATAAAAGTTTTTTTTTCTTTTGACAAGAGATTCCATTCATTATGTGTGGTTTGATTTACAAATGGGTCAGGAGACTCATTCCTGGGACCCCAAAGGGCAACCAGTTCTGTTCAATGACAGCCTGGCATCACCAAGAAGCCACAGGTGAGAAAGCAGCCTTGGGATCTCACTGTCTGCTGGGATGCTAAAGAGAGATGACTGGCGTTAGGGCAAGTAAGTGGACTGTGGAACATATGGTGAGAATTATGAAGTGTCTTCTGGCTAGGGAGCAGACATTATAATTTTTAAAACTTTGTAGACACCCAAGCTAATGGTGTCATCCTTTTGGGATTCTGTTTGCCAGATTCTTCTCAACATTACGTTAAGGCATTGCATAGCTTTTACTTAAGCTTTTGGAATTTTTAATGCTATCTGAGCTTCTTGGAAATAGAAAAAGACACCTATTTCCTTAAATAAGGAAACGCAGGGTATGACAAAGTTAAGTGACTTGATTAAGGGCACTAGCTGAGATCATGCCCAAAATTTCTTTTCTTTTCTTTTCTTTTTTTAGAGACAGGGTCTCCCTCTGTCACCCAGGCTGAAGTACAGTGGTATAATCATAGCTCACTGCAGCCTCGAACACCTGGGTTCAAGCGATCCTCCCACCTCGGCTTCCTGGGTAGCTGAAACTACAAGTGGGCACCATTATGAATGGTTAATTTAAAAAAATTTTTTAGAGATGGGGGTCTCAGTATGTTGCCCAGGCTGGTCTTGAACTCCTGAGCTCAAGTGATCCTCCTGCCTTCGTCTTCTGAATAGCTGAGACTGCAGGCTCATCCCATAGCACCCAGCTTATTTTTATTTTTAATTTTTGGCAGAGACAAGGTCTCACTCTATTGCCCAGACTGGTGTCAAACTCCTGGGCTCCAGTGATCTTCCCACCTCAGCCTCCCAACTAGCTGTGACTACGGGTTCACTGCCCAAATTTGGACCAGAACTTGGCCTCCTGTTTCCAAGAACCATGAAGCATCTCATATTTTCTTCACTTCTCAAAAATGTTATCTCACATTTTTCCAGATGCCTTGTTTTTAGCCAAAAAACTGAGTTTCCCATTGGGTTGGATCTTCCAGGGTCCTCTCGGGCACCCTGTTTTAAATATTCCATTTTATATACCTTCTCAGGGGTCGCTTATGAGGTGAATTCACTAAGCATCTGTTATTGTTTTAAAAATCCTAAAAATAGAATGTTTCAGGCATAAAGCACACTTTTCTTTATGCTTTTCACTCCATTAAAGGCCTCTGGAAAATTCCAGGGAGATGATGACTTAGAGTTTATCCTCTCTGATCTGCCGTTTTTCATTTTTGTTATTATAATCTAGCACCTAGTTATGAATATTCTTTTTCCCCGGCAACTCACCCCAGGAGTTTCCTGTATAACAAACTGCTCACCAGAACACTGACCACAGAACTCAGTGTCTCCGAGCCCTGACACACTGAGATGAGGACAATGAACCCCAAAGACTCATTGTCCAATGTGGGCCCAAACTGGATAACGTCCAAAGAAAAACAAAATTCTCCCTTAAGATGTGAACCTACCTTTCAGTCCCATTGAAAAATTTTTTTTTTTTTTTTGAGATGGAATTTCAGTCTTGTTGCCCAGGCTGGAGTGCAATGGTGCGATCTCAGCTCACCGCAACCTCTGCCTCCTGGGTTCAAGCTATTCTCCTGCCTCGGCCTCCCGAGTAGCTGGGGTTACAGGCATGCACCACCACGCCCGGCTAATTTTGTATTTTAAGTAGAGACAGGGTTTCTCCATGTTGGTCAGGCTGGTCTCGAACTCCCGACCTCAGGTGATCTGTCTGCCTTGGCCTCCCAAAGTGCTGGGATTACAGGTGTCAGCCACCACGCCCAGCCGAAATTTTTCCATGATTTCGTAGCAAAATGAAATTCAAAGGCTTTTCTTTCACATAAAGGTTTGTGGTTCAGCCACATTCGCAGTTAGAAAGCTGTGCCCGTGGATTCTCTGCTGAATCCAGAAGGTCTACCTGTAGCAAGGAGCTTTGTTTTGAGTGACAAAAGGATCGGTGCAGTGGCTGCCGCAGACCTGTGGCCAAGTTCTGTCTTGCACTCCCTGGTTTTAGGACACAGGACACCTGAGTTTCTTTTCCTTCTTTATTTTTTTAAGACAGAGTCTTGCTCTGTCTCCCAGGCTGGAGTGCAGTGGCGTGATCTCAGCTCACTGCAACCTCCACCTCCTGGGTTCAAGTGATTCTTGTGCCTCAGCCTCCCCAGTAGCTGGGATTACAGGCGCACACCACCACTACTGCCTGGCTAATTTTTTTGCATTTTTCATAGAGACGGGGTTTTCGCCATGTTGCCCAGACTGGTCTCAAACTCCTGACCTCAGGTGATCCACCCACCTCGGCCTCCCAAAGTGCTCTGATTACAGGCATGAGCCGCCGTACCCGGCCCAGAACACCCAGGTTTCAATCATGAGGCCATGCCCTGAGCACAGGAAACAGCTATGTTCTAGCCTCCCAGGTACACACCTGTAGCTCCTGGTTCTCTGCACCTGGGGCGATGCTCCACATCCCGCATAGCTCAGTGTGTGGCCAGAGGGCTCCTTTGGTTTCAGTGGTCTTTGGTAATCTGTCCTGCAGCTGTGCTCGGACCTGGCTGCCTGCACCAGGCAAGAACCCTGCTCTCATTTCTGAGTTTCCTAAGACCAAGAAGAAAGACGCAGGTACCAACCACCAGGAATCTCCGGAGCCATATTAAGATGACATGCTGTCTCAGATTCTCTGGGGTTCATAGCCCCACTTTGGCTCTTGGGACCTCGGCTTCTCACTTTTTCCCCATCTTTCTTCTCTGCTCTCAGGGTAGCTCGAAGTTAGCTGAGCTTCAAAGACCTCTCCCAGGCAGTGGTCCTCAACCATGCTTACACATGACAGTTGCCTGGGGAGCTTTTAAAAAATATCACCGTTGACCAGGCACAGTGTCTCATGCCTGTAATCCTAGCATTCTGGGACGCTGAGGCGGGAAGATCACTTGAGCCCAGGAGTTCAAGATCAGCCTGGACAGTACAGCAAGACCTCCTCCCTCCTCCAAAAATGTTTTAAAAATAGTAGGCCGGGCGCGGTGGCTCACGCCTGTAATCTCAGCACTTTGGGAGGCCGAGGCAGGCAGATCATGAGGTCGAGAGATCAAGACCATCCTGGCCAACATGGTGAAACCCTGTCTCTACTAAAAATACAAAAATTAGCCAGGCGTGGTGGCATGCGCCTGTAGTCCCAGTTACTCAGGAGGCTGAGGCAGGAGAATCACTTGAACCCGGGAGGCGGAGGTTGCAGTGAGCTGAGATCATGCCACTGCACTCTAGCCTGGCAACAGAGCGAGACTCCATCTCAAAAAAAAAAAAAAAAAAATTGTACAGGCGTGCACCTGTAGTCCCAGCTACTCTGTAGGCTGAGGCAGGAGGATCTCTGAGCCCAGGAGTTCCAGGCTGTAGTGAGCTATGATCGCAGCACCACGCTCCAGCCTGGATAATGGAATGAGACTCTTTCTAAAATAAAATAAATTAAATAAAATACAATCTGACACTGTCTTGGCCCCGCCCCCAGATATTCCATTGTTCTGGGTGACTTCATTGTCCTGGGATGCAGCCTGGACCTCAGGGATTTTAAAAGCTCACCCAGTGATTCTAGCTGCACAGAGTGAAGAACTAGGGCAGTGAGTTCCTCCTACTCTTTCTGACTCATGTGCTTCCCAGGGAAGCAGAACCTGGAACGTGTTAGAAGTTAATCTTCTCAGGCCACATCACAGCCTATGCAATCAGAAATTCTGGCGATGCCCAAAACCACAAGCCCCTGGTAATTCTGATGCCCCCTCAAGTTTAAGGACCATTGTCTTAGTAACACTTTTGCACAGTGATGGACATTGAGATCAATACATAATTGCAATTATTATAAGAATCACCAGGTACCTTATACATGTAAAGATGCCTAGAGCTCACCTCAAACCTACTGAATTTGAATGTCAGAGGAAGGGCTGCCTGGTGGGGATCTTTTGAGAAAGCCGTGAAGGATCATCAGAAAGGAGGCATAGCCTGGCATGGTGGCTTATGCCTGTAATCCCAACATTTTAGGAGGCCGGGGTGGGACGATTGCTTGAGGTCAGGAGTTCCAGACCAGCCTGGCCAACATAGTGAGACCCTGTCTTCAAAAAATAAAAAATAGGCATAGTGGCTCACGCCTGTAGTCCCAGCCACTCAGGAGGTTGAGGCAGGAGAATCACTTGAACCTGGGAGGTGGAGGTTACAGTGAGCCAAGATCGCGCCACTGTACTCCAGCCTGGGTGACAGAGCAAACTCCATCTAAATGAATAAATAAATAGAGTTGTAGTGGCACACCCCTATAGTCCCAGCTACTTGAGAGGCTGAGGCAAGAGAGTTGCTTGAGCCCAGGAGTTTGAGGCTGCAATGAGCTATGATCACACCACTGCCCTCCAGCTTGGGTGACAGACCAAGGCCCCATAAGAAAAAAAAAAAAAAAGTCCCAAACAGCAGCTTCAATAAGGAAAGGAAAAGCAGCAAGATTCCCCAAGAGGTGGAGGGATGGAGATGCTGAGCTTCCTGTGCATATGTGAACCTCGAGTTGTGATGGGGCAGCTGGCAGAGCCCTGCTATTCCCCGCGTATCTTGAGCAGAAAGTCCTGCATCCCAGAAGGCAGTGCCAGGCAAGGCATGAGTGCACCCTCCCAGAGAAGGGCTCAGTATGTGTCTCCTTCAGCCTCAACTCTTCCCAGCCTTCTGGAATAAAGAGAACCCAACCTGACCCTCCATGTATTTGAACCTCTGGCGTACAGGAACCACATGGAATGGTTTGCATATTTGATCCTCCGTCTGTACAAGCCTCTATGCGCCGATAACCCCATGGAATAGCTTCTTCTTGGCTGGCGTCTCTTCAGTACCAGCCTCTGGTCTCTCCACTAGCCTTCTCCTAGGAGGACGAAGTGTCCAGAACGTGGGGCCAGGTGCGATGGCTCACACCTGTAATTCCAGCACTTTGGGAGGCCGAGGCAGGTGGATCACTGGGTCTGGAGTTTGAGACCAGCCTGGACAACATGGTGAAACCCTGTCTCTACTAAAAATACAAAAATTAGCCAGGCATGGTGGCGGGCACCTGTAATCCCAGCTACTCAGGAGGCTGAGGCAGGAGAATCGCTTGAACCTAGGCAGTGGAGGTTGTAGTGAGCTGACATCACACTATTGCACTCCAGCCTGGGCGACACAGTGAGACTCCATCTCAAAACAAAACAAAACAAAACAAAACAAACAGAATGTGAGGATTAGGGGGCACTGGAGGTGTCTACCGTGCTGTCACATAAGGGAGGACATGGGGTCATGCTGTGTGGGGCGGAGAGAGGTTGTGCACAGACTCCATTTCATCTGTGACCTTGGATGGACAAATGGCCTCAGCTCCGTGGCTGAAATAATCTTCCTTAGCCACACGACAGCTTATTTTGCACATCACTTTATTCCCAGCATCTAACACTGTTCCGAGCACAGTGCTCAGAAAATATTTGCTAAAGAAATAATTGAACAAACCAAATGACATCCCATGGCTCAGATATACAAATTGTCTGGGGGTGCAGAATTCTCGTGCTTTCCCATCTCTCCTCTCTGGGACAGGTGCTTTATAAATATCAAAGTATATTTTATATTTTATTTTTAAAATATAAAATTTCCTCCACCTCCCATCCTCCTTCCCCTGGTTCTCATGCCTTTGGCAAAATCAGGGATGCTCTGTGTTTATGTGTTTATTTGTTTTTGTGTTAGTTTCTCTGGCCTGTCCAGGAATTCTTTATCCTCTCTGATAAGCTGGGACGGGAGGTGATCTACAGCCTCTTCATCTAGTCCCAGAGGGCACTTTTCAGCCAGCATCTGGTGCTATGGAGTTGGGCTCTCCTCTGGCCAAGAGACAAGCCAGTCACCTTCCCTGAGAACCACAGCATCAGTCCCCCTGGCTGGATCCAAGGTCTTCACAGTCTCAACCCATCACCCCCCTGGGCTGGAATAGACGGTGATAGGGTTTAACTGTGTCCCCAGCCAAATCTCACCTTGAATTGCAGCTCCCATAATTCCTTTGTGTTGTAGGAGGGACCGAGTGGGAGATAACTGAATCATAGGTTTCCCCCATACTGTTCTCATAGTAGTGAATAAGTCTCACAAGATCTGATGGATTTATAAAGGGTTTCCCTTTTTGCTTGGTTCTCATTCTCTCTTGTCTGCCGCCATATGAGACGTGCCTTTCACCTTCCACCATGATTGTGAGGCCTCCCCAGCCACGTGGAACTATGATTCCATTAAACCTCTTTTTCTTTATAAATTACCCAGTCTCGGGTATGTCTCTATCACTAGTGTGAAAATGGACTAATCCAGATGGATTCTGCCAAATTCCCTACAGAACTTCCTCCTCTCTCCTCTCTGCAGGTTTCCACACACATCTGCTGACTGCCAACAACACCCAGTAGCCCCAGCCTTCACCACACAGCAGACACCTTAGAGATTCATTCGAGTCACCAGCAAGCATCTGCCAGGCACTGATAGGATGTGGGAGGGATACAAACAACCCACAGGCAGTTTACATTTTCGTAGAAAGAACACTCAAGAAAACCTAAAGTAACAGCCCAGGTTCAGAAGTCCTATGGAAGGATTCATCACACAAGATTAGAGCAATAAAAGAGAGGGAGCATTGCTCATTTTAAAAGTTTTATTTTTAATTATGAAATATTTCAAACACATAAAATAACAGCAGCATTCTTATCACCCACATTTAACAGAGATCTCTCTCTCATTCTCTCCTTCTGAATTTTCATCTCTATCTCTTTCTGTTCTTTTTTCTTTTCTTTTTTTTTAAGAGACAGGGACTTACTCTATTGTCCAGGCTGGAGTGCAATGGCATAATCATAGCTCACTGCAGCCCCTACCTCCCAGGCTCAAGCAATTCTCCCATCTCAGCCGCCCAAGTAGTTTGGACTACAGGTATGCTCCACCATGTTCAGCTAATATTTTATTATTTTTTTGTAGGAACAGAGCCTTGCTATATTGCCCAGGCATGTCCTCAACTCCTGGCCTCAAGCCATCTTCCCGCCTTAACCTCCCAAAATGCTGGGATTACAAGCAGGAGCCACCGCACTCGGCTCTATTTCTTTTTCAAGAAATAAAACTTTAGAGGCCGGGCACGGTGGCTCATGCCTGTAATTCCAGCACTTTGGGAGGCTGAGGCGGGCAGATCACTTGAGGCCAGGAGTTGGAGACCTGCCTGGGAAAAATGGGGAAACCCTGTCTTTACCAAAAATACAAAATATTAGCTGGGCATGGTGGCATGCACCTGTAATCCTAGCTACTCCAGAGGCTGAGGCATGAGACTTGCTTGAACCTGGGAGGCAGAGGTTGCAGTGAGCCAAGATCGCGCCACTGAACTCCAGCCTAGGTGACAGAATGAGACTCCATCAAAAAAAAATAGAAAAGAAAGAAAACCTTAGAGAAGCTGCTAATGCCCCAGCTTAGTCTAGCTTTCTCACTTCCTCTCCCTCTCTGAATGTAACTCTATTCCTGAAATTGATGCTATAGTAGTCAGGGTTCTCCAGAGAAAGGAGAGTGATCATGAGAAATTGGCTCACGCAATTTAGGAAGCTGAGAAATCCTGTGATCTGCTCCCTGCAAGCTGGAGATCCAGGAAAGCCCGTGGTATCAATTCCATTCTGAGTCTGAAGGGCTGAGAACCAGGAGAGCTGATGGTGTAAATCTCAGTCCAAGGGCAGGGGAAGATGAGATGAGACATCCCAGCTCAGCAGGCAGGAAGAAAAAGGGCAAATTCCTCCTCTTCCACCTTTAGGTTCTGTTCAGACTCTCAGTGAATTGAATGATGCCCACTCACATTAGGAAGGGTAATCTGCCCTACTCAGTCCACCAATTGAAATGCTGGTGTCATCTGGCAGTACCCTCATATCCAGAAAACATGTTTAATCTGGGCATCCTGTGGTGTGGTCAAGTTGATGCATAAAATTCGCCTTCACAGACAGATCCCATCTGTACTTTTTGTATGAGGATTCTTGGAGAGGCAGGAAAGCTTCCAGGAAAAGAAGTTAATCAGGAGCCGGATGCGGTGGCTCAAGCCTGTAATCCCAGCACTTTGGGAGGCCGAGGCTGGTGGATCCCCTGAGGTCAGGAGTTTGAGACCAGCCTGGGCAACATGGCGAAACCGCATCTCTACTGAAAATACAAAATTATCCAGGCGTGGTGGGGGCCTCTAATCCCAGCTACTAGGGAGGGCAGGATAATTGCTCGAACCTGGGAGGCGGAGGTTGCAGTGAGCCGAGATTAGAGATTACACCACTGCACTCCAGCCTAGGCGACAAGAGCAAAACTCTGTCTCAAAAACAAAAACATTGAGGCCGGGCGTGGTGGCTCACGCCTGTAATCCCAGCACTTTGGGAGGCCAAGGCGGGTGGATCACGAGGTCAGGAGATCAAGACCATCTTGGCTAACACAGTGAAACCCCATCTCTACTAAAAATACAAAAAACTAGCCAGGCATGGTAGTGGGCGCCCGTAGTCCCAGCTACTCTACTCGGGAGGCTGAGGCAGGAGAATGGCGTAAACCCCGGAGGCAGAGCTTGCAGTGAGCCGAGATCTGGCCACTACACTCCAGCCTGGGCGAAAGAGCGAGACGCCGTCTCAAAAAAAAAAAAAAAAAAGAAAAAAAAAGTTAATCAGGAAGTGTGGGGACAGTGTATTCCAGACAGAGGGATCAGTGTGTGCCAAGGTCCAAAGGCTTGGCACACTTGCCTGAGACTAGTTATGAGGATTTTGCATTGATCCAGGGGGAAAATGTGGGTGGCCTAAACTCAGAAAGTGAGGGTGAGTTATAGAGAACAGGGCGGACCCAAGAGAAATTGAGGAAGGAGATCCCGTGGGCCCTGGTGATTCTCCTGTCTTGAAGGAGGCAGTGACTCAGGTATAACATCCAGGCTACTTGGTGCTACTGGCAGGCTTCCAGGCTTCTGGTTTCAGGAGAGGTGGAGGATATTGCATTTGGTTTCAGTCATGCCTTTAAGGGCACGCTGGTAATATCAGATAGGCAACTAGAGATATCTGGGCTGTATGGCTTTTGCTGCAGAAAAGCAAGCCACAAGTCTGTCTGCCCTTCTATAAACTAGAGAATAAGGCACCCACCCAGAGAAGTCTGCATTCAAACCTCTCTTATCCACTTCTTCCTTCCCTCTCTACCTCCTGACCAGAGAGGAAACTGCAGCCTGTCTTGGGTATTTGCCACTGTTCAAACCTTAGACTCATCCAGTGTTCAAGAAAATTGCTCAGTTTCCTTCACGCTCTCTGGTATCATTTAGACCCAGCATCAGCCTGGCTGTAGAGGAGCTGGGCACGTGAGTGAGTTTCATGCCAATGGCAGGCTGGAAGGCGGGAATAAAATCAAAGCCGTCCCTGAGAGGGTAAACTGGTTAGTGTCATGGAGAAAAATCACAGCCGACTGGGCACAGTGGCTCATGCCTGTAATCCCAAGCACTTTGGGAGGCCAAAGCGGGCACATCACCTGAGGTCAGGAGTTCAAGACCAGCCTGGGTGACACAGCGAAACCCCATCTCTACTAAAAATACAAAAATTAGCCGGGTGTGGTGGTGTGCACCTGTAATCCCAGCTACTCGGGAAGCTGAGGTGGGAGAATCGCTTGAGCCCGGGAGGCGGAGGTTGCAGTGAGCAGAGATTGTAGCCACTGCACTCCAGCCTGGGCAATGGAGTGAAACTCTGTCTCAAAAAAAAAAAAAAAAAAAAAAAAGAAAGAAAAGAAAGAAAAATCACGGTGCCTCAATTGCCCGTATTAAAAGAAATCCTACTGCTGATTTTGCCATTTTTTCCTTTGTATCCACTGATTTCCCAAAGAATTTAAGGAGAAACTCTGTAGTGGTTTCCAATGTTCAAATAAACAGCAGTAGTGGCTGTGGGATCAAAACTGCATTCCAAGAACATTGCTCCACTCAGTTCAGTATGATTCATTTCAAGGCCACTTTTTCTTTCTATACATTTATTTCATTTTCAGAGTTGGGGTCTCGCTCAGTCCCCCAGGCTGGAGTGCAGTGGCATAATCGTAGCTCACTGCAGCCTGGAACTCTTGGGCTCAAGTGATCTTCCTGCATCAGCCTCCCAAGTAGCTAAAAGTGGAGACTTTAAGACCCACCAGCATGCCTGGCTAATTTACGTTTATTTTATTTTTGTACAGATGAGGTCTCACTGTACTGCTCAGGCTGGCCTTCAACTCTTGACCTCAAGCGGTCCTCCTGCTTTACCCTCCCAAAGCTCTGGGAGTACAGACACATGCCATCACCCCTGGCTAATTAAAAAAAGAAAAACATCCCAGCACTTTGGGAGGCCGAAGCGGGCGGATCACGAGGTCAGGAGATTGAGACCATCTTGGCCAACATGGTGAAACCCCGTCTCTACTAAAAATACAAAAATTAGCTGGGCGTGGTGGCACACACCTGTAATCCCAGCTACTCAGGAGGCTGAGGCAGGAGAATCACTTGAACCCGGGAGTCGGAGGTTGCAGTACTCCAGCCTGGCGACAGTCTCAAAAAAAAAAAAAAAGAAAGAAAGAAAGAAAAGAAAAGAAAAACAAAAATCATACTCTTTTTTTTTTTTTAGAGATAGGATCTTGCTATGTTGCCCAGGCTGGCCTTGAACTCCTGTAAGGCCCTTTAACAATGTGCACACCCAAGCAATGTGGTCACTTGCACTCTCAGCCACGACCCCCTCTGCCCCACCACACACATTGTTCATCTTGACCTCAGCTCAATTATTTAACAGATTTATTGCCAAACCTGGGTTTTCATGCACGATTTCCAGGAAATGTGAGAGTTGAAATCAAGTTGAACTTATGTGGTTTTGCTCCTTAACTTGAGTTTTCTCTATGATTTCTGGGAGACTTTATAGGTCTGTCTTCAGCAATCTCTGCTAGTTGCTTATTTTGACTCTAGGAAGCTTTAAGGTAATCTATCCTATTAAACCCAAATAGAATGTTGGCAAGAGTTTTAGTATCAGCCCCCACCAAAGAATAGTTTATCTTGCCTGAGAAGGATAAGATCAAATATCCATGTCATTGGAGGGAATTTTCTTTGCTTGACTTTCAGAATAAAATATGCTTTGAACTCCTTTACTGGAGGAAATAAAAAAAAATTAAAAATAAAAGCAAAAATGTCTTCAGTTGAATCACTTTGGCAAAACCACTGCCCCTGCCTTCTCTCAGCAAGCTTGGAGGCTTCAGAATTTGTATGAAAGTGTCTTAGCATTGAGCCATTTTCAAGTGTAACTACATATTAACACCTGTCACCATATTGAAAGACCTGAGAATCAGTTTATACTCACTTGTCAGGACAGAAACCTTTAGTGTAAAAACTGATGTGAAATATGAGAGACCCTCACAACACAACTTGATTAGTTTCCAAATATATTTTAGCAGAACCACAGAGATGTATATACCCAAAGGGATTAGAACCTGGCTCTTCCTGACAAGCCCGTTCTTGTCTGCCACTCCATGAAGCAAAGAGGGACAACTATTCTCAGGAACCATCTTCTATTTTTCCATCAGTAGTAACTTTCTCTACGCTTTTCCTTACTTTATCATGTATTTGTGGTGTAAAAGCCATTCAAGAAGACATAAGCAGGTTTGGCATGGTGGCTCATACCTGGAAAGCCAAGGTGAGAAGATTGCTTGAGGCTAGGAATTCAAGACCAGCCTGCACAACATAGCAAGGCTCCATCTCTGCAAAACAAATTCTTTATAATTAGCTGGACATGGTGGTGTGCACCTGTAGTTCCATTTATTTGGGAAGCTGGGCAGGAGGGTTGCTTGAGCCCAGGTGTTAGGGCCTGTAATGAGCTGTGATTGTACCACTGCATGCCAGCCTGAGTGACACAGCAAAACCCTGTCTGTAAATAAATAAATGAAGTTAAAATATAATGCTTCAGGCTGGGCGTGGTGGCTCATGCCTGTAATCCCAGCACTTTGGGAGGCCGAGGCAGGTAGATCATGAAGTCAGGGGATCGAGACCATCCTGGCTAACATGGTGAAACCCCGTGTCTACTAAAAATACAAAAAATTATCCGGGTGTGGTGGCGGGCACCTGTAGTCCCAGCTACTCGAGAGGCTGAGGCAGGAGAATGGCATGAACCTGGGAGGTGGAACTTGCAGTGAGCCGAGATGGCACCACTGCACTCCAGCCTGGGTGACAGAGCGAGACTCCAACTTATATATATGAAAATGCTTCATGATATTCTTATTATGTATTATTTTTCTTTCCTGTGTTTCCATTAAAATAATCATGAAGATGTACAAATAGAGGGACAAAATTTAACACTGGAAACCAAAGATAAAAGTTGAGAAGAAAATTTCTGATAACCACAGAACCTGAAAGACTGAAGAAGAAATTCAACAGATGATTAACTTACATGCTACCTTTTGAACCATAGTAATTCTGCCAAGCTACAACCAATGGGGAGTCTACAGCCAGCTTAAAATAGAATGGCCTACATCTTTCCTTTCTCACATAATAAGTGCCCTTTTCTTTCCTTTACTACCCATGTCTGTGGTTTTGGGGGACTCGGAGGCCCTCTATCCTAGAGATATCCACTGTTCTCTCCATTACCTCATCTGAGGAACACAGGCTTGGGTCTAACAGCTAATTTCTCATCAGAAACCAAGAAGGTCAAAAGCTGTTAGGATGACATATTCAACATGCTGAAAGGAGATAAAACACTGTGAACCAAAATTTTATATCGAGCAAAACTAAAGTCAATATAAATGGATGTTTTGTTCGTAACTCTTTTTTCTGTCTGACCAAAAAGACAACTCATAAAGCAAGAATTATAAATCTGTGTTAATTGGGCACATAAAATATAAAGGTGTAATTTGTGAAAATAACAGCATAGAGGAAATGGACAAGACTGAGATGGGTTTGTTTACTGGTTAGTTCTACCAATATTTAAGGTAAAAATTATAACAATTCTCTGCAATCTCTTTCAGAAGGCTGAAGCAGAGGGAATACTTCCTAACTCATTCTATGAGGCCAGCATCACCCTACTATCAAAACAAAAAAAGATATTACAAGAAAAAAATGACCAACTCATAACTTACATAAATATAGATGCAGAAATTCTCTAAAGAATTAGCCAGTGTCATCCACCAATGTGTAAAAATAATTATGTACCACAATCAAGTGGAATTTATCCAAGTTACACAAGGCTGGCTCAGTATTTGAAAAATCAACTAATGTAATCCATCACATCACTTTCTAAAGAAGCAAAAGTTAAAATATAACAGATGTTGGCAAGGTTGCAGAGAAAAGCTAATTTTTATTGGTGGGAAGGTAAATTGCTTCAGCCACTGTGGAAAGCACTTTGGAGATTTCTCAAATAACTTAAAATGAACTACCATTCAACCCAGCAATCCCATTACTGGGTGTATACCTAAAGGAAAATAAATCCTTCTACCAAAAAGACATCTGCATCCGTATGTTCATCACAGCACTATTCACAATAGCAAAGACATGGAATCAACCTAGGTGCCTGTCAGTGGTGGATTGGATAAAGAAAATGTGATATATATACACATCATGGAATACTATGCTGCATTAAAGAATGAAATTATGTCCTTTGTAGCCACATGGATGCAGCTGGAGGCCATCATCCTAAGTGAATTAATGCAGAAACAGAAAACCAAATACCACATGTTCTCAATTATAAGTAGGAGCCACACATTGGGTAGATACTGGGGACTACTGGAGGGGAACAGGGCTGAAAATCTACCTATTGGGTACTAGGCTCGCTACCTGAGTGATAGACTCATTCATACCCCAAACATTAGCTTCATGAAATATACCCATGTAACAAACCGGCACATGTACCTCCTGAACCTAAAATAAAAGTTTAAATTATAAAACAATAATGATAAACCAAAATAAATCAAACCAGGAGATTGAATTACCTTTCACCTATAGATGAAGACCTATTCCTGTACATGGCCAGCTATTAGGAGACCCAGTGTGGTCAAAGCATTTCTAGTTTCTCAACATCCACCAGATCCTCAGCCTCACAACATGACATTTTTGAGAGAAAAGTATGTGGGGTTTTTGGGTGGGGGAGGGAGGATTACAATAACTATTATTTCTAGTTTCATAGACAGCAATAAAATCCATAATTAGTTTATTATTATTAAATAAAATATTTTTACTATAGGCTCTATTTACAGTGTTTAAATAAACTACATTCTAAATGTTAAAAAAAAAGAAAATTACAAGTTTATATCAGTAGATGCAGAGAAAGCATTTGACAAAATCCAGTACCTATTCGTGATAAAAACTCTCAGTAAACTAGAAATAAAAAGTAATTTCCTCAATGTGATAAATACTACCTACAAAACACCTACATCTAACATCATACTTACTGGTGAGACACATGAGGCTTTCCCACTAAGATCAGGAACAAGGCAAGGATACCCCTTCCCACCACTGCTTTTCAACATCATACTACAAGTCCTACCTAATGTAATAAGACATAAAAAGGAAATAAAATGTACACTGATTGGTAAGAAAGAAATGAAACTGTCTTTATTCACAGATGACATGATAGTCTGTGAAGAAAATATGAAATAACTGACAAAAACAACTCTTGGAGCTAATAAATGATTATAGCAAGGTTGCAAGATACAAGATTAATATACAAAAATCAATCACTTTCCTATATGCCAGCAAAAAACAAGTGGAAACTGGATTTAAAAACACATGCCACTTTCATTGTTACCCCCCAAAATAATATACTTAGGAATACATATAGTGAAGTGTGTACAGGATCACTGTGAGGAAAACTACAAAACTCTAATGAAAGAAATCAAATAATAGCTAAATAAGTGGAGAGCCATTCCATGTTCATAGATATAAAGATTAAATACTGTCAAGATGTCAGTTCTTCCCAACTTTATCTATAATGTCAATGCAATTCCAATCAAAATCACAGCAAATTATGTTGTGATATTGACAAACTGGTTTTACAATTTATTATGAAGAAGCAAAAGACTCATAGTGGCCATCACATTATGAATTGAGAAAAAGAGGACTGGCAGTACCTCACTACAGTAATCAAGATTGTGTGGTATTAATAAAAAAATAGACAAATAGATTCGTAGAACAGAATAGGGAGCTCATAAATAGACACACATAAATATAGTCAACTTTTCTTTTAAAAAGGAGCACAAACAATAACATGGAGGAAAAAAATAGTCTTTCAGCAAGTGGTGCTAGAAGAACAGGACACCAACATGCAAAAACAACAACAAAAAAGAATCTAGTCACAGACTTTGTACCATTCACAAAAACTAACTCCAAATGGATCACAGGCCTAAATGTGAAAGACAAAGCTATAAAATTCCTAGGAGATAACATATGAGAAAATCTAGATGACCTTGGGTTTAGCAGTGACTTTTTACATACAATATCAAAGGCACAATCCATAAAAGAAAGAAGTGATAAGCTGAACTTCATTAAAATTAAAATTTATACTCTGTGAAAGGCACTGTCAAAAGAATGAAAGAAGTCACAGACTGGAAGAAAATATTTGCAAAGGACTTATTTAATAAAGGGCTATTATCCAAAGCATACAAATAATTCTTAAATGCAACAATAAGAAAACAAACAACCCAATTAAAAAAAGAGACAAATACCTTAAAAGATACCTCCCAAAAGCAAATATACAGATGGAAAATAAGGATATGAAAAGATGTTCACATCATATGTCATCATGGAAATGCAAATTAAAATAATGAGATACCACTAACCTATAAGAACAACTCCAATCCAGAATATTGACAACATCAAGAATGTGAAGCAAAGAAATTTTCATTCATTGCTGGTAGGAATGTAAAATGGTACAACCACTTTGGAAGACAGTTACGTAGTTTTTTACAAAACTAAACATACTCTTGCCATATGATTCAGGAATCTTGTTCCTTGGAATTTAACCAAAGGAAGTGTAAACTTATGTCCACCCAAAAACCTGCATATGGGGGTTTATAGCAGCTTCATTCATAGTTGGAAAGACATGGAAGCAGCCAAGATCTTCTTCAATAGGTGAGCGAATAAACTGTGGTACATCTAGGCAATGGAATATTATTCAGTACTAAAAAGAATGAGTTAGCAAGCCATAAAAAGATATGAAGAAACCTCAAGTGCATATTACTCTAGTAAATGAAAGAAGCAAAGCTGGAAAGACTATAATGTATTATTCCAATTATATGACATTCTAAAAAAGGCAAAACTATGGAAACCATAAAAAGATCAGTAGTTGCCAGGAGTTAAAGGGAAGATAATAATGAATAGGGAAGGCACAGAGGATTTTTAGGGCAAATATCCAAAACCATAGATTATACAACATAAAGAATGGAGCCTCATATACGCTATGGACTTTGGGTGATAACGATGTGTCCATGTAAGTTCATCAAGTATAAGAAATATGTCACTCTGTTAGGGATGTTGATAATGGGAAAGTCTGTGCATGTGTGAGGGCAGGGGATAAATGGAAAATCTTTGTACCTTTCACTCAATTTTGCTGTGAACTTAAAACTGCTCTAAAGTAATAAGTCTTTAAAAAAAAAGGTGAGGGGGAGTGACACAAGCATGATGGCAGAATAGGAGTTTTCAGCACTCATTCACCCACAGGAACACTGATTTTGAGAACCCCCCACAGATGAGAGTCCATTTGTGAGAGCCTGGGAGTCCAGCAGAGAGGTCCCAGCACCTCACTGGAGCAAAAAATCTGAAAATAGATGCACTGAAAAGGGTAAGAAGAACAATTTCACTTTACTCATGTCACCACACCCCCAAAGCAGCACAGCTCAGTGCCAAGAGAACTCCTTGGCCTGCAGTTTCTGCCACAGGGGAAAGTGAAAGCATAGTGAGTGCCTGTTTTCCCCAACCATGTGGGATGCTGTCCAAGAGGTCCACTTCTTTTTTGTCTTATCCAGAACACGAAGCAGATTGGCACAGCTGAATAGTCTGGGACCAGATAAAAGCAACAATAAGAGACAGGGGCTCAAACCATCCGGGACACAGAACTCAACAAAAGGCTGTTGTTTCTACTAACTACCTCACATTCTTCTCCAGCAAGAGGCCTGCCCATGAACGTAGTTAGGACATAGCACCTGGCGATTTCCCCAACTAATTCATGCACTCACCCAGTATTTCGTGTGCCCTTCTCCTCCCACAGCTGATACCCTGAGTGCATTCCCACTGATAGCACACTCAAGCATCTGCAGGTCATGCACAAGCACAGATAGACAGCTGTCTCAGCCCTGCTAGATTGGGAAAGGCATTTAACCTTGCATATTTTAAAGAACTGCCCTGGGAAAAATGAACAGGACACTCTCAGCACCCAGCTGCCTTTGCATAATTGAAAGAAGGCATACAATCCTAAGACCTTCTCCTCAAGACAGAATAAGAGGACTAGAGTGTATCAATGAAAATGTCTGAGAGACACCGAATTACTAGTTGGGCTGACTGGTGAAGGTCTTTCTCTTCTAAAGCCAGTCAGTAAAGACTGGATGAGGTCACTGCTTCTTCACATGTGAATACACCAATGCAAGACTTCAAGAAACATGAAAAATCAGTGAACAAAAACATCACCAAAGAAACTCAATAATATTCCATTAACTGACCCTATAGAAATGGATATCTCAAAACTGTCTGACAAAGAATTTAAAATAATTGTTTTAAAGGGCTCAGTGAGCTACAAAAGAACACAGATTAACAACTCAATGAAATCAGGAAATCAATACATAAACAAAATAAGAAGTTCAACAAAGAGATAGAAATTATTAAAGAGAACCAAACACAAAATCTAGAGGGGAAGAATACAATAGGAGAAATGAAAAATGCAATAGAGAGCTTCAGCAGCAGATTCCACCAAGTAGAAGAAAGAATCTATGAATTCAAAGCCAGATCATTTGAAATTATCCAGTCAGAGATGACAAAAGAAAAAAAGAATAAAAAGGAATGGGGAAAGCCTATGAGATTTATGAGACACCATCAAGCAAACCTATATTTTATATACATATTATATATTTTTATATATTTATATATAAATATATATTATATATTTTTATATATTTTTATATATATTATATATTTTTATATATTTATATATAAATATATATTATGTATTATATATTATTATATAAATATATAATAGATAATATATATTTTATATATTGTTTATATATATTAAATATATATTATATATTATATATATATTAAATATATAATATATAAAATATATATAAATAAATATATACATATATAAATATATATATTTATATTATATATTTATATATGTATATATTTATATTTATATAATATTATATATATATATATATATATAGAAAGGGTTATTCTACACAAATCATAACCAAAAGAGAGCAGGTTTGGCTGTTTTATATCAGACAAAATAGACTTTAAATCAAAAAGTGTTATAAGAGCTAATGAAGCTCATTGTGTAATAATAAAAGGATTAATCCATCAAGAGGTTATACTAATTTTAAATATATATGTACTCAACACTGGAACACAAAAATATATAAAGCAAATATTAATAGAACTGAAGAAAGAAAGAGACAACAATACAATAATAGTAGGGAACTGTAAACAATGAATAGACCATCCAGACTGAAAATTCTGTAGGGAAACAACAGATTTGAATACACTACATACCAAGTGGACCAAACAGACATGTACAGAACATTTCATACAATAGCAGCAGACTACACATTTTTATTAAGTGTACACAGACCATCTCTGGTATAGATCGTATGTTGAGCACGAAACAAATCTTAACAAATTTAAGAGGAGTGAAATTATATCAACTATCTTTTTTGATATGAAACTAAAAGTCAATGTCAAGAGAAAAATTTGAATTTTCACAAATATGTGTAAACAACATGTTCCAGGACAACAAATGGGTTAAAGAAGAAAGCAAAGGGTAAATCAAAGAATACTTTCAGACAAATGAAAATTGAAACACAACATGCCAACTTATGGGATGTAGCAAAATAAGTTCGAAGAGGGGAGTTTATAGTGATAAACACCTATGTGAAAAAAAGAAAGCTCTAAAATACACAAATTTAAATCTCAAGGAATTAGAAAAATAAGAACATAGTAAGCCTGAAGTCAGCAGAAGGAAGGAAATAAAAATTAAAGCAGCAATAAATGAAACAGAGACTACAAGAACAAAAGTTTAATAAAAGTAAAAAGTCAAGTTTTAAAAAAAAGATAAACAAAACTGGCAAATTTTAATTAGAATTACCAAGGAAAAAGAGAGAAAACACAAATTTAACAATTAGAAATGAGGCCAGGCACAGTGGCTCACGCCTATAATCCTAGCACTTTGGGAGGACAAGGTGGGCAGATCACTCGAGGTCAGGAGTTCGAAGCCAGCCTGGCCAACATGGGGAAATCCCATCTCTATTAAAACAAAACAAACCAAAACAAAAAAATAGCTAGGTGTGGTGGCAGGCACTTGTAATCCCAGATACTCAGGAGGCTGAGGCAGGAGAAGGAGGATTGCTTGAACCCAGGAGGCAGAGGTTGCAGTGAGCCGAGATCACACCACTGCACTCCAGCCTGGGTGACAGAGCAAGACTCCAGCTCAAAAAAAAAGGAAAATTATAATTGAGAGAAGAGACACTACAACTTATGCCACAGTAATACAAAGGATTATAAGAGACTACTATAAATAATTATATACCAACAAATTGGATAACCTAGAAGAAACAGATAAACTCTTAGAAACATACAACCTACAAAGACTGAATCATAAAGAAATAGAAAACAGACCAATAATGAATAAGGAGATTGAATCAGTCATCAGAATATCCCAAAAAAGAAAAGCACAGAGTCAGATGTATTTACTTGTGAATTCTACCAAACATTTAAAATAGAATTAATGTCAACCCTTTTCAAATTCTTTCAACAAATTGAAGATGAGGGTACACTTATAAATTCATTTTATAAGGCCAGTATTACCCTGATACTAAAACCAGAAAGAACACTGTAAGAAAAGAAAATTACAGTCAAAATCCTCAACAAAATACTAGCCATCTGAACTCAATAACACATCAAAAAGATCATACACCACAATGAAATGGGATATATCCCTGGCATGCAAGGGTGATTCAACATATATAAATCAGTACTAAGATATGCCCATTAACAGAGTGAAGAATAAAAATCAGATCACCTCACCCCTGTAATCCCAGCACTTTGGGAGGCTGAAGCGGGCAGATCATGAGGTCAGGAGATCAAGACCATCCCGGATAACACTGTGAAACCCCATCTTTACTAAAAATACAAAAAATTAGCCAGACATGGTGGGTCATGCCTGTAGTCCCAGCTACTTGGGAGGCTGGGGCAGGAGAATTGCTTGAACCCGGGAGGCAGAGGCTGCAGTGAGACGAGATCGCACCACTGCACTCCAACCTGGGTGACAGAGTGAGACTCTGTCAAAAAAAAAAAAAAATTCAGATCATTATCTCAATACTGGCAAAAAAAAAAAATTGACAAAATTTGACAACATTTTTTAATGGTAAAAAAAAATTCTCTATAAATTAGGTACAGAAGGAATGTGCCTCGACATAGTAAAGCCCATGTATGATGAACCCACAGATAATATCATCCTCAATGGTGAATAGTTGAAGGCTTTCCCTCTAACATCAGTAACAAGACAAGGATTCCCACCCTTACCACTTTTGTTCAACATGGTATTGTAAGTTCTAGCCTGAGTAATTAAGTAAGAAAATATATAAAAGGTATCTGAGTCATGGAGAAAGAAGTAAAATGGTATGTGTTTGCAGACAACATAATCTCATATATAGAAAACCTAGATACACCACCACAAACCTGTTAGAACAAATAAGCAAATTTAGTAAAGTTGCAGGATTCAAAATTTACATGCAAAAATCAGTTGTGTTTCCATACACTAAGAACAAACTACCTAGAAAAAGAAATTTTAAACTTTCTATTTACAATAGTATCAAAAACAATACAATATTTAGGAATAAATTTAACCAAGGAAGTGAAAGATCTGTACACCAGAAACTATGTATGACATTTATGAAAGAAATTGAAGAAGGCACAAATAAATGGAAAGCCATCCTTTGTACATGCACTGGAAGAATTAATATTGTGAAAATGTCCATACTACCCAAAGTGATCTACATATTCCATGTAATCCCCATCAAAATTCCAATGAAATATTTTGCAGAAATAAAAAATTAATTCTAAAATTTGTATAGAACTACAAAAGACCCAAATAAACTAAAACAATCTTGAGAAAAAAAGCTGAAGGCATCATACTACCTGATTTCAAAATATATTACAAAGCTTTACTAACCAAAATAGCATGGCACTGGCATAAAAATAGATGCAATAACCAATGAAACAGAACAGAGAGCCCAGAAATAAACCTACACATTTATAATCAATTAATTTTCAACAGAGGTGCCCAAAACACACAGTGAGTAAAGGACAGTTTTCAATACGTGGCGTTGAGAAAATGGAATTTTCACATGCAGAATGAAATTGGACCCTCATATCACAATACATACGAAAATCAACTCAAAATCAATTAAATCAATTAAAGACTTGAATATGAGACCTAAAACTTTAAAACTACTTGAAGAAAAACATAGATAAATAGCTCCATGACATTGGCCTGGGCAATGATTTTTGGATATGACCCTCAAAGCACAGGCAACGAAAGCAAAAATAGACAAATAGGACTGCATCAAACTAAAAAAGCTTCTGCACAGCGAAGGAAACAACAGAGGGAAGAGACAACCTGTGGATTGGGACAAAATATTTGAATAACATACAGTTGTTTATGGGTTCATATCCAAAATATATAAGGAACTCAAACGATTCAATAGCCAAAGACAGAAAACCTCCCCAAACCAAAGAAAAATCCAAAATAACCTCGTTTTTTAACGGACAAAGACCTAAATAAACATTTCTCCAAAGAAGACATACAAATGGCCAACAGGTGTATGAAAATGTGCTCAATATCACTAATCATCAGATAAATGTAAATAAAAGCTACAATGAGATATGTATTAGTCCGTTTTCACGTTACTGATAAAGACATACCCAAGACTGCGTAATGTATAAAGAAAAAGAGGTTTAATGGACTTACAGTTCCACATGGCTGGGGAGGCCTCACAATCATGGTGGAAGGTGAAAGACCCGTCTTACATGGTAGCAGGCAAGAGAGAGAATGAGAGCCAAGCAAAAGGGGAAACCCTTTATAAAGTCGTCAGATCTCGTGAGACTTATTCACTACCTCGAGAACAGTATGGGGGAAACCACCCCCATGATTCAATTACCTCCCACTGGGTCCCTCCCACAACACGTGAGAATTATGGGAGCTACAATTCAAGATGAGATTTGTGTGGGGACATGGCCAAACTGTATCAAGATATGACCTCATACCTGTTAGATTGGTTATTTTCAAAAGCAAAACAACAAGTGTTGGCAAGTATGTGGGGAAAAAGGTACCCTTGCATAATGTTGGTGAGAATGTAAATTAGTCCAGCCATTTTGGAAAACATTATGGAGACTCCTCAAAAAATTAAAAATATAGTAACCATATGATCCAGCACTTCTGGGTATATATCCAGAGGAAATGAAATCAGTGTCTCACAGAGATATCTTCACTCTATGTTCACTGCTGCATTATTCACAATATCCAAAATATGGAAACAACATGAGTGTCCATTGATGGACGAATGGATAAAATGTGCAGTACATACACAATGAAATATTGTTCCGCCATACAAAAGAATGGAAGCCTGGCATTAGTGATAACATGAATGAACCCGGAAAACCTTATATTAAGTGAAATAAGCCAGACACAGAAAGAAAAATACTATATGACCTCACTTATATGTGGAATCTAAAATAGTCAGACTGATAAAAGCAGAGAGTAGAATGGTGGTTGCCAGGGGCTGTGTGTCGGGGAAATAGGGAGATACAGGTCAAAGCATACAAAGTTTCAGCTATGCAGGATGAACAGATTCTGGAGAACTAGTGGTTAGCATGTTGACTCTAGTTAATAATACTGGATTGTACACTGGAAGTTTGCTGAAAGAGTAAATAAGTCTTAAGTGTTCTCACACACACACACAAACTATATGAGGTGATGAATATGTCTATTAGCTTGATTGTGGTGATAATTTTACAATATCTACATATATCAAACATCACATTGTATACTTCAATGTGTACAATTTTTATTTGTCAATTGTACCTGAGTAAATCTGGGGAGAAAGAGTTGCTAAAACTTTTCCAAATTTGATGAAAACTATAAACCATAGATTCGAGAAGCTCAGTGAATCCCAAACACAAGAAACATGAAGGATTTTGCACTAAGTTGCTTAAATCAAGCAATAAAGATTAAAAAAATTCAACATCCAGGGGGAAAAAAGACATTATAGGCCAGGTGTGGTGGCTCACGCCTATAATCTCAGCACTTTGGGAGGCCAAGGTGGGCAGATCACCTGAGGTCAGGAGTTCAAGACCAGCCTGGCCAATGTGGCAAAACCTCGTCTCTACTAAAAATACAAAAACTAGCTGGGCGTGGTGGCATGCGCCTGTAGTCCCAGCTGCTCGAGAGGCTGAGGCAGGAGAATTGCTTGAACCTAGGAGGTGGAGGCTGCAGTGAGCTGAGATCGCACCACTGCACTCCAGCCTGGGTGACAGAGCAAGACTCTATCTCAAAAAAATAAAATAAAATAAAAAGACATTATACACAAAGAACCAGAGAAAAGAATGACTGAAGACATCAGGAATCAGTCTAGAAAATAGTGGTGTAATTTCTTTAAAAGACTGAGAACAAAGTATCAACCTAGATTTTTACCCAGTTAAAAAAATCACAATCATGGCGGGAGATGAAGGAGGAGCAAAGGCACTTCTTACATGGTGGCAGGCAAAAAGAGTGTGTGCAGGACAACTCCCCTTTATGAAACCATCAGATCCTGTGAGACTTATTTACTATCACAAGAATAGCATGATTTAATTACCTCCCACCAGGTCCCTCCCACATCACATGGGGATTATGGGAGCTACAATTCAATATGAGATTTGGGTGGGGACATAGCCAAACCATATCACCCAGAGAGAAGTACTGAGCTCAAGGTTATGCACCAAGCAGTTAATGGCAGAACTAGGACAGGAACCAGGTCCCCAAGCCCTGGCCTTGCCTCTTACCCACAGTGCACAACTTTCCCTCTCAGCCTCCAGACAGCCACAGAATCTCACAGTTCCCAGAATGAGTCTGAGTCCGGCTTCAGCCCAGGCAATGAAGATACTGATGTGTTTGCTCCATGCATGGGCCCTGGAATGTCCTCGTGAGGGACTTTTCCCTTTGTGGGACTCATCACCCCACAGGGCTTAGCTGCGGGGTTCTGGTTGCCACTTCAGGCTGAGGACTGAGAGAGGGAGAAGGAACTTATCCTGGAGAAGGAAGGGTCTCAAGAGAACGTGGAAGTTGCTGGGCACAGTGGCTCATGCCTGTAATCCCAGCACTTTGGGAGGTCAAGACAGGCAGATCACTTGAGCTCAGGGGTTCAAGACCAGCCTTGGCAACATGGTGAAACCCGGTCTCTACTAAAAATACAAGAAATCCTCTGGGCGTGGTGGTGCATGCCTGTAGTTCCAGCTATTCGGGAGGCTGAAATGGGAGGATCGCTTGATCCCAGGAGGCAGAGGTTGCAGTGAGCCGAGACTGCACCACTGAACTTCAGCCTGGGTGACAGAGTGAGACCCTGTCTCAGAGAGAGAGAGAGAGAGAGAGAGAGAGAGAGGAACGAAAGAGAACACAGAAGCTAGGGAGAAAGGCTGAGGCAGGAAAGCAATTCCAGATGGTGGAAGCTGCCAGACCGGGAGGAGGGGGAGGAGGGGAGGGGAGGGGAGAAGCAGGCAGGAAGTGGTCGAAGTAAGGGGCATAGAGGCAGGGAGAGAGAGAGAAACCCCTTTCCTCTCCTTCTAATGCCCATTGTCTACCTAGGGCTGCAGAGGGTTTCAAGGGACCCATAAGCCTTTGAGGGGGCTGTCTGAAAATACCACCCCAAACCTTTGTCCCTGCCTGCTATTCCAACATCAGAGATAAGCTGAGTGGCGAAATTCACGGTTTCCAGGGGTCTCCTAGGAACATGCAAATCATTCAGAGCAGGAATATGATGCCAGAGGTTCCTAACCCTGGCTGCACATTTGAATCATCTGGGGAACTTTTAAAAAATACTGCTGCAACGCTCCACCGCAGACCGATTACTTCTCAATGAGGAGGGGGAGGAAAGTGCCCAGGCCATAATATTTTAAGGCTCCCCAGGCAGTTTTAATGTTTGAGCCAGGGAAATGTGAGAGCCTGGACTGTTTGACTATTTGAAATGTCAGAGCAGAAAAGTACTTAGAAGTCACAGAAGGCTTTTTAGCAGATGGGGAAACTGAGGCCTGGGGACAGGTGCACCCTGGGGAATCTGTGGCAGAGGCCAAGCTGGAAGGCTGCTGCTTCTTCCATCAAGGCTTCCTCTAGAAGCTCCGAGAACAGTGTGGAGGAAAGAGAATAGAGAGGAATTAGGTAGAGGAGAGGAGCAGGCATGAGACATGTGGGGGCGAGACCATGCATTCAAAGGCCAGTGGTTGTCTGCTGTGGTGATGTGCGTCTGAATCTCAGCTACTCTGCTGGCTAAGGCAGGATGATTCCTTCAATCCAGGAGTTTGAATCCTGTCTGGGCAATGGGTAACATGGCAAGACCCCATCAAGAAAGAAAGAGAGAAAGGAAAGAAAATGTAAGAAGAAAGAAAGAAAGAAAGCGAAAAAAAAAAGAGAAAGAAAGAAAGAAAGGAAAGAGAAAAAATAAAGAGAAGACAGAGACAGAGAGAGAGAAAGGAAAGGGGGAGAAAGAAAGGGAAAGAAAAAGAGAAAGGAAAGAAAGAAAAGAAAATGAAAATAAAGAAAGAATAGAAAGAAAAGAAGAGAAGGAAAGAAAAGACGAAGAAAAGAAAAAGAAAGAGAAGGAAAGGAAAGGAAGGAAGGAAGGAAGGAAGGAAAAAAAAGAGAAAGAAGCTGGGGATGGTGGTGTGCACCTGTAGTCCCAGCTACTAGGGAGGCTAAGGTAGGGGGATTGCTTGAGCCTAGGAGTTCAAGTCCAGCCTGGGCAACACGGCAAGACCCCATTTCTAACATAAACAAACAAAATTTAAAATGCCAGTGGTTGGCACTAAGGAGAGGGCCCAGGGATGATGATCTTGACAAAAGTTAGGTTTTTGACAGAGACAGAGACATCCTCCATTTCTCCCCCTTCCTGCCCTCCCATTTCTCCCTTGCTTTTTTTATTTCTTCTTTCCCTTTTCTCCTTAGATCGGCTTTATTTTCATAGATATTTTTCCCTAGCAATCTAGAAAATCCTATCCTAAAATTAAGACTTTGCAGGTGAGGTCTGAACTGCAGAAAGATGGGTGACTTGCCCTGGCTACCACAGCTGCCCCTTCTCAGGACTGGCCGAGCTGGAGGTGCACCCCCCGGCCCCCCGAACGGTTCTTCTGCTGGCACTACCTCTCAGGCTTGCTGATTGGCAGTCAAGGAGGCCGCCGGGCTAATGGAGAGGCTCCCCATTGCTGGACACTTGCTTTCCCGGTCCTCGGAAGGGTGAGAGCAGCTTCCGGGGTGGCAGTGACCCCGGGTGTCTGTTGGCACAGACTCCTTTCCACACCAACAGCCTGGACACATCAGGCCCCGGGGATGAACTCCTAGTTCTCCCAGGTGTCTTACGCGTTGGCAGAGAGCTTGCAAGAAATGCCCGGGGTGTAGCAGGGAGGGCTGCAAGGAGGAGGAGGCGCTGCAGCCAGCCCAGCTCACCTTGCAGACGGAAGCCCTCCTGCAGAGCAGCAGGCGACCTCTCCCTCCTCCAGCAGGTGACCTAGGTTCGGAGCGGCCCAGGCACCGCCGCTCCTATTGCTGTGACCACAGTGTCCTGAGCTGGGGAGCAGACAGGGCAGGAGGCAGCGGAGAGCTGGGTGCAAGTGCAGAGGCGCGCGCTCCCCCGCCGGCCTGGGCCGCCTCCCTCGCCGGGCACCGAGCGCCCTCTAGCGTCAAAACGCCCTCCAACCCGCCGGCTCCCCACACCTGCCTGTCCCGAGCCGAGCCGGGGCCGCCAGGTCCCCGCCGCCAAGCTCAGCGCTTGGAGCCACAGGGGGGATGCCAGCATCTCCGCCACACGGGACGAGTCTCGGCCCATCACTGAGCTGCTGCGGCCATTGCATTTTGCTGTTGTATTGCACTTCCTTGGACCCGGTGCTGCGAAACGTTTTATCTTCTGCATTTAATAAAATAACATTGAACGTTTTTCCTTTTGGAAAAAAAAAATCAGAATTCCAGGTACAGTGAGGTCGGCTGAGGCAACACGTATGACTACAGGGCTGCGTTAATAATTTTGCAGCCAAAACCAAAGAAAGGTGACCTTTGCACCTCACTAGGATACAATATATCCATGTAACGAACCTGCACATGCTGCCCCTGAGTCTAAAATAAAATAAAATAAAATTTAAAAAGAGAAAGGTGACCTTGGCTAGCCTCTGCTACAGCCAGCATCGTAGAATGTACCTTATCCCCTCACACCTGTGTGTACCAAGGACAGGGCCACGTCCTCCGCCATCCAACACTGCCCACTGTAACTGCCCTAGAAATACCATTCTGCCTATTCTTTTCTTTTCTTTTTTATTTTATTTTGCTTTAAATTCCAGGATACATGTGCAAAACGTGCAGGTTTGTTACATAGGTAAATGTACACCATGGTGGTTTGCTGCACCTATCAACCCATCACCTAGGTAATAAGCCCAGCATGCACTAGCTATTTATTCTGATGCTCTCCCCTCCCTCGCCCCCACCCCCAACAGGGCCCGGTGTGTGTTGTTCCTCTCCCTGTGTCCATGTGTTCTCATTGTTCAGCTCCTACTTATGAGTAAGAACATGCGGAGTTTGGTTTTCTGTTTCTGCGTTAGTTTGCTGAGGATGATGGCATCCAGCTTCATCCATGTCCCTGCAAATGACATGATCTTGTTCCTTTTTATGGCTCCATAGTATTCCATGGTGTGTATATGTACCACATTTTCTTTATCCAGTCTATCATTGATGGGCATTTGGGTTGGTTCCATGTCTTTGCTATTGTGAATAGTGCTGCAATAAACATACGTGTGCATGTATCTTTATAATAGAATGATTTATATTCCTTTGGGTGCATACCCAGTAATGGGATTGCTGGATCAAATGGTATTTCTGGCTCTAGATCCTTGAGGAATTGCCACACTGCCTTCCACAATGGTTGAACTAAGTTACACTCCCACCAGCAGTGTAAAGTGTTCCTATTTCTCCACAGCCTCCCCAGCATCTGTTGTTTCTTGACTTTTGTTTTGTTTTGTTTTGTTTTTGAAATGGAGCCTGGTACTGTTGCCTGGGCTAGAGTAAAATGGCATGATCTCAGCTCACTGCAACCTCCTCCTCTCGGGTTCAAGCGATTCTCCTGCCTCAGCCTCCCAAGTAGCTGGTATTACAGGTGTGTGCCACCATGTCTGGCTAATTTTTGTATTTTCAGTAGAGATGGGGTTTCACCATATTGGCCAGGCTGGTCTCGAACTCCCGACCTCATGATCCGCCTGCCTCAGCCTCCCGAAGTGATGGGATTACAGGCGTGAGCCACTGCGCCCGGCTTTGACTTTTTAACAATCGCCATTCTGACTGAATCCTGCCTGTTTCTTCTCCAAGCAAACCTCCATGGCAGAGGTGAACCCAGGTTCTGCCTGTCCCCAGATCCTAGCCTTAGCCTGTCTTTCTCTCTGGTCTTAGTGTCCTTACCTGGTACAGGAAGCTCAAAGCTCCTGGCTTGCTTACATCATTAAAATGCCACATTATGAAGACTCAGTGAAAGCATGTGAATGAGTTTATTACCTGTTAGGGTATGTAAGAAACTGTGGTTGTTGCCTGCTTCCGGGCTCCCGGTATCACTCTCTATCTTAATGAACCCTCAGTCCCCTACTGATTTGATCTCTGCCTTCATCTAAGGGATTTGGACACTCAAAGAAAGCCCTAGGAGGATGGTTCCTCGAGAAGGCTAAATTGCAACCTCAGTGGTCCTCAAAGCTGAGTGCATCCTAATCACCTGCAGGGCTTGTTAAAACAGATTGAGGCCAGGTGTGGTGGCTCACACCTGTAATCCCAGTGGTTTGGGAGGCCAAGGCAGGAGGACTGCTTAAGGTCGGGATTTGAGACCAGCCTGAGTAACACAGTGAAAGCTCAGCTCTACAAAAACAAAAAAATATTCAGGTGCGGTGATGTGTACCTGTATTCCCAGCTACTTGGGACGCTGAGGCGGGAGGATCACTTGAGCCCAGGATTTGGAGGCTGCAGTGAAGTATGATTGTACCACTGCACTCTAGCCTGGGTGATAGAATGAAACCTTGTCTCTAAAAAACAAAACAAAAACAAGCAAAAACGCAGATGGCTGAGCCCACTCCAGAGTCTCGGATTCAGTGGGTCTGAGGTGAAGCCTGAGAATTTGCATTTCTAACATGTTTCCAGGTTACTCTGAAACCCTCCCTATACACTTTATAAAATTAGTCAGGGAAGAAATGAAGATAAACCAAGCTTACAGCACATTCAGCGTTCATCATAAAGGCAGTTTGCTCTCTGACCTGCTTCTTCATAGCTGTTTCCTGTCATAAGATTATAGTTCCCCCTAACTGCTCTATAGATAACAACTTAAGCTTTGTGAAATGTTAAGTTTTCCCTCTGAGATACTCTTTCAGGTCCTGCGTACCAGTGAAACTACTGACATCAGCTGGTCTGAAGGACTCCACAAGGAGCCGACTCACCAAAGAATGAATTTTCCACAGCCTGATGATATTATTCCCGCTTTCCTTGACCAATCAACAACCCCAATTCTCCAGCCCCTTGCCTTTCATGATTCCCTTAAAATCTCAAGCCCAGAACTCCTTGGGGAGATGGATTTGAGGGTTCTTCCTGTCTCCTCACTCGGCTTCTCTGCACTCATTAAACTCTTTCTCTGCTGCAAACTCTGCTGTCTCCATGTAATTGGTCTGTTGCTGTCCAGTGGGCCTATGACCCTAGTGGTCCTGTAGCAGTTCTGATGTTGCAGCTCCTGGGACCACACTTGGAAAACCTCCAAGTTATCTGTGGGATTTTGAGTACCAGCAGTACCTAAATGATAAGAAAAATTAGAACAATTTTCCTGAATTTTTTAAATAGCCTTGCACCAGCCACATTTCATTGTCCAGTAGCACAGGGAATCAAATGAGAACAATATAAGCCACTCAAAGCTAGATTCTGAAGAACCTTGAGAGGGTGGATCTCCCTCAAGCACTTTCCATACCACCCTCCCTCAACTTCAATGAGAGCACTCGTGAAGCCTACAGACCCTGGAAACCCTGATAGACAAGGACTAAGTGATTAAATCACATAAGGGAATAAACGTGAGTTGTGCAACACCAGGTGCCCTGGGGAGGCTGGCTGTGAGAGGCAGAGACTCTGTTGGCATCTCTGGGTCTTTGTTCCCAAGGAATGGATGCAGATCTGCCTGCAGGAAAGTGCCAGCACTAAGACACCAGGTACATTTTGTTTGTTTGTTTGTTTGTTTGTTTTTTGAGATGGAGTCTTGCTCTGTCACCCAGGCTGGAGTGCAGTGGCATGATCCTGGCTCACTGCAACCTCTGTCTCCCAAGTTCAAGCAATTCTCCTGCCTCAGCCTCCTGAGTAGCTGGGATTACAGGCTTGCGTCACCATGCCCGGCTAATTTTGCATTTTTAGTAGAGATGGGTTTCACCATGTTGGTTAGGCTGGTCTCAAACTCCTGACCTCAGATGATCTGCCCACCTTCACCTCCCAAAGTGCTGGGATTACAGGTGTGACCCACTGCGCCCCGCCTGTTTGTAAGCTCTCTTAATAAATCACCGAATACCAACAGACTGAATTTGTCTGCCTCATTTTTTGGTTTCCTTGCTTTTTTGGCATTTGTGGGCTGCTTTGTATATACAGTCCTTTCGCAGACATATCTATCCATGCATCCATCCATCCATTTCATTTGTTCTGTTTCACTGGAAAGCTAGACTAATACATCTGCTATCAGGATGCTGTGCTTCACGCTGACTGGAGATTAAGGCTTCGAGGGTCAAGGACATGCCCTGTTGTGTATGCCACCAAAGCCAGACCAAAATCATTGCAAGCAGGGAGATTGCCTAAGTAGCCAAGTTGGAGGACAAAGGAAATTGCACTTGCTCTTGTCCCACCCCTACCTTGCACAGCACTCATGCCCACACAATTTACACACTCCTAGAACTATCTCCACCCAAAATGGTATTACCTCTCATTGGTTCTTTTTTTTTTTTTTTTGCCAGGTCTCCCAGATTTTTATTATTTCAGACAATTGTTGCAGCATGCGAAATTTTTAAAATTACAATTTACTTATTTTGAGTCTTATCTCTTCCTGCATGTTGTTCATGCTCTCCACTGCATTAATCTTCATCTATTTACATTTCAGTCAACCTGTTTATCTGTTGTTAATCCATCTTCTGGCTGATTCCTGTCAATCTCAGCCTACAATAGCTCACTGGGAATATATTACATAAAAGTCATCAAGGGCAGGAGAGAGAGAATGGTATTCTGATTTTGATCTTTACTCAGAATTCTCAATGACTTTCCCTCTGTGATAGCAGCAGATGTTCCCAAAGTTAGTTATTGAAAATGACAGTCTCAGTTTCCCGTTTTTCACTCTTGACTCTCAAAAATGGATACCAGCTACTTAGTATGTCACTGTGTTTTAGCTTCTTAAAGATTCATGTTAAAACTATTCATTGTTTTTCAGACTAAGTGATTGTAGTTTCTTTAACTTTTTCTTTTTTTTTTTATTATTTTTTTTTTATTTTTAATTTTTTTTTTTTTATTATACTCTAAGTTTTAGGGTACATGTGCACATTGTGCAGGTTAGTTACATATGTATACATGTGCCATGCTGGTGCGCTGCACCCACTAACGTGTCATCTAGCATTAGGTATATCTCCCAATGCTATCCCTCCCCCCTCCCCCGACCCCACCACAGTCCCCAGAATGTGATATTCCCCTTCCTGTGTCCATGTGATCTCATTGTTCAATTCCCACCTATGAGTGAGAATATGCAGTGTTTGGTTTTTTGTTCTTGCGATAGTTTACTGAGAATGATGGTTTCCAATTTCATCCATGTCCCTATAAATCATGCTGCTATAAAGACACATGCACACGTATGTTTATTGCGGCACTATTCACAATAGCAAAGACTTGGAACCAACCCAAATGTCCAACGATGATAGACTGGATTAAGAAAATGTGGCACATATACACCATGGAATACTATGCAGCCATAAAAAATGATGAGTTCATGTCCTTTGTAGGGTTCTTTTTTTTTTTTTTTTTCCTGTTGCCCAGGCTGGAGTGCCTGGTGCCATCTCAGCTTACTGCAACCTCTGCCTCCCAGGTTCAAGCTATTCTCCCACTTCAGCCTCCTGAGTAGCTGGAATTACAGGCGTGTGCTTCCATGCCTGGCTAATTTTTGTATTTTTATTAGGGACAGGGTTTCTCCATGTTGGCCAGGCTAACCCCAAACTATCTCAGGTCCACCTGCCTCAGCCTCCCAAAGTGCTGGGATTAAAGGTGTGAGCCACCACATCAGGCCTGGTTCTTACTAGCTTATGCTAGGTTAGTTGCATAGGCATTACCAGCAGAACTTGAAGAAAGCAAAGGTGCCCAGGCTTGGAAGGTTCTGGTTTAATAGGGCTGGAGTGAGGCTCCAGGAATCTAAATTTTTAAGAGCTCCCCAGGTTCAAAAACGAAATCTGCTGGTGACTCCATGAGCCTGTAACTGATTCAGATTCAGCTACTAACTGCTTCAAAGCCAAAACTTGAGAGGCAAGGGTTGGTGGGAGGAAAAGCAGGTTTATTCAGGAGCCGATAACCTAAGGGGATGGCAGACTTGCATTGCAAAGGCCATCTCCCCTTTCTTGGGCTGGCTGAAGAGGTTTTAAAGGGAGGCAGTTAGGCAAACTTTGTATAGAAGTTGCCTACATGCAAGTCAGCATGTCTTTTTCCAGTGATTATCTTGAGTAATGGGCCATCTGGTGGCCCAGCTGGTATCAGCTAGACTGCAGCAAGATTGAAGATGAACTCCTCAGCATTTTTCTAGGGGTGGACCTTTCACAGCCTTGGTTTTACTTCGAGGCTAGTTCTTGGAGTTTTTAAAACCCTAAGCAAGCATGCAGTTAGGCATTACGTACTTGTCTGTTTTCACGATGCTGATAAAGACATATCCGAGGCTGGGTAATTTATAAGGAAGCAGAGATTTAATGGTCTCACAGTTCCACATGGCTGGGGAGGCCTCATAATCATGGCAGAAGACGAAGGGCATGTCTTACATGGCAGCAGGCAGGAGAGAGAATGAGAGCGCCAAGGAAAAGGGGAAACCCCTTTATATATAAAACCATCGGATCTCATGATACTTACTCACTACCAGGAGAAGAGTATCGGGGAAACTACCCCCATGATTCAGTTATCTCCCACCGGGTCCCTCCCACAACACGTGGGAATTGTGGGAGCTACATTTCAAGGTGAGATTTGGGTGGGGACACAGCCAAACCATACCACATTATAAAGGAAAGAATGACTATTTACTTCTAGCAAGGGAATGACTGCCTAGGTTACAAGCCAAGTAAAAGGCACTGGCAAGCCTTCCCCACCTGGAGCTCCCCCCACCTCCACACCACACCACTGTTAAATTTTATTATTTTTCTTCTGTTTTTAATCCTTACTTTTTGTGGGTACATAGTATGTGTATGAATTCCCACCCGGAGTTTTGAAACAACTTGGTTTTATGCTCAAACTAATTTTGTTATTATTATTTTTTTGTTTCTGCAAGTCCTAGCCAGAGCGATCAGGCAAGAGAAAGAAATAAAAGTCATCCACATAGGAAAAGAAGAAGTCAAGTTAGCTCTCTTTGCTGATAATATGATTCTATACCTAGAAAACCCTAAAGACTCTTTGAAAGCCAAAAGGCTCCTAGAACTAATAAACAACTTCAGTAAAGTTTCAGGAGATAAAATCAATGTGCAAAATTCACTAGTATTTTTATACCCCAGTAGCATTCTAGCTGAGAGCCAAATGGAGAACAGAATCTCATTTACAATAACCACACCCAAAAAAAAAAAACCTAAGAGTACATCTAACCAAGGAGGTGAAAGGTGAATTATAAACACTGCTGAAATAGATCATAGATGACACAAACAAAGGAAAAATATTCCATGCTCATGGATTAGGAGACTCAAAATCATTAAAATAGTCATACTGTTCAAAGCATTTTATAGATTCAACACTATTCTTATCAAAGTACCAACATCATTTTTCACAGAACTAGAAAAAACAGTTCTAAAATAATTCATATGGAACCAAAAAAAGAGCCCTAATAGCCAAAGCAATCCTGAGCAAAAAGAAGAAAGCCAGAAAAATCACATTACCTGACTTCAAACTTTACTATGGGGCTACAGTAACCAAAACAGCATGGTACTAGTACAGAAAGAGACACACAGGCCAATGGAACAGAATAGAGAACTCAGAAATAAAGCCACACACCTACAGCCGTCTGATTTTCGACAAAGTCATCAGGAATAAGCAATAGGAAAAGGACTCCCTATTCAATAAATTGTGCTGGATAGCTGGATAGCCATATACAGAAGAATGAAACTGGACCCCTACCTTTATATATAAAATATATATATATATTTATACATACATATTTATATACATATATAAAAATTAACTCAAGATGGATCAAAGATATAAATGTAGCAGGGCATGGTGGCTCACGCCTGTAATCCCAGCACTTTGGGAGGCCGAGGCAGGCAGACGATTTGAGGTCAGGAGTTCGAGACCAGCCTGACCAACATGGTGAAACCCTGTCTCTACTAAAAATGCAAAAAAAATTAGTCGGGTGTGGTGGCACGTGCGTTTAGTCCCAGCTACTCGGGAGGCTGAGGCAGGAGAATTGCTTGAACCTGGGAGACAGAGGTTGCAGTGAGCCGAGATCGCGCCACTGCACTCCAGCCTGGGAGACAGAGCGAGACTCCGTAAAAAAAAAAAAAAAAAAAAAAAAAAGATGTAAATGTAAAACCTAAAACTATAAGAATCCTAGAAGAAAACTTAGAAAACACCATTTCACGTCAGCCTTGGGAAAGAATTCATGACTAAGTCCTCAAAAGCAATTGCAAGAGAAACAAAAAAAATGACAAGTGTGACCTAATTAAACTAAAGAGCTTCTGTACAGCATGTTCTCTGCACAGCAAAAGAAACTACCAACAGAGTAAACACAGAACCTACAGAATGGGAGAAAATATTCACAAGTAGGCACCCAACAAAGGTATAATATCCCAAATCTATAAAGAACTTAAACAGATTAAACTCTTGAACAAGCAAAAAACAAACAGCCCATTAAAAAATGGTAAAGGCCGGCCAGGTGCGGTGGCTCACGCCTGTAATCCCTGTACTTTGGGAGGCCGAGGCGGGCAGATGACTTGAGGTCGAGAGTTCGAGATCAGCCTGTCCAACATGGAGAAACCCCATCTCTACTAAAAAAAAAACAAAAAAAAACAAAAAAAAAAAAACAAAATTAGCCAGACGTGGTGGTGCAAGCCTGTAATCCCAGATACTCAGGAGGCTGAGGCAGGAGAATCACTTGAACCCGGGAGGTGGAGGTTGCAGTGAGCTGAGATCACACCATTGCACTCCAGCCTGGGCAAGAAGAGCAAAACTCCATCTAAAAAAAAAAAAAAAGGCTGAGCGTGGTGGCTCACGCCTGTAATCCCAGCACTTTGGGAGGCCGAGGCGGGTGGATCACGAGGTCAGGAGATGGAGACCATCCTGGCTAACATGGTGAAACCCCGTCTATACTAAAAATACAAAAAATTAGCCGGGCGTGGTGGCGGCGCCTGTAGTCCCAGCTACTTAGGAGGCTGAGGCAGGAGAATGGCGTGAACCCGGGAGGCGGAGCTTGCAGTGACCCCAGATTACGCCACTGCAGTCCAGCCTGGCGACAGAGAGAGACTCCATCTCAAAAAAAAAAAGGTAAAATACATGAACAGATACTTCCCAAAAGAAGACATACAAGTGGCCAAAAAACACATGAAAAGATGCTCAACATCACTAATCATCAGAGAAATGCAAATCAAAACTACCATGAAATAGCATCTCACACTGGTCAAAATGGCCATTATTAAAAAGTCAGATAATCACAGATGCTAGCAAGGCTTCAAAGAAAAACGTACGCTTCTACACTACTGGTGGGAATGTAAATTAGTTCAGCTACGGTGGAAAGCAGTTTGGGCATTTCTCAAAGAACTTAAAACTGAACTACCATTTGACTCAGCAATCCCATTACTGTGTATATAGTCAGAAGAAAATAAATCATTCTACCAAAAAGACACCTGCACTGGTATGCTTATCACAGCACTATTCACAATAGCAAAGACACGGAATCTACCTAGTTGCTCATCAGTGATGAATTGGATAAAGAAAATGTGGTACATATACACCATAATGGAATACTACACAGCCATAAAGAAGAACAAATTAATATCTTTTGCAGTCACGTGGATGCAGCTGGAGGCCATTATCCTAAGTGAATTAATGCAGGAAGAGAAAACCAAATACTGCATGTTCCCTTATAAGTGGGAGCTACTCTTATAAGTTCTCTTATAAGTGGGAGCTAAACTGTATGTTCTCTTGTAAGTGGGAGTTAAACACTGGGTACTTACAGGCATAACAATGGCAAAAATAGACACTGGGGACTACTAGAGGGGGAGGGAGGGAGGCAAACAAGGGTTGAAAAACCAATTGTTGGGTACTATGCTCAGTATCTGGGTGATGATATTATTTGTACCCCAAACCTCAGCATCATGTAATATGCCTAGTAACAAACCTGCACATGTACCCCCTGAATCTAAAATAAAAGCTAAAAATTATTTTTAAAATTTTGATTTTTAAAAAAACCTGTAGAGAGTTCAGTTGAGTGCCCATAAAGAAAAACATTCAAGAAAAGAGCTTTCTGGAAAGATTAGGAATTGGCACCGAGAGAGCTTTACTCTATGACAATCTCTGAATCTGTGGTTACAAGACCAAACCCAGCGATATGAATTTACGTACTGCAGTGAATGATAAATAGGCCACATTTTCATTCATAGCATTTAGCAGAGACTCATGGGGAAGAAGAGAAAGGAGGTGCGGAAAAGAAGGAAGGAAGGAAGGAAGGAAGGGAGGAAGGAAGGGAGGGAGTGAGGGAGGGAGGAGAGGGAGGGAAAAAAGGAGAATGTAATTGAAAAGATATTAACTTTCAAGCTGTCAGGGACTGTTACAAATATTTAAAGACAAACAAACAAGAAAACACTGTGTTTTACTCTGCCTTAACCAAACATGGAGAATCATGATGCCTGTTGGCATTTTCTGAACAATTTAAGATAGTGATTCAGGAAAATCATTATCTACAAGGGGAAGTTTTTGTTACTGAAGAATTTGAATTGTTTTGAGAAGAGATGCTTTATAGAATTTTTATTAGCTGTGTTTTAAAATATATACTTAATGTTACTTTTAACCACCTCCAGCTCCCAATCTGATGTTTCCTCTCAAGCCCTGATCTTGACAGCTATGGTTTTGCTGACAATAACAGTTTCAGACGAAGGAACTGGCAAGAGGTTTTTCAGTTTCTAAGATGGGACATCATTGATTTCTCTGTCCCCATCTTCAAAATTGTTGCTGTTCCATTTCCTCGACTAACAGACCATTTAGTTTTGTTTCTGTACCAATACTGATGGGGTATGGAGGAGATGAGACCTTTCTTGGTTTTTGTTGTTGTTTTAGCTTAATTTCCTCCCCTGAAAACCAACAGGCTTGGCCAAGATAGATAATCATCTCCAAGGCCCTTTTGCTGTCTAAATTGTGAGGGCTTTTTTTTTTTTCTTTTTTTCTCTTTAGACAGAGTTTCACTCTTGTTACCAAGCTGGAGCTCGATGGTGCGATCTCGGCTCACTGCAATCTCTGCCTCCCAGGTTCAAGCAAGTCTCCTGCCTCAGCCTCCAGAGTAGCTGGGATTACAGGTGTACACCACCACACCTGGCTAATTTTGTATTTTTAGTAGAGATGGGGTTTCACCATGTTGGCCAGGCTGGTCTTGAACTCCTAACCTCCAGTAGTCCACCCACCTCGGCCTCCCAAAGTGCTTGGATTACAGGCGTGAGCCACCACACCCTGCCTAGGGCGTCTTTAAAGTTGGCCAACAGCACTAGCTGCTGGATCAAAATGAGAAAATTTGTGTTTTGACTTTCTCTTCTGTACAATCCAGGCCATAATGCAGCCCTGTCTGTCACAGAAAGATGCTGGGAGACGCCAACACGCAACAAAGTAATCACAATTAATTTTTATGTATTGAAACAGTAATGTGCTTCCTAAAAGCATAAGGCAAATTATACTGTCCAAGACTAGCCAGATAGAGGTTTACAAACAGCTGATCTTAACATTTCCATAACGTGATATTCTGCAAATTTGATGAAAGCTATGAACTTTCTCTTTCCCTAAAATGGACATACGTGCAAAATTTTAACAAAGGATCACATTTTCTTAGATAATAAACCAACGTATTTTCATTCCCAGCGTTAAAAGAAAACTCCAGACAAATTAAATTTAAGAAAGTTTAATTGAGCAAAAAAAAAAAAAAAAAGAAAGCAAGAAAATGATTTGTGAATCAGGCAGCCCCCAGAATCACAGCAGAGTCGGAAAGACCCCAGGGGTGCCTCATGGTCACAAGAAATTTATAGACTAAAAAAGAAAAGTGACATACAGAAATCGGAAGCGAGGTTCAGAAACAGCTGAATTGGTTACATCCAGCTTGGCATTTGCCTTATTTGAACAGAGTTTGGACACTCAGCAGCGCATGACTGGTTGAAGCATGGCCACTGGAATTGGCCAAGACTCAACTATTGTTACAGGCACATATTCCTGTTAGGTTTTCAATCTTGTCTACCTATTAAGTTAGGTTATGGTTCATCCACAAGGACTCAAATATAGAAACACGGAGTCCTTCTCAGGCCATATTTAGTTCACTTTAACATCAGTTATCCCTAATTCTCAGCTGGGCCAAGTCTCTCCCTCACCTATTCAACGAGAGGACTCACTGCTTCCAAGAGGGGGTGTATGTAGCCCAGGATAAAGCATTCTCATTTAGTTCTGTGTTTCAAACAATACTTTTCTGAGCCAATAGGAAACTCGCTGTTGTAGGCTTTTGTTGGCAGAGCAAAGGGTTTCTGAATTCCAATTGCCTCTCTTTACAACAGCAAGAGCCATGCTGGGTGGTCTGAATATAGACATTCACTGTGGCTGCTGGTGTTGGGAGGCTTTGATATCAAAGAGGTCCCGTTCCCCGCAGAGAAATGACAGCTGCCTTTCACCTTTCAACTAGGGAATTGTGGAGGACAGATTTGGAGAAGGCGGGAAAGAAGAAAGGTGGAAAGATAGAAGTAGAAGCTGAAACAGAGAGGGCTTTGGAATTTAGTGGGAAAATAGGTTCCTTGCAGAATGTCCTATGCCGACGTGTGGCAGCCAGAGGACTGTGGAAATAGAGGCCCGGCCCCTGGGGGCAGGTGAGGCTTTCAGCTACTCACGGCCTGTGCAGGGCCTGGAAGTTTCTGCCAGCACCACTGTAAGGACCTGGAATCAGCGAAGGGAACAATGACATAGAAAAAGCCTGGGGACAGGACAAGGTGGCCATCCACTATGGGTGCCCCTGGTTAACAGAGGTTGATGCCAGCACGACTCACAGTTGCTCTCTGAGACCATCCACCGGGTACAGGATGACAGACATCTTAAGAGAGGCCAGCAGTGACCCCCAGGATAACATATATGCCAGAGACACCGCCTCCTGCTGTCAGACTACATATGGTTATGTTTGAAAAGTTGAGAGAAAAGTTATAACTTTGAATTAACTAACCAAATTTGCTTTTTTTTTTTTTGAGATGGAGTCTCGCTCTGTCACCCAGGCTGGAGTGCAGTGGCACGATCTTGGCTCACTGCAAGCTCCGTCTCTCCTGGGTTCATGCCATTCTCCTGCCTCAGCCTCCCGACTAGCTGGGACTACAAGCGCCCACCACCATGCCCGGCTAATTTTTTTTGTATTTTTAGTAGAGACGGGGTTTCACTGTGTTAGCCAGGATGGTCTCAATCTCCTGACCTCATGATCCACCCCCGTCGGCCTCCCAAAGTGCTGGGATTACAGGAGTGAACCACCGGGCCTGGCCCCAAATTTGCTTTTGGAAAAATTTATTTTATGTTTAAACATTTTAAATTCTTTTTTAGAGACAGGGTTTCCCTCTGTTGCCCAAGCTGGAGTGCAGTGGTGCAATCATAGCTCACTGCAGCCTCAAACTCCTGGGCTCAAGCGATCCTCCTGCCTTGGCCTCCCAAAGCACTGGGATTACAGGCATGAGCCACTGTACTTGGCCTCTAGAGATGACTCTTAATACAACTTCCAGCTACCTAAACTTTAGAAGTTTCAGGATTGACAAGTGAGACCGGGGACCATGAAACCTGATGTTGCTTAGATGTTTTTTAAGTGAGCTGGTGGGTGGTGTTCCAGGAAGAGAAAGTCTTTGGCCCTACTGAGAGATGACAGCGTGCTGGCAGTCCTCAGAGCCCTCGCTTGCTCTGGGCACCTCCTATGCCTGGGCTCCCACTTTGGCGGCACTTGAGGAGCCCTTCAGCCCATCACTGCACGGTGGGAGCCCCTTTCTGGGCTGGCCAAGGCCAGAGCCGACTCCCTCAGCTTGCAGGGAGGTGTGGAGGGAGAAGGCGCGAGCGGGAACTGGGCTGCGCGCGGCGCTTGCGGGCCAGCTGGAGTTCCGGGTGGGCGTGGGCTTGGCGGGCCCCGCACTCGGAGCAGCCGGCCGGCCCTGCCGGCCCCAGGCAATGAGGGACTTAGCACCCGGGCCAGCGGCTGCGGAGGGTGTACTGAGTCCCCCAGCAGTGCCAGCCCACCGGCGCTGCGCTCGATTTCTCGCCGGGCCTTAGCTGCCTTCCCGCGGGGCAGGCCTCGGGACTGCAGCCCGCCATGCCTGAGCCTTCCCCTGCCTCCGTTGGTTCCTGTGCAGCCCGAGCCTCCCAGACGAGCGCCGCCCCCTGCTCCAGGGCGCCCAGTCCCATCTACCGCCCAAGGGCTGAGGAGTGTGGGCGCACGACACCGGGACTGGCAGGCAGCTCTACCTGCAGCCCTGGTGTGGGATCCACTAGGTGAAGCCAGCTGGGCTCCTGAGTCTGGTGGGGACGTGGAGAACCTTTATGTCTAGCTCAGGGATTGTAAACACACCAATCAGCACCCTGTGTTTAGCTCAAGGTTTGTGAGTGCACCAATCAACACTCTGTATCTAGCTGCTCTGGTGGGGCCTTGGAGAACCTTTATGTCTAGCTCAGGGATTGTAAATACACCAATCGGCACTCTGTATCTAGCTCAGGGATTGTAAACGCGCCAATCAGCGCCCTGTCAAAACAGGCCACTCGGCTCTACCAATCAGCAGGATGTGGGTGGGGCCAGATAAGAGAATAAAAGCTGGCTGCCCGAGCCAGTATTGGCAACCACCTCGGGTCGTCTTCCATAGTGGGGAGTGTTTGTTCTTTTGCTCTTTGCAATAAATTTTGCTACTGTTCACTCTTTGGGTCCACGCTGCTTTTATGAGCTGTTACACTCACCGCGAAGATCTGCAGCTTCACTCCTGAGCCAGCGAGACCAAGGAAGAAACTCCGAACACATCTGAACATCAGAAGGAACAAACTCCAGACGCGCCACCTTAAGAGCTGTAACACTCACCGCGAGGGTCCGCGGCTTCATTCTTGAAGTCAGTGAGACCAAGAACCCACCAATTCCGGACACACTACTGCCTGCATTTCAGAATAGTAACCTCTGTGTGTACTGAGAAACCTTTACAGTCATTGATGCGGGAATGGCCTCAACACTTGACTACTCTCCTTTTACCGGGAATCCCATGAATAACAGAGAAGATAGGTTTTTTTGTTTTGTTTTTGTTTTTTTGAGATTGAGTTTCACTCCTGTCATCCACGCTAGAGTGCAATGGCGCCATCTCTGGCTCACTGCAACCTCTGCCTTTTGGGTTCAAGCAATTCTCCTGCCTCAGCCTCCTAGCTAGCTGGGATTACAGGTGCCCACCACCACACCCAGCCAATTTTTGTATTTTTAGTAGAGATGGGGTTTCACTGTGTTGGTCAGGCTGATCTCAAACTCCTGACCCCAGGTGATCCACCCGCCTCAGCCTCCCAAAGTGCTGGGATTACAGGCATGAACCAACACGCTTGGCCAGAAGAAAGCTTCAAAAAGAAAAGGGGAAAAAAAATCAGTGAGAACCTAGGCAATGAAACCTTCTCCCAGGGCAGCTGTGTTCCTGACTTTGTAAACTTCTGACTTCTGTACCATGGGCCTGAGTGGGGGGAGGCGGGGGGAGGCGGGGGTAGCCTGGGAGAGCAGGGGCTATAGGCAGAATGTCTATCTTATGAATAGGAGAAGGGGAGCTCTGTTGCTTCTGAAGCATCCTGAGGGTGTGGGAGTGGACCTCACTCTAGGGTGGGTGCTCAGAAAAGCTATGTTGAAGAGAATTTGCATGAGTCAGAGTTACGCCAGTAAGGAAGATGTTATTCAAGATGATAGGGGAAGCTAACCCCGACTCTGCTGACACCATGGGCTGGAGGGCTTCTAAGCATAAGCACTGGGGTGCCCTAGTGCAAAAGTCCTGGAGGATGTTGGGGTAAGGTTGCTTGGTGGGATGTGCCAAGTACATTGAGTTGTTCCAGAGTTTGCAAATGTTTTTTTCTGTGATTGGGTCATCTGTGGTTGCTGGGCTCAAGCGATCCTCCTGCCTCATCGCCTCAGCCTCCTGAATAGCTGGGACTACAGGTACGCACCCCCCATGCCTGGCAGTGTTTCTTCAAGTTAATGGTAGAAGAGAAGGGAGGTCGGGGTGAGAGTCAAGAAGCCCATCTAAAGTCCAGTCAAGCTGAGTCTAGGTCAACCGTGTCCTTGCCCCTGAATTCCACAACTTCTGTTTCCTCTTGGAGGATCCTCTCAGTTGTGACACTTTGCCTTTTGCCCACTAGATGGCACTGCTGCAGTGCTTGCTTCAGAAACCTAGGCGATGGGAAACCGTCAGAGACCCAGGCAGGACCTTGGTGGCAAGAAGATTTTAATGCACAAATCTCCTCTACTCAGTGGCTTGTCTCTGGATTTCTCTCTATGGTGTTCATGGGGCCCTGAATGCCATATTTAAACTTAGAGTTTTGCTGAAGCACACAGCCCTGTCGTAAAAGCGATTGTATGCAGATTAGGGTTTCCCTGCTCATGCTTGCCTTTGGGATGTGGGCCACCAGGATTGGCCTTTGCTTGAGTGTCCTGATGGGCAGAGTTAACCAGCTCCTGGATGGCTCATGACCTCAGCGCTCTCGTGATAGCCACAAGAGTTGATCCTTGCTCTGCAACCCAAAGACTTGATCTGTTGTATCTGAAGGATATGACCACAGAGGTGGGCGTTTATTTTATTTTATTTATTTACTTACTGAGACAGAGTCTCACTCTGTTGCCCAGGTTACAGTGCGTTGGTGCAATCCTAGCTCACTGCAGCCTCGAACTCCTGGGCTCAAGCCATCCTCCCACCTCAGCCTCCAGAGTAGCTGGGACTGCAAGTGTACACCACTATGCCCGGCTAATTTTTTTATTTTTGTAGAGATGGAATCTTGCTATGTTGCCCAAGCTGGTCTTGAATGCCTGGCCTCAAGTGATCCTCCCACCTCAGCCTCCCAAAGTGTTGGGATTACAGGTACGTACCTTTGACCCAGTATATGGCAAAATTTGAAGCTTAGAATCAAGAAAGCTGAAAGCAAAGACAAAATGGGAGGGTTCTGTTATCAGGACAGAGTCTAGAAAACCCCCTGCAGAGATTTCGCCAGGGCGTGGCTGAATCACTCTGGAGCACATCCTAGGTGACAAACAGGCTCTCATACCCTCTTCTGACCTGAGCCCCCTCCAGGGACCCAGGTATGAAAGGTGGCTGTGATAACCCAGGAAATGAGCCTGGGATATCGTCAGGTTACCTGGGATAGTTAAGAGGTCTGGGGTGGACAGATGGAATGAGATAAAGTCCCTTGCATGGTATCCAGCATGTAAGGCATTTTGGTTGCTATTCTTTAAAAATGGATTACTGTTACTATTCTTAGTGACCAGGGGATCCATACTTTGAATTGCTACCTGCCTTTAATACTTTTGGGGGTTTCACCTCTGAGGATGGTGTCTGACATCTTGCTGTGCCCTAGCAAGGTAAGATGTGAGCAAGAACGCTACCTCGGCGGCTTCTTTTATTTTTAAAATTTTATTTATTTTTTAAAAATAAAGGCCAGGCACGGTGGCTCACACCTATAATCCCAGCACTTTGGGAGGCCGAGGCGGGTGGATCACAAGGTCAGGAGTTTGAGACCAGCCTGACCAATGTGGTGAAACCCCATCTCTACTAAAAATTCAAAAGTTAGCCAGGCATGGTGGCGCACACCTGTAATCCCAGCTACTCAGGAGGCTGAGGTAGGAGAATCACTTGCACCCGGGAGGCGGAGGCTGCAGTGAGCCGAGGTCGCACTACTGCACTCCAGCCTGGGAGACAGAGTGAGATTCCGTCTCTAAAAATAAAAATAAAAATAAAAATAAAAATAAAAATAGAGATGAGGTCTCGCTATGTTGCCCAGGCTGGTCTCGAACTCCTGGCCTCATGTGATCCTCTCACCTTGGTCTCCCAAAGCTCTGGGATTATAGGCATGAGCCATGGTGCCCAGCCCTCTGCAGCTTAACAAGTTCATGGGACTCATCAGGGCTTCATGTGTAGGATTCAGGGAATCTATGAGCTTGGATGGGAAAATTATTCCCTTTGTTTCGTTTACCTCTAAATGAAAGATAACATTTCCTTTAATTATGAATGTAAACAACAAACCACTGTAGACAAAACAGAACCTGACCTTTTGTCACCAACAGAAATCACAGATTTTTTGTCAAATTATAGGTGCTGCAGAAATCTTGTAATAACATTGATGCTCATACAACTTTGAAATTATAGCGAGTAGACCCATCACTTATGGTCTATTTAATGCATTAATCAAAAGTACATATAGTTCTAATAAAGTATACATTATTTATTTATTTTCTTTCTTTCTTTTTTTTGAAAAGATACAAGTTCTCACTTTGTCTCACAGGCTGGAGTGCAGTGGTGCCATCATAGCTCACAGCAACCTCGAACTCCTGGGCTCAAGTGATCCTCCCACCTCTTGGGTAATATCTTTATAGCAGTGTGAGAAAGGACTAATAACATTTCACAGTCTTAAACTCTAGATTTTTTTTTACAGTGATGCATTTTTTCACTTCAGCCTCCTAGGTAGCTGGGACCACAGGTGGGCCAACATGTCCAGATAATTCTTTTTTTTTTTTTTTTTTTTTTTTAGAGATGGGGTCTTGCTATGTTGCCCAGGCTGATCTGGAACTCCTGGTTTCAAGCCGTCCTCCTGCCTCTGGAAGGCCCCCAAATGCCTGGAGGTACAAGGCCAACCCAGGGCTGGTACCATGCGTCGCAGCACAGGCCAGGTCATAGAAGGGAACGTGTTCGCTAGCTCTGGTCTCCTCTGACCACCCCTCATCCCCATCCGCATCGCTGCTCCGCCGGGGAGAAATCAATGAAGCCTCACAACCCTCCTGCTTTCCTTCATTTCAGGGGAAAGGAAGCAGCGGAATCAAGGCCAGGCGCCAGCAGGGGGCGCTAGAGCATCGGTCTTCAGAGCCCGGCTTCCCAGCTGAGCTCCCGCGCGGGACGTCCAAGGAGCAGACACCTGCTCAGGGCGCCTCCCTCCTCGGGGGGCCTGCGGGTGCTCCAAACACCCGGCCAGACCTAGCCTTGGGCAGCCTAGGCCGCTTCACAGCTTGCTGTCGCTGTATACCTTAAAATTTGCATTCCCTTCAACAGGTTAGGTAGGACATTAGGGGGAAGCCACGACCAGAATGCAGTTCAGATTTCCAGCGGGGGCGCTGCGCCTGCAGGTGCTGGGAGAGCCAGCCCGCACCCCTCCCTTGCAAGACTGGCACTCCCTGTGTCTCCCTCTCCCTCCCTCCCTCCCTCCTTCCCTTGCTCCCTCCCTCCCTCCTTCCCTTGCTCCTTCCCTCCCTCCTTCCCTTGCTCCCTCCCTCCCTCCTTCCCTCCTTCATTTTTCTTCCCTCTTTCCTTCCTACTTTCCTCTCTCCTTCCTTTTCTTTCTCCTTCTCCCTTTTCTTTCTTTTTATCCTTCTTTCCCTCTTTTATCTTTCCTTCCTTCCTCCCTTCCTTCCACTCTCTTTGGCTTTCTCTGTAAATATTTCTCTCTTGTCTCTATTTTTCTAATTCCTTATTTATTTCTCCCTGTCACTCTGTACTTGTTTCTCTGTATCTCTTTATCTCTTTTCATCTCTCCTGTCCCTTTCTGCCTCTTTCTCCTTTTCCCTCTCCCTCTCTCTGTTACACACACACACACACACACACACACTCATGATTTTCTCCTAGGCCTGCAGCTCTTTGAGGCTGGAGGCCAGCCCTGCAGCTCATGAAATCCGGGAATCCGCAGGGATTGCAGTGGGTGGGCAGCCTCTTTAATAATTGCTTCCATAGTCAAATACTGCAGGCCCTTTTGTGACTCCTCCTCCAGGCAGACTCACCACAGGGCACAATGCAGCCTGCATTGTAGGTGGTGGTGTGCAAATCCACAGGTGCTAGCATCTCACAGAACATTCTCCTTCTACCACCAATGACCCGAGTCACCTGGGATAAGGTACTGAACCTCTCTGGGTCTGTTTCCTTGTTTAAATGGGCCTCTCCAAATTAGATTAAATCTTGTATCTAAACAGGGGTCTTGTGAGACTACTATGTGTGGAAGACAGTGTGGGGTTTTTGATTTGTTTTAGTTTGTTTTTTGAGATGGTCTTGCTCTGTCGCACAGGCTGGACTGCAGTGGTGCTATCATGGTTCGCTGCAGCCTGGATTCCCTGGACTCAAGCGGTCCTCCAACCTCAGCCTCCCGAGTAGCTGGGACCACAGGCATACGCCACCACACCTGGCTAATTTTTTGTATTTTTTGTAGAGACGAGGTCTCACTATGTTGTCCAGGCTGGTCTCAAACTCCTAAGTTCAAGCAATCTGCCCACCTTGGCCTCCCAGAGTGCTGGGATTACAGGCGTGAGTCGTCCTGCCCTGCCTGTAGACAGCTTTTGAAATGGCTCCCAGCGACGGCTGCCTCTTGTTGTTCACACCCCTCTATAATCCCCTCCCTTTGCGATGGGCCAAACTGAGAGACTCACTTCTAGCAAAAAGATTATGGCAAAAGTATGGGATTTCACTTCTGAGATTTGGCTACACAAAATTGATTTCCGTCGGGCCAGCTCTTCTCAAAGGTGCTCCTTGCTCACGTGCTTTGATGAAACTGTACTGTCATGAGCTGCCCTACAAAGAGGCCCACATGGTGAGGAACTCAGGCCTCTGGCCTCTGGCCAACAGCCAGTAAAGAACAGAGGGTCTCAGGCCAACTGAATCATCCCAACAATCGTGAATCTTGGAAAGGAATCTTCCCTCAGTTGAGCTTTCAAATGTCTCCAGCTGTACCCGACATCTTAATTGCAGCCTGGGAGAGCCCCTGAAGCAAAGGACTCCCCAAAGCTGCCTTCAGGAGATGACCCCCAGAGACTATGAGGTGATAAATGCTGTTGTTTTAAGTCACTGGATTTTGGGAGAATTTATTATGCAGAAATAGATAACTAACACAATATGTAAAAGATGTTGTGTTATAGCTAGAGCAGGCTAAAGTGCAGTAACAAATAACCCCAGACATGAAATGGCTCAACAAAACAATCCTGGTTTGGTATTCAGGTCAATGAGGAGGGTCTCTTTCATTCAGATATTTAGGGACTTAGATTCCTTCCCCCTTATGGCTCTACCATCCCCTAAGGCCCTGTTGTTTTCTGCATCCAGCCCAGAAGGAGAAAGGGAGCGTGGTCAAGGCAAAGTCACCCCACAAAAGCGCAGCCCCAAAGAGCTACCTGTGATATCTACTCACATTCTTTTGGGGAAAGTTATTATTATTATTATATATTTTTTTGAGATGGAGTCTTGCTGTGTCATCCAGGCTGGAGTGCAGTGGTGAGATCTCGGCTCACTGCAACCTTCACCTCCCAGGTTCAAGTGATTCTCCTGCCTCAGTCTCCCAAGTAGCTGAGATAATAGGTGCACATCACCACACCCAGCTAATTTTTTTGTATTTTTAGTAGAGGTAAGGTTTCACCATGTTGGCCAGGCTGGTCTCAAACTCCTGACCTCAAGTGATCTGCCCACCTAGGCCTCCCAAAGTGCTGGGATTACAGGCATGAGCCACTGTGCCTGGCCTCTCTTGGGGAAAATTATATCGCATGTTTCCACTTACTTTCTAAGGAGATTGAGAGCTATATCTACTGATGGTGGCTCCAATCTTAGAATGCATAGTATAGGCCTAGCCTCAAACTACTCAATATATATTGGCCCTAGGGAGTCTGGCCCTACCTAGGTTCTTCGTCTCCATGTCACCTCTCCTGACACTGAAATTGTCAGGGACTTGTCTACTGAGAAGTTCTTTCCTTTTTCTTTTTCTTTTTCTTTTTCTTTTTTTTTTTTTGAGATGGAGTCTCGCACTGTTGCCTGGGCTGGAGTGCGATGGTGCGATCTTGGCTCACTGCAACCTCCGCCTCCTGGGTTCAAGCAATTCTCCTGCCTCAGCCTCCCAAGTAGCTGGGATTACAGGCACCTGCCACCATGTCCGGCTAATTTTTTATATTTTTTTTAGTAGAGACGGGGTTTCACCATGTTGCCCAGGCTGATCTCAAACTCCTGACCTTGTGATCCACCTACCTCAGCCTCCCAATCCTTTTTTCATCTCGTACGTGGCCCATGTGTCCTCATGCTGCCTAACCACAGCCTGGGAGAATCTTCTCTCCTCTGGCCTGCTTCTACTCAGGCTGTAGATTTGACAGAGTGTTTGATCTGCTTCAGTGAGTGGCTTTTGTGTGGGGCAGTGGTTGATTTATTTCTAACTCACCTACAAAATTATGAGCTCCGGAATGTTTCCACCCAACACTACATCTTCATCTTCAGGTCAAACCATTGTACCCGAATTTTAGACTACACTGTTTCTGAATCAGCAGAAATCTGCTCCTGGAGCAATAAAGATGATGTTCAATGGCATATGAAGAAATCCAGATGACTGGCATAAACCAAAGGTTCATTTTCCACTTTATTTTTCTCTCTTGTAAAGAAACTCTTAAGTAGGCAAAGCCAGAGTTAGTATGGTAGCTTCATCAGGAGCCTTGATATTTCTTTCTTTTTTTTTTCTTTTTGTTGAGACGGAGTCTCACTCTGTCGCCCAGGCTGGAGTGCAGTGGCGTGATCTTGGCTCACTGCAAGCTCCACCTCCCGGGTTCACGCCATTCTCCTGCCTCAGCCTCCCAAGTAGCTGGGACTATAGGTGCCTGCCACCACGCCTGGCTAATTTTTTGTATTTTTAGTAGAGACGGGGTTTCACTGTGTTAGCCAGGATGGTCTCGATCTCCTGACCTCGTGATCCTCCCACCTCGGCCTCCCAAAGTGCTGGGATTACAGGCGTGAGCCACTGTGCCAGGCTGAGCCTTGATATTTCTACTGCACCATTTCAAAGCCACTTTTATCTTTGCAAAATAGTTTGCAAGATGGTTGCTGCAGCTCCAGCCATTATGTCTGTATTCCAGGCAGCAGTAAAAAGAGAAGGCAAGGGCCAAAGGGTGTATCACCCAGCTGAATTATCCTCTTTAAAGAGCATTCCCATAATTCAACCCAATGACATCCACTTACCTCTCATTGGCCACCCCTGTCTGCAAGGGAGGCCAGGAACTGTGGTTTTCCAGCTGCATGCATTGCGGAACACAGCAATATGGGGTAGAATTATCCAACTCAAGAAGAAGGGGAACTTGGGTAGGCAGCCAGCAGTCTCTGACACATCCTCTTATTCTCTAAGGGAGCAGAAAGATGGATTCCCACAGATCCAAGTCCCAATTGGCTTTTCTGTAATAGCTATTAATGGTATTGACTAAAGTGTCTGTATCACTGCACTTTTATGGCTCTGCTGAGAAGAACACCCCAAGGCCACTGGCTCCTTTGTTATAGCTAATAATGGCCCAGTGTTAGAAAATGGCAGTGATATCTCTTGGGCAAATGGATGACCACTTCTCAGACCCAGGCATCCAGAATTGGCCAGGGCTGCCTGACATGATTGCATGAGACAATGCCCATGGAATGTTTTTTAAAATTAGTATTAGACTTTATTTTAGAACAGTTTTAGATTTACAGAAAAATTGACTGAGATCGTAGAAAGAGTTCTCATAATTTATCCCCCGCAACCACACACACAAACTTCCCCTATCATAAAAATCTTACACGGGTTAGATATATTTGTTAGAATTAATAAACCAATACTGATAAATCTTTTTTTTTTTTTAAGACAGAGTCTCACTCTGTCATCCAGGCTAGAGCGCAGTGGTGCAATCTCGGCTCACTGCAACCTCCACCTCCCGGGTTCAAGCGATTCTCCCGCCTCAGCCTCCCAAGTAGCTGGGATTACAGGCACATGCCACCACGCCCAGCTAATTTTTGCATGTTTAGTAGAGACAGGGTTTCACCATGTTTGCCAAGCTGAATGATACATCGTTATTAACTGAAGCCTATTGCTTGTTCAGATTTTCGTGAATCCTCATATCCTTTTTTTCAGTTCCAAATCCCATTCAGGATACTACATGACATTTATTTGTCACGTCTCCATAGGTGCCTCTTGGCTAAGAGGTGACATTTTTCTCAAGCTTTTCTTGTTTTTAATGACCTTGATGTTTTAAGGAGTACTGGTCGGATATTTTGTAGGGTGCCCCTGTATTGTAATTTGTCTGATGTTTCTCTCATGATTGAACTGTAGTTATGGATTTTGGGGAGGAAGATTGCAGAGGGGAAGTACAATTTTCATCACATCGCATCAATGGGACATGTTATGGACAAGATTTTTGACAGCTGATGCTGACTTTGATCACCCGGCTAACACAGCGTTTGTCAGCTTTCTCCGCGGTAAACCTTTTTTTCTACCTTTTCATAGGGCATTCTTAGGAAGAAAGCCACTATGTACAGCCCACACTTAAGGAGTGAAGAGCTGTGTTTCCCCTCCTTTACATAAAGTAACTACATAATTTATTTGGAAATCTTCTATATATGAGATTTGCTTCTTCTCAAGAAGAAATTTTGAAACAGCCAAGAGTCTATGATCATTTCTTCTCCGTCTGCTAGACCTAAAATACGCCTGTTGCATTTTCTTGAAACAAAAGACTTGGGAAGGCACATTTGAATTTGCCCATGATTAAATATTAAGTATTTTTTTAAAATAAATAGTGTGTTTTCTTTTCCCCTTTGAGAGTCATCCAGTTAAATAAACTTTGAACTGTCAAGTCTGGTTCTCCTCTCTACAAGTGACATGTAACAAATACAGCTTTCATCTCCCAGCTGCTGTGCACATCTCCTTGAAAAGAAGGCTCTTGGACACTCATTTCTGTCACCTGAGCACACAGCTCACATTCTTATCAGCACTTGGATGCTGGGACAGGGAGCTGTCAGAAGGGTCACCTAAGAACAGTGGGGTCACATAGGCATGGGACTAGCAGTAGCAGTCAAGGCTTGAACCTCTCCAGGCACACAGGGCTCCCTCCCTCCTGAAACCTCCATCCCAGCTTTGGGAGCATGGCTCTGTTAGAAAACAGGTTCTTTCATTGAGTCAAAACCATCGCCTGGCTTCCATCCATTTGGTCCCACTCCCATTCTCTAGGTCATAAAGAACAAATTCATATCTCCCAATGATGTTCTCGTCTGCACACACACCCCCACCATGGCCCACTGATTGTTCAAGGCACTGATGATGATCTGCCCAAGTCAGATTCCCCCCAGCCCAACGCACTTGGTTCTTGATTTCTTCATTGTTAAGATGTGACTTCCAGGCTCATTAACACCCCAGCTGTTCTCCTTTGAGTGGACTTCAAGGTGCCTCCTGGGTTTTCTTTTCTTCTTCTTATTTTTGAGGCAGAGTGGTATGGTTTGGCTCTGTGTCCCCACCCAAATCCCATGTTGAATTGTAATTCTCAATGTTGGGGGAAGAAGCAGGTGGGAGGTGATTGGATCATGGGGGCGGATTTCCCCCTTGCTGTTCTCATGATACTGAGTGAGTTCTGACGAGATCTGGTTGTTTAAAAGTGTGTGGCACTTCCCCCTTCACTGTCTCTCTCTCTTTCCTGCTCCAGTCATGGAAAGACGTGCCTGCTTTTCCTTCACCTTCCACCGTGATTGTAAGTTTCCTGAGGCCTCCCAACCAAGCTTCCTGTAGGTGCATCTGTGAGTCAATATCTTTTCTTCATAAACTACCCAGTCTCGAGTAGTTCTTTACAGCAGTGTGAGAATGGACTAACACACAGGGTCTTGCTCTGTTGCCCAGGCTGGAGTGTAGTAGTGTGATCATAGCTCATTGTAGCCTTGAACTCCTGGGCTCAAGCAATCCTCCTGCCTCAGTCTCTGCAGTACCTGGGACTATATGGCATTCGCCACCATGCCTGGGTAATTTTTAAATTTTTTGTAGAGAAAGGGTCTTGCTATGTTGCCTCAAACTCCTGGTCTCAAACTCCTGGCCTCAAGTGGTCCTCCCACCCTGGCCTCTAAAGGTGCTAGAACTACACGCATGAGCCACACACCAGGACTTTATCCTGGATTTTCTACCCTAAGACCCCATAGGCTTCTTATGGAAACTGCTGACTCATTGATGCAACTTAAATAAAGCCTATCTCATTTTATATCAGATGCTCGCTCAGCCCTAGCTCCTCTAGTTTGCATTAGTACAGCTGGTTTATTTATTTATTATTATTATTATTTTTTGAGACGGAGTCTTGCTCTGTCGCCCAGGCTGGAGTGCAGTGGCACGATCTCTGCCCACTGCAAGCTCCGCCTCCTGGGTTCACACCATTCTCCTGCCTCAGCCTCCCGAGTTGCTGGGACTACAGGCCCCCGCCACCACGCCTGGCTAATTTTTTGTATTTTTAGTAGAGATGGGTTTCACCGTGTTAGCCAGGATAGTCTCCATCTCCTGAACTCGTGATCCGCCCACCTCAGCCTCCCAAAGTACTGGGATTACAGGCGTGAGCCACCGCGCCCGGCCTAGTACAGCTGGTTTTGATGACGAAAATGCAGGAACTCAAAGTTATTCCATTAAAGGTAATTGTGTCCTGACCCTGTTGCGTATCATGTATGTATATGAGGTTGTATGCATCTACACGCAAGTCTTAGCGGGAAAGGAGGTTCAGAATGACGTAAAACCGTAGTTTAAATCTCTCCGGGTGGTAGGATTATTGATGCTATTTTATTTCCATTATTACTTACCTGAACTATCATTTTTTCTTGAATGAACTTCTTAATTATTTTGCAATTTACCAAAAAACTTTTTAATCTCACGTGAGTCAGACTATTTTCTCAGCCTACGGAGGACTCTCTGAGCTATTTCAGGGAGAACTCGTCACTCTTTGAGAATCCTTAAAGTGCACATTTGTTGGCACTTTAAGGTGAAAGACAGACGCAGAAGTGTGACAGGAGGTTGGAGGTTGAGACAGCACTTGGCTGTTGTAAAGCAGTTGTTTTTTCCTTTGGAATGAAGCTCCTCCCAGGGCCTGAGTGCATGTGCGCGCACGCGCGCGCGCGCGCACACACACACACACACACACACACACACACCAATGAATCTCTGCTCCTTTAGCATTTAAGGGTCCACAGCAATGTATCTAGACATATTCCTGCAGATCCTCACTCCCCTCCTCCTCTCTCATCTAAGGTTTTCATGTTAGAACAGGGACAGCAAAGCAAAGTCACATGGCAGGCAGTATAGCCTAGTGGTACCGAACAAGAGATTTTTCTTTAAGGTAAAGACAGGGTCTTGCTATGTTGCCCAGGCTGGTCTTGAACTCCTGGCCTCAACTGACCTTTTTGCCTTGGCCTCCCAAAGTGCTGGGATGACAGGCATGAGCCACCATGCCCAGCCCAGAACAAGAGATCTGAGTGAGATAGACTGAGGTCTGAAACCCAAACCTGCCAGGTACAGACTATGTGATATTGAGACAGGTTATTAATCTCCCTGAGTTTCAGTGTTCCCATCTATAAAGAGAAAATGATAGCACCTGCCCATAAGCTTGCTGGGAGGATGAAAAGAGAAGGTGCTTATAAAAAACTATGCAGGCCGGGTGTGGTGGCTCATGCCTGTAATCCCAGAAGTTTGGGAGGCTGAGGCAGGTGGATCACAAGGTCAAGGGATGGAGACCATCCAAGCCAACATGGTGAAACCCCCTCTCTACTAAAAATACAAAAAAAAAAAAAAAAAAAAATTAGCCAGGTGTGGTGGCACGCGCCTGTTAGTCCCAGGTACTCAGGAGGCTGAGGCAGGAGAATCGCTTGAACCTGGGAGGCAGAGGTTGCAGTGAGCCGAGATCACACCACTGCACTCCAGCCTGGGTGACAGAGCAAAACTCTGTTTAAAAAAAACAAAAACAAAAAACCCTTTGCATAGTGCCTGGCACATAGGAAGTGCTCAAATCATGGTGGTACTTATGGTTAACAGTGACAATTATCCTTTTCTGCCCTCCTCACTGGGCACCATGCTTGAATCTACCCTATCAGAAAATATCCCCAGGCAATGCAGTTAACAGCAGCCTGATAAATCAGCATACCCACAAGATAAATCCAGGGAAAGCAATAAAAACAAAACAAACAAAACAATCCCAAACAAAACCAAAAGCCTTCCCTGTATTTGAGAGAAATAGTCACCTTCCCCATCTGGTCTCTGGTGCTCAACTTCTTCACCCCTCTGGGAAATTCTTTTAAAAAGCAGATATCTTAAAACAAAGCAAAACAATAACACAACAGCAAGTTCTTCCCAAGACACCAATGGAAAGCAGTGGCTATGTCCTCCGTAAAGATCGAGGGGCTTTCTTCCAGGAAGCTGTTATCACTCATACTTATCTCACAGCAGTCAAGAGTAAGGCACGAGTTTGGATGACACCTCTGGGATATTGTCACATGCACTGGGGGAGCTCGGAAGAGCACGGAGGGTCGTCATGGATGGTTGCATACAGGTTCTTCATAACAGTGTGAGAACAGACTAATCCACAGGGTGTTGCTCTGGGGCCCAGGCTGGAGTACAGTGGTGTGATCATAGCTCACTGCAGCCTTGACCTCCTGGGCTCAGGCGATCCTCCTGCCTCAGTCTCTGGAGGCTGGCAGGGCGGATGGGAATCAGGAGTCTCTGGTTTTCTTTCTTCCCAACCTCTTGCAGGTTTCCTTTGCTTTGTCACTGTGCCTTCGGCTGGTTACCGATTAGAACCTCACGCAAACTCTCCAGAAAGAAAAACAGCTTCTTTCCAGGGGCCAGTGCCAGATTCTACCCTCTAAATGAATTGTGAGGTTGGGCGTGGCGGCTCATGCCTGTAATCCCAACACTTTGGGAGGCTGAGGCAGGAGGATGGCTTGAAGCCAGGAGTTCAAGACCAATCTGGACAGCACGGTAAGACCCTGTCTCTACGAAAAATTTAAAAATTATTCAGGCATGGTGGTGTGTGTCTGTAGTCCCAGCTGCTCCAAAGACTAAGGCAGGAGGATTGCTTGATCCCAGCAGTTCAAGGCTGCAGTGAGCTATGATTGTGCCATTGCATTCTAGCCTGGGCAACAGAGCAAGACCCCATCTCTGAAAAATAAAATAAAATAAAATAATTATGGTAATGGCTTTGATAAGTACTTAGAACCCCATTAATTTGGGCACATTTATAGTAGGTTGGGTCTGAGCTTTTGGGGGCAAAGGGAATTTGAATTATAAAACAGTGGTAATATCAGCGCAGTCTCAGGGTACACCTGAACTGGAACTTTCCTCTAGTTCCCACATGAGCCCCAGGCGGAGAACACTCTTCAATGAAGTGGGTACAAATAGCAGACAGATAGGATCCATCCCAAGGGAGGCCTCTGAAGCACTGAGAAGACACACAGGTAAATAGCTTTTTAAAAAAATTTTTCATTTTCTGAGCCTTATTTATATGAGCAAATGTTTAGGCATATGTTAAACTCAAGTATCACAAATTCTGAATCAAAGAGGTTGCATCTTGTATCGAAGCAGAGAAATCAAGAGGTGTAGCCTCTGGCACCAGAAGTTTGGTTTGGTGCCTTGGGCTAGGACTGGAGATTTCATTCTTTGTGTATTTTCAAGGGCAAAATGCCTGGGGAATAACTGAAAAACTGAGCAGCCTATATCTTCCTTTTTTTATCTTCATGGTGGGATTACAAGTGCTCCGCTTCATAACTAACCAGTGGCTGTGCCGCAGGCCTCTGTAGAAATCTCAATACCCAAAGCTCATGCTGTTGCCCAGGGCCTATTGCAACTGTCCCACCAAAAGCTTTACCTTTTTCTGCCTTTCCAAGTGGCACAGTGAAGGAGAGCCCACACTCTCAGGACTGGAGGAGCAGATATAATATTAGCTACCAATGAACTATGTATTCAGGAAAAAGATTAGTACAATCGATATAGATGAAGTCCACCAAGTATCCCTATACCTCACTCTGACCATGCTTTCCAATGTCCTACCCAACAAACTGTGAGATTTTATTCTTGATACAGTCTGGATATTTGCCTCCTCCAAATCTCATGTTGAAATGTGATCCCCAGAGTTGGAGGTGGAGCCTGGTTGGGAGGTGTTTTGGTCCTAGCTTGGGTAATGAGTGAGTTCTTGCTGTATTTATTCCTGTGAGAGCTGGTGGTTTAAAAGAGCCTAGAACCTCCTCCTCTGTCTCTTGCCTTCTCTCTCTCTCACAAGGTGATCTCTGCACACATCAGCTCCCCTTCACCTTCCCCCATGAGTGGAAGCAGCCCACAGCCTTAACCAGACCAGATGCTGGCACCATGCTTCTTATGCAGCCAGCAGAACCATAAGCCAAATAAACCTCACTTCTTTATAAAAGCACCCAGCCTCAGGTTTTCCATAACAGCAACTCAAATGGACTAAGACAGTTCTTTTCCCCACAAGGTAAGATAGGAAGAAAAGCAAGAGTTAGAAACACCCACTCTGTGGGTAATTTTTTCTCTTAGAGATAAGAGCTGCAGTTGGTTTGTTGGTAGCACCTCCTTATCAAACTTCTCAACAAGATAAAAGGACGTGTGTGTAATGGAAAGTGACTCAACCTGTGCTTCTCCAACTAGGGATTTGCAGGCATCTAGGCAGCCTCTGACTTTCGCATGTACAAGATGTCTGTAAGATTTTCAAAGTTTTTTTGTCTTTATTTTGGTGATTATCGGAAAATTAGGTCAGGTGCAGTAGCTCACCCCTGTAATCCCAGCACTTTGGGAGGCCGAGATGGGCCATTCACTTGCAGTCAGGAGTTTAAGACCAGCCTGGCCAACATGGTGAAACCCCATCTCTATTAAAAATACAAAAATTAGCCAGGTGTGGTGGCACACACCTGTAGCCCCAGCTACTCAGGAGGCTGAGGCAGGAGAATCGCTTGAACCCAGGAGGCAGAGGTTGCAGTGAGCTTAGATCATGCCACTGCCCTCCAGCCTGGAAGACAGAGTGAGACCCTGTCTCTAAAAAAAAAATTAATATGAGCATCTTCTGCATTACCTGGATGGCCCAGATGAGTACTGAACGTGGCTTTAGTTCATGTGTTTGTGTGCCAACAGCCCTGGGGCTAAGTTGTTCTACGGGAATTGTCATAAAAAGAAGAAGAGAGTGGTGTAAAAGCAAGAAGAGAGTGGTGGTTTTTTTTTTGTTATTGTTGTTTTGTCAAGACGGAGTTTCCTTCTTGTTGCCCAGGCCAGGCTGGAGTGCAGTGGCACAGTCTCGGTTCATTGCAACCTCCGCCTCAGCCTTCCAAGTAGCTGAGATTACAGGTCCTCACCATCACGCCCAGCTAACTTTTGTATTTTTAGTAGAAATGGGGTTTCACCATGTTGCCCAGGCTGGTCTTGAACTCCTGACCTCAGGTGATCCACTCACCTTGGCCTCCCAAAGTGCTAGGATTACAAGCATGAGCCACTGCACCTGGCCGAGGGTGGAGATTTTAATAGAAATGTGTTTGTTGCTCAGGAAAGCTGCTAGAATATAAATTCCCAGAGAGCAGGATTTCTATCCTCTTTGCTTACTAATTTACTACACCCTAGAGAGACGGTAGGTGCTCAATAAATATGGGGTAAATGAATGGTGAGTAAACATTTCCAAAATACTCCAGAGTACAGGAAACTAGAGGGAGAATCAGGTTATCATGAGGCACAGAAGAACCTCTGCTGGTTCAGTTGGTTCCACATTCACATCTGAAGCAGCAACGATTCCATTTCGGTGAGTGACAGTGCCACCAGGTTAAATGAATACTGTTAACTGAAATTTTATCTACTTTGTTGGTTTGTTCATATCGACTTGTAAATTTATTCTTATATTATAGCTGCAACAGACCTATGAGTAGAAGCCATTTTATGTTTACACATATTTGAGAAACACTATAGTAAAAAATAAATTAGGTCAGCCCTGAGGGTCTGTGAGAGTTTTTTTTTTCTTTAGAAGGATGCCACTTATTACTTTATTTAAGAAATACTACCAGCCTGGGTGACATAGTGAGATCTCATCTTTACAAAAGAAAAAAAAATAGCCGGGTAAGGTGGTATTGAAGCGGTGTCATTGTCTGGGGTAAATACCCAGGGTTCATTGTCTCACACCAAGAAGATTAAGGACATGGACCAGACACACAGGAGGAGTGAGTTTAGGAGCAGAGGGTTAATAGGCAAAAGAAAGAGAAAGGAGAACAGGTCTCTCCCTTGTGAGAGAGGGATTCCTGAAAAAGAAAACCCAGCCCTTGGACTACACCAGATTTTATAGGCAGGCTTGAGGAGATGGTGTCTGATTTCCATAAGGCCCACATATTGGTTCGGCCAGGTGTGACGTTTACATAGTGTGCCAGGGGAGGCTGGTCACCCCATTCTAACCTTATTATGCAAATGGGGTCTTTGCCTGGCTGGTGCCATATTGTCTTCTCCTTACTGTCCACATGATTTGGCAAAGAGAAGGGAAGATGGAGCCGCCATGTTGGACATGCCGATTCCCAGGTAGCCTTATCCTGTTAGCACAGCTGCCAGCATTCACCAGTGCAAGCTTCCAGCTTGCTTGTCTCTGTCTGAAGCTTGATTTCACAGGCTGCTCTTTGTTAGAAAAGAAAATCATTTGGGGGTTGCTTTTTATTAAAAGGAAAACATTACCGAGGACTTCTTTGCCCTTACTATCTACCTAAGTAATTTCTTCTTAACTCCTGTATCAGTATGTGCACCTGTAGCCTCAGCTACTTGGGAGGCTGAGGTAGGAGGATCGTTTGAGCCTTGGAGTTCAAGTCTGCAGTGAGCTATGATTGTACCACTGCACTCCAGTCTGGGTGACAGAACAAGACACTGCCTCTTAAAAAAAAAAAAAAAAGAAAAAAAGGACACACTAGATTAAAATTGTCAACAATATACACCCCATCCTGCAGGAAATGGCATATGGCTTCTCTAGCCAAGAAAGTTAACCATTTCTCCAGGTGGCAGAAATGAATTCTATCCACTGATCAAGGTGCTGCCCACGGAATAGAGGTTGTTCCCCTTATAGTTATGGCAGCTGTGTTCAAGCTTAAAGGGGCCCACTGACTTTGAGGCATCCTATAGCTTAAATTTGTTGTGTGTTTTAGAGACAGGGGTCTCATTCTGATGCCCAGGCTGGAGTGTGGTGATGTAATCACAGCTCACTGCAACCGGGGTAGTTTCTAAATTTTTTGTTTTGTAGAGACAAGTTCTCACTATTTGGATTTTGTTGTTGTTGTTGTTTGTATTGTATCATTTTGTTTTTTTGAGACAGTCTTGCTCTGTCTCCCATTGTCACCCTGGCTGGAGTGCAGTGGTGCAATCTCGGCTCACTGCAACACTCCACCTCCCAGGTTCAAGCGATTCTCCTGCCTCAGCCTCTGAGTAACTGGAATTACAGGCGTGTGCCACCATCACCAGCTAATTTTTTTGTATTTTTAGTAGAGACGGGGTTTCACTATGTTGCCCAGACTGATCTTGAACTCCTGACCTTGGGTGATCGAGCCTCCTTGGCCTCCCAAGGAGCTGGGATTATAGGCATGACCACCACACCCGGCCAGAGGTCTCACTATTTTGCCCAGTCTGGTCTCAAACTCATGGCCTCAAGCATCCTCCCGCCTTGTACTCCGGAAGCACTGGGATAACAGGTGTGAGGTGCCTTGCCCAGCCTTCACTGTAGGTTTAAATCTCATCAGATGACAGAAAGCTTAGTCTTGTCTTCAGCCTCCAGAGGGAGGGACAGTGGGAAGACATTCTTGAGATTCAGATCATGCTTGGCTCACTGTCAGAAAGAGTTTTCCTGCCTTAGAACAACCTGTCTCTAGAGTTTATCAAGCAGATACTGACTGATTACTTGGACAGGTAGGCGGGCGTCCACTAGGGGAGTGGGTAAGATGCGATTGTGTTCCTGGAGGAATATGAGCCCATCAACCATGTATTAAGGATGATAATAATCTCTGGTGAGGCTGGACAGTATCCTGTCTTCTGGAACCATCCACAGCATTATCGATTGATCCCTGTCTGGCTCTCCTTGTTTCCGTTCTTGGTTCCTTGTTTTTGGCTAATCAGTAATGGGAGGCTGTATCAATACCCAGCAGAGGAGGTCAAGCTGGAAGCCACATGTGTGAGGTCCATCCATCGGCTGGGGCCTCTTTGGGGGAAAGAACACTGGAATTTTCTAATATGCCTGGAGCCCTATTCATGCCAATAGGCATAGACCCCATTTCATGACTGCTTGGGCTACAGGGCAGAAGCCCAATATATTGTGTTGGAATGAGACCACCACTTCTCCTGTTGTCCTTCCCAGCTTCTCCCCAACCCTCCCTTTTCCCTAGTTTATAAGACAGGAGAAAAGGGAGAAAGCAAAAAGTTGGAAAGAAGCAGAAGTAAGATAAATAGCTAGACGACCTTGGCGCCACCACCTGGCCCTGGTGGTTAAAATAATAATAATAATAATAATAATAATAATAATAATAATAATAATAACCCCCGGCCAAAACTACTGGTGTTATTTGTAAATTCCAGACATTGTATGAGAAAGCACTGTAAAACTTTTTGTTCTGTTAGCTGATGTATGTAGCCCCCAGGCACGTTCCTCACGCTTACTTGATCTATTATGACCCTTTCATGTGGACCCCTTAGAGTTGTAAGCCCTTAAAAGGGCTAGGAATTTCTTTTTCAGGGAGCTCGGCTCTTAAGATGCGAAGTCTGCCGACGCTCCCGGCAGAATAAAAACCTCTTCCTTCTTTCATCTGGTGTCTGAGGAGTTTTATCTGCGACTCGTCCTGCTACAGTGTCTGTTTTCTTCTCTTAAATAGGAGCTTCCAAGGGCAAAAACCATGCTGCTTCTCTCTTCATCACAGTGCCTCGCACTTAACACATTTTAGCTCAATCTCCTCTCTCCCTCCTTTCCTCTCTCTCTCTCTCCTTTCCTTTTCCAAGAAATCATAAGGGCCAGGTGCAGTGGCTCACGCCTGGAATCCCAGCATTTGGGAGGCTGAGTTGGGCGGATCACTTGAGGTCAGGAGTTTGAGACCAGCCAACATGGTGAAACCCCATCTCTACTAAAAATACAAAAATTAGACTGGCATGGTGGCAGGTGCCTGTAATCCCGGCTACTCTGGAGGCTGAGGCAGGAGAATCGCTTGAGCCCGGGAGGTAGAGGTCTCAGTGTGCCAAGATTGTGCCACTGCACTCCAGCCTGGGCTGGACAGAGCAAGACTTTGTCTCAAAAAAAAAAGAAAAAAAAAAAAAGAAAGAAAGAAAAGAAAAAAGAAATCATAAGGAGCAAACCACAGAGGTGTCCAAATATATTTGTTGAACAGAACTGAAATGCACCTCTGCACTTTGAGGTTGAGCAGTGATCCCCAAACTTGGGTCTAAGGAGACTTATCTGAGAAGTGAAAAAACAGGGAAGCCAAGACACTCAGACATACATGATTGTGGGACATCAGGAACTGATCATTGGCAGGCACAGGGAGCTCAGATGGAAACATGAGGCTGACATCCTGACACTCAGCAGGGACTGGGCTCCTGGCTTCAGCCGCTGGGCTTATTGAAGCCTGGGAAAGCTTCATGAACTGCCTAGTTCCCTACACAGGCTCCAAGCCCCTTGCAAGCCTTTTCCTGGCTGGCTGTGACCCTACCCTTCCCAGAAAAGCATTGGCAAAGAGGAAGGAGGAGAAATAGCACGTCAATCAATGATAACTCACTCACTGCAGCCCTGGATGAGTGATCTGCTCTGCTCAGGGGCCTCCCTCACTTTATGAAACCGGGTTGTTTTTCAAGGATGGTAGAAAAAATATCAGATGAAAAAAATGGCTTCAGAAACTCACAAAAAAGGCTTGGAGTGGCTTATAAGGGCAGTGTCTGGCCCCCAGTGTGCTGATACTATCTTTTCCGATTCTTCTCTTTCCTTAGCCCCCAGCATCCATCTAACCAGAAAGAAAACATGTGAGATGTCTGAAATAACAGAGATTCAAAGGCATTGGCTTCGACGGCTTGAGCATTTACCAGGACTACCATCTGCAACATTTTTTGTTTTTTTTTCTTGCCATATACATTGAGTGGAAAAAAAATTAGAGGAAAGAGAAAGAAATGGTCACAGCTAGGGGAGGGCAGGAGTTCTGGTGTGAGGGGAAGGGGCTGGGCAGGGCAGGAGGGTGACATAGCCAGAGCCCAGCCTCCTGTCCTGTCCTGCATTCTCCCCCACGGCAGAGGGGACCATGGAGGGTGCTCAGGTCAGGAAATGGATCTGTCACTTCTCAAACTATAGATGACGCCAATGACTGACATAATGAAGGAGTGTGAGATTTCCCTTCAGCTCAAGGCTTGGAGTTTGCTGCCCTGGCCATCCTTGTGCAGAGACATGGGGTCTCCAGAACTTTTTGTTTTCTTCTGTTTTTTTTTTTTTTTTTTGAGACAGAGCCTCACTCTGTCACCCAGGCTGGAGCGCAGTGGTGTGACCTCAGCTCACTGCAACATCTGCCTCCCTGGTTCAAGCGATTCTCCTCCCTCAGCTTCCCATGTAGCTGGGACAACAGGCGCACGCCACCATGCCCAGCTAATTTTCGTATTTTTTTTTTAGTACAGATTGGGTTTCACCATGTTGGCCAGGATGGTCTCTATCTCTTGACCTCGTGATCTGCCTTGGCCTCCCAAAGTGCTGGGATTACAGGCATGAGCCATGGTGCCTGGCCTTGTTTTTGTTTTTGAGACAGAGTCTCGCTCTGTCGTCCAGGCTGGAGTGCAGTGGTGCAATCTCGGCTCACTGCAACCTCCGCCTCCTGGGCTCAAGAGTTTCTCCTGCCTCAGCCTCCTGAGTAGCTGGGATTATAGGTGCCTGCCACGACGCCCAGCTAATTTTTGTATATTTTAGCAGAGATGGGGTTTCTCCATGTTGTCCAGGCTGGTCTCGAACTCCTACGATCTCCAGAACTTTTATTTATTTTTTTCGAGACGGAGTCTTGCCCCGTCGCCCAGGCTGGAGTGCAGTGGTGCCATCTTGGCTCACTGCAACCTTCGCCTCCTGGGTTCAAGCAATTCTCCTGCCTCAGCCTCCCGAGTAGCTGGGATTACAGGGTCACGCTACCACGCCTGGCTAATTTTTGTATTTTTAGTAGAGATGGGGTTTCACCATGTTGGCCAGGCTGGTCTTGAACTCCTGACCTCAAGTGATTCACCTGCCTCAGCCTCCCAAAGTGCTAGGATTACAGGCGTGAGCCACCACGCCCGGCCATCCAGAGCTTTTAAATTCTCCCAAAGGACTTAAGACCAATCCTTTCCTTCCCACCAGGGTCCTGCTTCTCTTTTCTCTTCCTCCCTTTCTCTTGCTTTGTTAATTCTTCTTCACTCCCTTGGTCCATGGCCACTCCCAGTGCCATCAAGCCCAGATGGGACCCCATGGGGTCAAGAGGGTGTTGCCCTGGGATGCTGACCTCATGCTCTGAGCAGTCTCCCCAGGTATCCTGATCCCATGGGGGGAAGCTGCTGACAGATGGTGCTGATGTGAACAGCACCTCCAGGCTACTGGACCTTGTAACCAAGGTTCAGAGCTCAGAGCACATGTGCTGGTACCAGAGAGTCTCAGGGGTCCTGAGCCAGCATCCCCCACGCCACATAAACAAGCAAAGCGGGCCATCTTGTCCTGCCACTGTGTGGCCCTAAAAAAGAGGGGGTGCCAGATGCAGTAGCTCATACTTGTAACTTCAGCACTTTGGGAGGCCGAGGTGGAGGATCACTTGAGGTCAGGAGTTCCAGACCAGCCTGGCCAACATGGTGAAACCCCGTCTCTTACTAAAAAAAAAAATAAAATAAATAGGTGTGGTGGCAGACGCCTGTAATCCCAGCTACTCAGGAGGCTGGGGCAGGAGAATCACTTGAACCTGGGAGGCAGAGGTTGCAGTGAGCCAAGATTGCGCCACTGTACTCCAGCCTGGGTGAGAAGAGCAAAAAAAAAAAAAAACAAAAAAGGTGGAATTTTCTGGATAGTGGCAGGAAGCGGCTGGATCAGGCCAAGTCCCATGGTAAGTCGTCCCTTCCTTACAGCTTTCTGTGCCAACCTGACGTTCCTAACCTGGGACACACAAGGGTTAGTAAGCGAGGGTCAGGTGTCCAGTTCTGTCCTGCTTTAAGGGGGAAAAGGCGAGTGTGAGGGTAGAACGGCATTGCCTTAGTCAGCCCCAGTGTGCGGGGGCCTTTTGCCTTTACTAAGAGCAAACCCAGACCTGGTGCACTGACTCACACCTGTAATCTCTGCACTTTGAGGGGCTGAGGTGGGAGGATCACTTGAGGTCAGGAATTCAAGACCAGAGTGGGGAACATAGCAAGAACCTGTTTCTCAAAAATCAGCCAGGTCTAGTGGCCTGTGCCTGTGGTTCGAGTTACTCAGAAGGCTGAGGTGAAAGGATTGCCTGAGGCCAGGAGTTTGAAACGAATCTGGGCAATATAGCAAGACCCCGCTCTACAATTTTTTTTTTAATTAGCTGGATGCAGTGGCTCACACCTGAAATCCCAGCAGTTTGAGATGTGAAGGTGGGAAGATCTCTTGAGGCTAGGAGTTCAGGCCCAGCCTGGGCAACATAGCAAGATTCCATCTCTACAAAAATCTTTTTTAAAAAATTAGCCAGGCACGGTGATGTGTACCTGTAGTCTCAGTTACTCAGGAGGCTGAGGTGGGAGGATCATTTGAGCCCCAGGAGTTTGAGGCTGCAGTGGGTCATGATTGCACCACTGCACTCCAGCCTGGGCCACAGAGCAAGACCCCATCTCGAATAAATAGATAAATAAGTAACACTAAACCCTCAAAGCCAAAGAAGCTCTCCTCCTATGTCTCCATCACTCCCCTCCCCACCTCCAGTTCTGGAGAAATCAAGACACAAAGGAGGCTGCTCTGGGAAGTGCTAACATGTATTTATTCCACAAGGTGGGAGATGGGGTGAGGAGATGATCACCAGTAAGACGTCACCAAATGAGACACTGCGAATCCCACACAGGGCAAGGGGGCAGCTACAGGGTTCAGCTCTGGGCAGGGCTTGGCCAGGGACAGTGTGGGGAAAAAGAGATGGGGACTGGGAGATGGGACAGCCTCCCATCGGGGGCACCCCACAGGGCAGGGCTGAGACACATCCTTCCGGCCAGTGACATGGGGCCAAACCCACACCCTTCTCATCCCTCGTCCCCATCCAGGTGAGTAATGAAGCAGCAAGCCCAAGGCCACACAGCTAGGTCAGCATCGTCACACACTCCGGAACGCACAGCCAGACACACACACACACACCCTGCCACGCACAGCACGCAGGCACACACACACTTGTGCATGCACACGCGTTCATATATTAACTCTGATTTATATGTGCACCCTAACCAGAGGGCAATCGAAAAAAATACTCTTCAGAGAGGAAACGACTGCCTTCTCCTCTGCCAGCCAGCAGAGCGTGGGGTGAAATGAGGTGAGCCAAAAGCATCTTCAAGGGTCCTGGCAGCCTTTGCTTCAGCCCTTAGGTTCTGGATGGAGGACCGCTGCTTCTCCCCGGTGGCAGCCTCTGGGAGTCAGGGCTCCCTGGTCCTTGACCCAGCTCCATCCTGCGGGGCCCTTGTGGCTGAGATCCTACTGCAGGCTTAGCCTATTTCTGTCTCTGGCTTCCTCTAGACACAGGCAGGAGAGCTGGCCCAAGCACACTGATAAGAGCCTAGTGCCCAGGGATTAGGAGAGAAAGCATCAGCTCCATCAGGTCATCTCAGGAGGGGCCAGAAAAGTCCAGAGCTGCAGTGCCCAAAGCTACCCTGGTGGGAAGGGTTAGGGGCAGTAGCTGCCTTGGGGCGTGAACAGGCAGGTGTCATCTGGGTAGAAGTAACCTCGGAGGAAATAGTGCCTGGTCCTCACTGCCTCCTTTTAGGGCGGGGAGCTAGGACATGGCTGAAGCCCCCGCTGCCTCCCACCGTGTTGATGGCTGGAGTTCAGCAGCTGCTGCTGCAAGAGATGAGACACAGGAGGGGACCCTGCCAGTCCCAGATCCTGATTCTGGGATGGGAGATGTGGAGGAGAACTGGACAGTCTTGCTCCTCAGTACCAGGTCCACATCAGAGGCTGTGGAAGACAGCTGTCAGTTTCCCAGAGGAAGGGTGGGGGGCTTTTCCAGGGTGCAGGAAACTTGTGGGCAGCTGAATGCCTGAGGGGGGACAGAGTCTTCATCCGGGGTCCCTGTGCTGCCCTGGAGAAGCCCTGGGGGGCCCATCGAGCACCTGCCGGCCCCTTGCTGTCTCTCCGCCAGGGCAGCTGGTCCAGATGTTGGGGGGAGCAGCCATGTCCTGGGGGCCAGGCTCCAGTGCCCCAGCTCCCTCCCTCTACTTGATGGAGTTCTTAATGGTCCACCTCTGACCTGTGCAGCTGCGGAGGATGAGGTCGATGCCAGCCAGGCCCCGGTTCTCCACCTCCAGGCAGCGTCCCGTGCCCTTGTTCATGATGGCTCCATTCTGGGAGGGGGCAAAATCGAGAAGAGAGGAGAAGAGAGAGAGGAGAGAGAGACAGCGAGAGATATAGAGAGAGGAGAAAGAGAGACAGGAGAGAGAAAATGACAAAGAGAAAAAGAAAAAGAGAAGAGAAAGAGAGAGACAGAGAAAGAGGCAAAGAGAAGACAGAAAGAGGAGAGAGAGAAAAAGAGGGAAGAGAGGAGAAAGAGAGAAGATAGAGACAGAAGAGAAAGAGACAGGAGAGAGAACGAGACAAAGAGACAAAGAGAAGACAAAGAAAGGGAGGAGGGGTAGAAAAAGAGGGAAGAGAGAGAAGAGAGAAGAGAGAAGATAGAGAGGAGAGAGAGAAAAAGAGAAAGATAAAGGGGAGAGAGAAAAAAGAGAAGAGAGGAGAGGAACAGAGAGAAGACAGGAGATAGAGGAGAGACAAGACAGAGAAGAGAAAGAGAGAAAGGGAGAGAGAGGCAGAGAGAGGGAGACAGAGGGAGAGAGGGAGAGAGAGGGAGAGAGAGAGAGTGCAATAGGAGAAAGAAAGAGAGAGAGAGGCTTAACTATCATGGCGCCTGGCACATAGCTTCTTGCAGAGAATCAATTCCACCAAAATTCTTTGCATGAGACTGGGGCAGGGAAGCATGAGGACCTCCTCTGGGGACTCTGAAGTCAGAACCTAAATAAGCTTCACCCAGTTGGAGTATCTGAATCAGGTGAGGAGCGTTGGTGGGGGGTGGGGGATGGGGTCAGGAGGGGGTCAGGATGTTGAGTTTCCTGGGATATTCTTGGTCTGATGGTCTCAACCCCACTGGCTGTGGGTACTTAGTGGATTTCAAGGAAGTCCCCCCTCACTCCTATCTCAGGATTGATCAGAGCTCAACCAGCCTAGCACTGACATAGGAATCAGAAATGCTACTCCATGCAGAAACTCCACAGCTGCCCCCAGGAAGTGCTTTGGGTCCACAAGCCCAGCCCGGGGCAGGGAGACCTGGGTTCGGGGTCGCTCTTTGCTGGGGACCCCTGGGGAAGCAGGATTCCCCTCTGTGGTCTGCAGCCTCTTGCAGCTACTCTGGGTGCTGGCTCTGTCCATACAGCACTCACCTGGATGAAGTTCCAGCGCTTGTACAGGCTGCTCTTGACCTTGTCGCAGTCCAGGAGCTGGGGCAGCCGACTCTTGGAGTTGTCCACCAGGCAGCGGGTGTCAGGGAGGAGTGTGGTGGTCCCCAGGGCACCCAAGTGCAGGAAGCCTTCCTTGGTGTAGCGGGCAAGCTGTCGAGAGACCAGAGCAGCAGGGGAATGGAAGTGGGAGGCAGGAGTGAGACATGGGAGGAAGCAGGGCTCAGGTCTCTCGGCTTTACTCCTGCTGTTTGTCAATACTGCAGTCCTGGCCACCATCCCAGCCTGTCACTCAGGCCATATGCTCACCTCACAGGACAGCCCTGTTCCAGAAAGCCACCCAGGCTTCTGAGCCTGGATACAGAGTCCCCAGGGCAACTCTCTGATCTTTTTTCCTTTTTTCTTTGAGATGGAGTCTCACTCTGTTGTCCTGTCTGGAGTGCAATGGCACGATCTCAGCTCACTGCAACCTCCGCTTCCCAGGTTCAAGCAATTCTCTTGCCTCAGCCTCCTGAGTACGTGGGATTACAGGCGCGCACCACCACACACGGCTAATTTTTGTATTTTTAGTAGAGATGGAGTTTCATCATGTTGGTCAGGCTGGTCTCGAACTCCTGACCTCGTGATCTGCCCACCTCGGCTTCTCAAAGTGCTGGGATTACAGGCATGAGCCACGGCGCCCGGCCCTGATCTTTTATCTAAGCATATCCTCAGTCAATGTTTTAGGACCTAGTCTTCTGTTCAGCAACATCGGGGAGAAGGAATAGATGAAGAAGCTGGATGTCTAATTTCTAAATGGCTCTACTTTCAGCTGGCTGGGCCACCTTGAACAAGTAACCTGAGTCTCCATTTCCTCCCCACTTACAAAGGGGGATTGACTAAATCTACCCTGCTGCAAAAGGCTCAAAGAAGCCATTCACTGAAGAAACAGACATTAAACAGTACTCAACCTCATAGGTATGAAAAGAAACAAAAATCTAAAATAATAAGATACCACATTTTACAAAAGAGATTAGGCCAGGCTCAGTGGCTCATGCCCGTGATCCCAGCACTTTGGGAGGCTGAGGCAGGCAGATCACTTGAAGCCAGGAGTTCGAGACCAGCCTGACCAACATGGCCAAACTCCGTCTCTTCTAAAACTACAAAAATCAGCTGGGTGTGGTGGTGAGCAACTATAATCCAAGCTATTCAGGAGGCTGAGGCAGGAGAATTGCTTGAACCTGGGGGTGCGGAGGTTGCAGTGAGCAGAGATTGTGCCACTGCACTCCAGCCTGGGCAACAGAGTGAGGCTCTGTCTCAAAAAACAAACAAAAACCAAAAAAACAAAAAAAAAAACCCAAAAACTGAAACTAAAATCAGAGATTATTCACCACATTTTGGTGACCTAAGTCTAAGATGGGCCCTCTCACTATTGGGCTGGAGGGAGGGTAGATTACTACAACCTTTCAAAAAGGAGATTTCTAAATATATACTTCGTTCTTTTAAAATGTTCATGGCCTTTGATTCAATTAATCCACTTTTATGCGCAAAGGACATGAACAGACACTCTCACTAGAAGACATACAAGTGGCCAACAAACATGTGAAAAAATGCTCATCATCACTAATCATCAGACACATGCAAATCAAAACCACAATGAGATACCATCTCACACCAGCAAGAATGGCTATCATTAAAAAGTCAAAAAATAACAGAGGTTGATGAGGCTGCAGAGAAGAAGGCATGCTTATACACTGTTGGTGGGAAGGTAAATTAGTTCATCCACTGTGGAAAGAAGTTTGGAGACTTATCAAAGAACTAAAAGTAGAACTACTGTTTGACCTGCAATCCTATTACTGGGTATCTACCCAAAGGAAAAGACATCATTCTACCAAAAAGACACATGCACTTACACGTTCATTGCAGCACTATTCACAATAGCAAAGGTATGCAATCAACCCACGTGCCCATAAATGGTGAATTTGATGAAGAAAATGTGGTACCTATACACCATGGAATACAATACAGCCATGAAAAAGAACAGCATCATGTCTTTTGTAGCAACATGGATGCAGCTGGAGGCCATTATTCTAAGAGAATTAATGCAGAATCAGAAGACCAAACACTGTATGTTCTCACTTGTGAGTGGGAGCTAAATATTGGGTACTCATGGACATAAAGATGGAAATTACAGACACTGGGAATGCCAAAAGGAGGGAGGGAGAAAGGAAGGCAAGAGTTGAAAAACTACCTATTGGGTATTATGCTTACTACCTGGGTGACGATTTCAAGCATACCCCAAACCTCAGCATCATGCAATACACCCTTGTTAAAAACCTATATATGTACTCCTCTGAATCAAAATAGAAATTAAAAAGAATCCATTTGTAGAACTCCATGATATGGTTTGGCTCTGTCCCCACCCAAATCTCATCTTGAATTGTAGCTCCCATAATCCTCATGTGTTGTGGGAGGGACCGGTGGGAGGTAATTGATTCATGAAGGGAGGTTTTTCCCATGCTGTTCTCATGATAATGAATAAGTCTCATGAGATCTGCTGGTTTTATAAAGGACAGTTCCCCTGCACATGCTCTCTTCCCTGCCACCCCATAAGGCATCCCTTTGCTCCTCCCTCGCCTTCCAACATGATTGCGAGGCCTCCTCAGCCATGTAGAACTATGAGTCCATTAAAACCTCTTTTTCTTTATAAATTACCCAGTCTTGGGTATGTTTTTATTAACAGCATAAGACTGGACTAATACACTCTATCAGAAGGAAATAATCAGAATTGCAAACAAAAAATTCATGGGTAGGGTATTTATTGCAACAGAATTTATAATAATGAAAGAGCAGAGCAAAAATACTGCAAGTGGGCAACATAATCCTAGTACTTGCTTTATGCTCTATGTACAACAACAAATGCTGGATGATTGTGGTAGGTTGCAAAACTGACCACATCCTCCGCTATTCCTTCTATACACCCATGGCAAGATGGCTTTGAAGCAATTTCCATCAAGAAATGGAGTCTGTTCCCCCATCCCTTGAATGTTGGTTGGCCCTGTGACTTGCTTTGGCCAATGGAATGGAGCAGAAGTGAGGCTGTGCCTGTTCCTAGACTAGACTTTTAGCCTTGTATGAATCCTTTCAGTCTCTTGGAACAGTAAGCCCAGGCTGGCCTGTTTGAGGATGAGAGTCATGTGGCCCAACCAATTGCTAGTTAACCACCAGTTAACCAAATGGATGAGGCCAACCTGGATCAGGGAGCCCTCAGCCAACCTGCCAGCTGCTGATAGGAGATGCACGAATGAGTCCAGCCTAGATCAGCCAAGCCTAGTCCAGATCAGAGAACCATCCAGCTGACCTGTAGACTCGTGAGCAATAAAAAATGCATATTGTTTTAAGCCACTACGTTTTGGGGTAGTTGTTATGCAGCAATTCCTGACTGATACAGGGAAGGTGTTGCCCGGCAACCTTCCCACAACAGGGCCTGTACTAGGCTAGTAGCCTCGCCTCTGCTGCCTTTACTTTCCTGGGGAAGGAAAATTATATTGTTTAAGAATCATATTCCAAAATAAAAAAAATGCATTCATTCATCCATCTTTCACACTCCTGAGAGGGAGGGGCTGTGCCTAATTAATTTCCTTCCTTACTAGGAGCAAATCACAGACCAAGTGCTCAAAACGTGTTTGGGGTTGAGCACATAACTGTGGTGAATGGCATCATTTGAAAAGGCAGCCACATCTACACAGCTGTTGCCTAATAAATTAAAAAAAAATACTCTGCATCATTTCTAACCATTGTAAAGAGAATAAATAATGCAATTTTCCCAACAACTCTGCAAGATATGTTTTATTATTCTTTACATTTTATAGATGAGGAAACTGAGGCATGAAGACATCTGGTCACCTGGCTGGGTGCTGGCCGCTTTCTTTTGGTCACCGAATACCTCATGGTTGGCTGCCATGGCCCAGCAGCTGAGCAGCAGAAGAGCCCCCTCCCAGATTGCCAGGAGAACCCCACCTCCTCCAGAAAGCTTGAGCATATTCTGCCCAGGAATGAAATAAGTAGCTCTGCTCAGGGACAGGAGTGGCTCTTTTCTGGCAGATAAGATTCTCTGCATGGGGTTCTCATTTCTTGGTGAAAGGTACTCAGAAGCTCTTGGCTCTTATCCCAAAAGGAGGGCCTGGCTGGTCTCCTTGAACAAGGGACAGGGAGTTTATTAAGTGCCCTTGAGAGAGATGTGGTTAACGTGTGCTTTAAACCCCAATTAGTTCCAAATCAAAGTCATTGTTAGAAGCAAAATGGTAAGAAAATCAGAAGCCCTCCCTCCCCGTCCCTAAACAATGTCTGCCTGAATATATTTAAATTCTCCAAATGCAAAGTGATGAATGACAGCAAGCTGCCTTTATGTTCAGGGAAAGATATACACAGCTGCTTACTGAAATTATGAATCAATCTATTATCCAGCAGGCAGATGAGCAGCACTAAGAACATTAATTAACTGAGCATATCTGTGACCCAGATGTTTAAAGAGGGAAGCTAAATGCCACTGGGAGTTAGAGGTTCTCCTTTCTGAGGTCTGTTAGGGAGTGAAACAATGAGACCTAGAATGCCAGGACCTGCAGAGGCCACATGGCAGTCCTAAGCCATGCAGCCATGCAGGGTAGGCTGGGGCAGGTGAGGAGGGCCCCTGAGTGGGATTTCCTTTCCAGGGGAAGGTGTTTATCTCACTGAAAATACTGGGTCATGTGCATAGGTTCTGCTGGTCTGGCCAAGGGACCAATACTTGCCTCCTTTTCTGAGAAAGTTAGAAGCCAGTACTGTGGTCTGAAGAATGATGGGGCTAAAGTTAGGCAAACAGATCTCACATCCGCTTTTCTACCATGAGGCAGGTGGGTAGCGAACCCTTGGATCTGCTGTCAACCAAATGTCCAAAGTTTGCCCCAGTCCTGAACCAGGAGCCTTTGGGGTATTGTCCACCTACCATGACTCCTCATCCCTCATGCTCCTTCCTTGAGCGTCTCTTCTTCCTGTCCTCTGCACGTTCAGTAGGCTTTCCTGCCTCTAAGTCTTTGTCTAGGTGTATTTCTCTGCCTGGAGATGCTACTGATTGGCCTTCCTCTAGAATGTTCTGGCTTCAACTTTCCTAGGCTTCAGTGTGATTCTCTCTCCTGCACAATGTCTTCCAGCCCCCAGACCTCTCCTTTCAGGTCTTTGGAGCAACTGGATGTATGTGCTGCTTTAATGTGTCTCTTCAAGGTGTGGTCTCCTCATTTTGACCATTTTGTTTATTCATTTTCAAGCTGATGGACATTGGGGTTGTTTCCATTCTTTGGCTATTATGAATGATGCTGCTGTGGATATTCATGTACAATTTTCATATGAACATATGTTTTCAATTCTCTGAGGTATACACCTAGGAGTAGAATTACTCATCCTTGGGCCATATGGTAACTCTATGTTTAACTTTCTACGGAACTGCCAAACTATTTTCCAAAGCAGCTGTACCATTTTACACTCCCACCAGCAATGAACCGGGGTTTCAATTTCTCCACATCCTGGCCAACTCATGTTATTGTCTGCTTTTTTTGATTCTAGTCATCCTAGTAGGAGTGTGAAGTGGCCACTGTGGTTTTAATTTGCATTTCTCTAATGACTAAAGATGTTGAGCATCTTTTCATTTGCTTATTGACCGTTTTATATCTTCTTTGAAAAAAAAGTCTATTCAACTCTTTTGACCATCAAAAAAAGGGTTATTTGTCTTCTTATTTTTGAGTTTTAAGAGTTCTTTACATATTCTGGATACTAAGACATTTTTCTGACATATGATGTACAAATATTTTCTCCCATTCTGTGGGTTGTTTTTCACTTGCTTGATAATGTCCTTTGAAGCATCAAAGTTTTTCTTTTTGGTAAAATACAAAGTAGCTATTTTTTTCTTTGGTTATTTGTGGTTTTGAAGTCATATCTAAGAAACCATTGCAAAATCCAAGGCCATGAAGATTTACCCCTGTGTTTTCTAAGAATTTTATAGTTTCATCTCTTATATTTAGGTCTTTGATGCCCTTTGAATTTTTTTTCTGTATAGTATAAGGTTGAGGTCCAAATTCACTCTTTTTCATGTGGATATCTGTGTCCCGGCACCATTGCTGAAAAGACTATTCTTTCCTTATTGAATTGTCTTGTCACTCTTGTCAAAAATCAATGGACTATAAATGTGAGGGTTTGTTTCTAGACTCTAAATGTGATTCCTTTGATCTCCACGTCTATCTTTGTGCCACACTATACTGCTTTGATTATTATAGCTTTGTAGCAAGTCTTAGAACTGGGAAGTGTGAGTCTTGCAACTTTGTTCTTTTTCAATACTGTTCTGGCTATTTTGTGTCCCTTGAATTTCATATGTATTTTAGGATTAGCTTTTCCATTTCTGCAAAAAAAAAAAAAAAGGCAGTTGGCATTTTGATAGGGATTGCATTGAATCTCTAGATCAATTTAGGAAGAAATGCCATCTTAACACTCTTAAGTCCTCTAATCCATGAACACAGGATATCTTTTTTACTTAGATCTTTAATTTCTTTCAATAATGTTTTCTCATTTTCAGTGTACATGTCTTGCATTTTTTTGGCTAAATTTATTCCTAAGCATTTAATCCTTTTTGATGCTATTGTAAATGGTTTTGTTCTCTTAATTCCCTTTTCAGAATGTTCATTGCCAGTGCAAGTAGTGTGTTTAATACACCTCTGTGATCACACCAACCACCCAGGTACCTCATGGTCACTCTGAACTACAGGTTTTACGGGTCTCCTTGGTCTTTGCTTTCACACAGCCAGGGACAGGTGCCAACTGACCACACCCACTGGAGACCTGTGTTCCAACTGTGCCTGGGCCCTTCTCATCTTTTCATTTGCCTCATGTGACTCTCTGTCAACCAACACTGCCTTCCATCCCTGCCAGAGTCTAGATTTTTAAAAATGTGTTCTTCCTCCTCAATCTCCTATCCTGGTGTCCTGGGCCCTTACTGCCTTCAGAGAATATTACTTTCCATTTTGTTGAAAAGTTGTCTCCCTTACTTCTCAAAAACCTGTCTTCCTTCACTCTCATTTCCTTCGGTCTCTGACCCTCTTCCCACACTGTAGGTACCCTAAGCCATTATTCACTCCTTTCTTTCATTTCTTCAATCAAGCTACAAATATAACCGGATCTTTATGACTCTAGCCACAGCTCTACTTATCTCTTAATTTGAATTTCCTCTCTCTTATACCTTTAATGCCTTGAAACCTAACTTCTGCCATTGTTACTTTATTGAAATTGCTCTTTTAAAGGTTATCAGGTGATGCGGTTTGAGTGTTTGTCTCCTCCAAATATCATGTTGAAATGTGATTGACGGTGTTGGAGATGGGGTCTGATGGGAGGTAACTGTATCATGGGGCCATATCCCTTATGAATGGTTTAAGCACCATCCCCTTGGTGATAAATGAGTTCTTGCTTAGTTAGTTAATGCAAGATCTGGTTGTTTAGAAGTCTAGGACCTTCTCACCTCACTCTCTTTTTCCCACTCTTGCCCATTGATGTGCCTGCTCCTGCTTCACCTTCCGTCATGGGCAAAAGCTCCCTGAGGCCTCACCAGAAGCTGAGCAGATGTTGTACAGCCAAAAGCCAATTAAACCTCTTTTCTTTATAAATTACCCAGTCTCCAGTATTTCTTTAAAACAAGGCAAGAACAGCCTAATAAACCAGGATCTATAAATTATAAACTTCAATTGCCCCCAGGCGCTGTGCTGAGTACAGTTGATATAACTTCTCCTATATGTAGTCACTTTCTTGGAGAGTTTTCCATCCTCAGCGCTTTCAATAGCATTTACATGCTAATTTGGCTGTTTGAAACTTCTATCTCCAAACCAAAAATTTCTCTCAATTCCAACTTTGTATATCCAGCTCCCTACTTGACATACCACTTGGATGTCTAATAAGCATTTTAAATTTAGATGACCCAACTGAACTGATCCTCTTGTGTAACCACCATCACCCATACACTCATCCAGCATCTATTCCTTCTTGGTAATGATAACTCCATCCTTACAGTTGCTTAGGCCAAACACCTTACTTACCCCTTTCTCTGATCCACCATATTCAATCCATTAGCAAATCATATCCAGATTCCACCTCCACAGCTACCTCCCTGTTCTAAGCCAACTTCCTTTCTTGATAAGGTTAGTGCAATGGCCTCCTAACTGGTTCCCCAGTTCCCCCTCCTTGCCTCCCTCAGCTTTTTATCAACACACCATCCAGAGTGACTGCTTTTAAAATACTATATTATTTAAAATCATGTTACTTTAAATTGGAGTCAGGGTGTGCCATCTCTCTGCTGAAAATCTTCTGGAAGCTTCCAATCTCACCCAAAATAAAAGTCCAAGATCCTTGCGATGGGTCTTGCAATCCAATAATGGCTTTCTGAGCTTCCAGAACTTCCAGCCACATGTCATATTGTTTGCTGAGACTTTTCCTTGATCATCTTATTTAATCCAGCCACATGCGCCTCCCTGCTGATCTGTGAACCGTCCATGCCTGCTCCTGCTCAGAGCCTTTGCACTGGCTGTTCCTTCTCTCTTGAATACTCTTCCTTTAGGTATCTTTCTGTTTTTCTATTTTTAAAAGTTTTAGATTCAGGGGGTAGTGTACATATTTGTTACATGGATATATTGCATAATGCTGAGGTTTGGGCTTCTACTGAACCCATCACCCAAATAGTAAACATAGTACCCAGTAGGCACTTTTCAACCCTTACCCTCCTCCCTCTCTCTCTACTCTGGTAGTCCACAGTGTCTATTGTTTCCATTTCTATGTCCAATGTTTAGCTCCCACTTATAAGTGAGAACATGTGGTATTAGGTTTTCTGTTCCTTTGTTAATTCACTTAGGATAATGGCCTCCAGCTACATCTATGTTGCTGCAAAGGATATGATTTTATTCTTTTTTATGGTTGCATAGTGTTCCATGACATGTATATATATACATATATATATGTATATATATATATGTGTATATATATATATACATATATATATGTATATATATATGTGTATATATATATACACATATATATATGTGTATATATATGTGTATATATATATACACACACACACATATATATACACACACACATATATATACACATATATATACATATATATACACATATATATATATATACATACACCACATTTTCTTTATCCCATCCACTCTTGATGCGCACTTAGGTTAATTCCATGAATTTGTTATTGTGGATAGTGCTGTGATGAACATACAAGTGCAGGCATCTTTTTGATAGGATGACTCCTTTTTCTTTGGGTAGATACCCAGGAGTGCCTCCTCCAGATGTTTGAATGGCTCACTCTCTCACCTCTTTCAAGTTTCTGCTTAAATGTCATATTCTTTTTTTTTTCTTTTTTGAGATAGAGTCTCACTCTGTTATCCAGGCTGGAGTACAATGGCGTGATCTTGGCTCACTGCAACCTCCACCTCCTGAGTTCAAGTGATTCTCCTGCCTTAGCCTCCAGAGTAGCCAGGATTACAGGCACCTGCCACCATGCCCAGCTAATTTTTATACTTTTAGTAGAGACAAGGTTTCACCAGGTTGGCCAGGCTGGTCTTGAACTTCTGACCTCAGGTGATCTGCCTACCTCGGCCTCCCAAAGTGCTGGGATTACAGGCGTGAGCCATCGTGACCGGCCAAATGTCATATTCTTTCTGAGACTTTCCCTTGATCATCTTATTTAAAATTTCACATCCACCCCTTACTCCCTATCTTTCTCCTTGCTTTACTTCTCTGCAAACACCTATCATCTTCTATTAAACCATCTATTTTCCTTACCTACCCAGTTTGTTGTTTGGCTCCCTTGGCTAGAATGAGAGTGGCATGAAGGCAGGGGTGTGTTTGCTTAACTTTTTTGTTCACTGCTCTATCTCTAGCTCTTAGAAGAATGCCTGGCATATAGTAGGTGCTTGATAAATATTTGTTGACATCATGAATGAATGACACAGTGCTTGCTTTCGAGGTGTTCACAGCTTACTCACTGGAGTCAGGCAAGTAAAAAGGCAATGATAAAATGTGAAATATTGCTAGGAAATACACGGTGGTTCATAAAAGCAGAATAGGATGAGTCCCCATCCAAAAGAGGAAGGTCAAAGAAGGATTCCCAGAGGAGAAGGCATTGAAGTCAAGCCCTGATGGAGTCAGCCAACTAGGCAAGTAAGAGAAAAACAGATCAGACCAGGAATATGGAGCAGCTGTTTAAAGGCCTGGAGACCAGAGGAAATGTGGTGTTTTGGAGAACCCAAGCATAGCTTTCACCATGATGGAGTATAGAGGTGGGGGAGCTGGGTCTAGTGCAGGTGAGACTCCACTAGATGGAGTCCATCAAGCTCAGGAATCGGGGCTTTCTCATCAAGAGCCATCTGAATTTTAGGCTGACCACACTGTCTGTTGAGTGGAGAATGAACTGCAATGAGGATGGAAGTAGAGGGGCGGATGAAGGTCTGAACTCAAGTGTGACAGTGAAGGTTAGAAGAAGACAGATTTGAGAATGCATACAAGTTAAGTAGTTAAGAATTCTTCTTTTTTTTTTTTTTTGAGAAAGTCTCACTATGTCACCCAAACTGTAGTGCAGTGGCGTGATCTCGGCTCACTGCAACCTCCGCCACCTGGGCTCAAGTGATTCTTGGGCCTTAGCCTCCTGAGTATCTGGGACTACAGGTGTGCATCACTGTGCCTGGCTAGTTTTTTGTTGTTGTTGTTGTTGTATTTTTAGTAGACATGGGCTTTCGCTATGTTGGCCAGGCTGGTCTTGAACTCCTAGCCTCAAGTGATCTGCCCGCCTTGGCCTCCCAAACTGCTGTGATTACAGGTGTGAGCCACTGTGCCTGGCCAATAATTATTCTATCTTACTGGAAAACGGAATATTTTATCATCATACACTGACACACTTCACCTTATTTTTTTTCTGAGACAGGGGTCTCACTCCATCACTCAGGCTGCAGTGCAGTAAAGTGATCATAGTTAATTGCAGCCTCCAACTCCTGCGCATACGTGATCCTCCTGCCTCAGCCTCCCAAGTAGCTGGGACTACAGGTGCATGCCATAACACCTGGTTATTTAAAAAAAAATCATAGAGACAGGGTCTCACTATTTTGCCCAGGCTGGCCTCAAACTCCTAGGCTCAAATGATTCTCCCATTTCAGCATCTCAAAGTGTTGGGATTACAGGCATGAGCCACTGTGTCCAGGCCGCATTCATCTTTAATAACGCATTTTGATCTACAGGCTAGTTTGTTTGATATTAACGAGGTTACCCCAGCTTTCTGCTCTTTAGAATTTGCCTGACATAACCCTTTCCATCTTTTTAATTCAACATTTCACTCTCCTGAGGGTTTTTTTTTTGTTTTTTGGGTTTTTTTTTTTTTTGAGACAGAGTCTCACTCTGTCACCCAGGCTGGAGCGCAGTGGCGCAATCTCGGCTCACTGCAACCTCTGCCTCCCAGGTTCAAGCGATTCTCCTGCCTCAGACTCCGGAGTAGCTGGGACTACAGGTGCACCACCATGCCAGGCTAATTTTTGTACTTGTAGTAGAGACGGGGTTTCACCATGTTGGCCAGAATGGTATCGATATCTTGACCTCGTGATCCACCGGCCTCGGCCTCAAGAAGTGCTGGGATTACAGGTGTGAGCCACTGCACCTGGTCATTTTTTTTTTTTTTTTTTTTTTTTTGAGATGGAGTCTTGCTCTGTTGCCTAGGCTGGCGTGCAGTGGCATGATCTTGGCTCACTACAACCTCCACCTCCCTGGTTCAAGCAATTCTCCTGCCTCAGCCTCCCGAGTAGGTGGGATTACAGGCACACGCTGCCATGCCCAGCTAATTTTTTGTATTTTAGTAGAGACAGGGTTTCACCATGTTGCCCAGGCTGGTCTCGAACTCCTGAGTTCTGGCAATCTGCCCCCCTCGGCCTCTCAAAGTGCTGGGATTACAGGCGTGAGCCACTGGGCCCGGCGCTCTCCTGAGGTTTTTTATGTGTCTCTTGAAAATGGAATACAGCTGGAGTTTTAAAAATTTAAGGTGGCAATCTCTGTCTTTTAACTGAAGAGTTAAATCCATTCATATTCATTGTAATTAATGATATATTTGTACTTATTTCTACCATCTCTCTTTGTGCTTTCTGTTTGTCCAGGCTCCTCTGTTTCCTTCTTTCTCCTCTACTTGCCTTTGCTTGGATTAGTTGCGTTTGGTTGATTTGTTGACATGTTATCAGATTTCATTGTTCCCCTCTACAGATTTAAAAATCACACTCCATTTCTATTATTTTATTGTTTACTCTTCAAATTTAACCAGTGACAACTTTGCAAAATCTAATTTTATAAAATATCTTAACATCTGCTTCCCCTCAATAAAATTCAAAGACATTAGGATACCAAATCTGATCACTTCCTTCTAATAGTTCAGTATTTTGGTTATATCTCCCTTGTTCCCCAAATTAGACATTATTCTTATGATTTTATGCAATAAATGTTTGCATAGATTTATGTGTTTATAAATTTCTTTGCTTATAATTCATTCTTGCCTCAAGACATCCTTCTGCAGTCATTTTCCTTTTTCCTACAGTACATTCTTTAGAAGTTCCTTTGGTGACTGTCTGTCATAGGACAGACACACTGTCAGATTTAGTTTATCTGAAAATGTCTGGGGATAATTTGTTATGCAGCAAAAGCTCACTGATACAACCACTTTCTTTCTTTTCTTTTCTTTTTTTTTTTTTTTTTTGAGACAGAGTCTTGCTCTTGTCGCGCAGGCTGGAGTGCAGTGGCGTGATCATGGCTCGCTGTAACCTCTGCCTCCCAGATTCAAGCAATTCTCCTGCCTCAGCCTCCTGAGTAGCTGGGATTACAGGCGCCCACCACCATGCCTGGCTAATGTTTGTACTTTTAGTAGAGACAGGGTTTTGCCATGTTGGCCAGGCTGGTCTTGAACTCCTGACCTCAGGTGATCTGCCTGACTAGGCCTCCCAAAGTGCTGGGATTATAGGCATGAGCCACCACTCCCGGCTGATACAACCACTTTCTTATGAGCCTAGAAAAAAAATCTAAATAATATTTGTTATAGTTTATCTAAAATCTGTCTATATGAGAGCAGGGAGACCCTTCAAAGTATCTAATGTACTCTACTACTGAAAGCTATTTCATTACTGTGATGCTCATTCACCAAATTATGGCCAAGCCACTATCTGTGAAATCTATCATTTTGGTATGATGATGCTCACTGTTGCCAAGGTAATCCTGCTAGTGGGAGGAGAAGGATGGGTAATGCATTATTCTCTGAGTTTACGACTGCCTGAAACTTGTGACTCTCATTCCTGCAGTGTGGAGCCAACAGACAATTAGCTCCCTGTTACGCACCCAGAGTCCCCTAGTTCTAGACTTGCGCACTTGAATCAACTTTGCACCCTTCCCCTCCCTCATCCTTTCATCCACAAATTTGCATGTCCTCCGATTCCTGCCTCTAAATATTTCCTCCCAAAATTCCAGACTATTCTGAGACCCGAATATTCTTACTATTCTGAGACAGATGCAGATAAAGACAGATCTTTATCACTGGTTCTCTTGCCTCCAGACCCTCACAGTTCCCATCTACCCTACCCAGTCCTGCAGGTTATAACCATACCATTCCTTGCCTCAATCTTCCATTGCTCTCATGGTCCACCAATTTAAGAATAAACTTTCTACCATGACTTTTTACTCTATGGTCCCACTTACCTTTTCAGGTGTAACTCTTGCTTTTCTGGCTTAGTCTGATAGATGATATGAGGTTTCTCAACAACAGCTGACCGTCCAGCCTGCCTTCCCTGTATGTGCAGGATATTCTCTCCCTAGCCCCACCCTGTCTCCACTGGCTCCATATAGCCCCCACCCAGATATGATTCTTCCAACTTACATAATCTCGTATTTTATAAATGTGTCTTTCTTTGCTATAGGTTTTTCTTAGTGTTATTTTTAGCAGCATTATACCCATTTTTATCCAGCATTAAGGACCAACAAAAGTATCTTGCAAAAATCAAATGCTCTATAAATGTCTTTGGAAGTGAATGGGATTACTCTATTTGGCTCCTGGGCTCATGAGGAGAAATGAACGTCATTATCCACACCCTAATGCATTGGGAAAAAACCCTCTGAGCTCAAATACAATTAATTCTCATTTAGGGGGAAAGAATTTTCCATTTGAGATGATCTAAGAGACACATACAACTATTAACCCAAATTTAACAGCCTTGAAGGAAAACTAGAATACGCAGGTTATAGCCAGATAAACAAAAACCAGATAAATAATTGCAGAATGACTCCAGAACACAGCAAAATCCATCAGATTATCAATAAAAACATGGCTTGCAATTGCTTTCCTATTAGAGGCCTTTCTCTTGATTTTAAAATCCAGCAGTCAGTGTAGAAAACAATGGCTAAATGCAAAATGTAGGTTTCTTGGCTGGGCACAGGGGCTCACACCTGTAATCCCAGCACTTTGGGAGGGTGAGGCAGGAGGATCACTTGAGGCTAGGAGTTCAAGACCAGCCTGGGTAACATAGTGAAACACCGTCTCTATAAAAATAAAATAAACTAGCTGGGCATGGTGGCACATGCTTGTAGTCCCAGCTACTCGGGAGGCTGAGGCAGGAGGATCAATTGAGCCCAGGAACTTAAGGCTGCAGTGAACTATGACTGCACCACTGCATTCCAGCCTAGGTGACAGAGCAAGATCCTATCTCTAAAACAAACACCAAAAAAGAAAAGTTCAGGTTTCCCAGCTTCTACTCAAGAGACAGAGAGATATATTCCATTAATTCAGATCTGCTTTGGAGTACATTTATTTATTGCTTGGTTAAAGCCCAGAAGAATGGTTTCTTATGACTGGCAAGTACATGTGTATATTATTGAAATTGACAGAGTTTCTCCTTTATTATCCTGGGTGTTTGGGAAGCTGGGCCAAGCAAAGAAAGAGGCAGCCCAGCAGGGGACAGGAGCCCCTCTAGGCTGTCCTGAGAGCAAGGACCCAGTCCCAGGCATGGAGGATACAGGCCTGAGAAGATGCTCTGTCTCCAGGGGCCTGTAGACATCTACAGAGGATGCTGCCTTTGGAAAATTCCAAATGCCCAATCCCAAACTGAATATAGAAAATAAATGTCTCACAGTGGGCAAGTGGTGGCTGCCTGAGAGCTGGGGTTAGAAAAGGAGCATGAGAAATCCTTGAGGGAGATGGAAATGTTCTGAATCTTGATTTCAAGAGCCCCTTCACAGGTGCACACACCTGGCAAAACTCATCAGATTGCACACTTTAAATAGATGCAGTGTATTTATTTACCTTACGCTTCCATATAGTTGATTTAAAAATATATATGGGAGCTTAGAAAGCATGCTATGGAACCAGATGGTTCCTGCAGAGAGGGCCAGCTCCTGGGGGCTGGGATGGTCCCAAGGGCCCTTCCTCTGCTGGCTTCTCCCTTCTGCCATATGACTCATCATGCTGGATTCAAGCACTATGTTTCCAGAAAATGCATTTGCTACTTGGAATGAATGGGGATACATCTTTGTGCCACAAAAACCTCAGGCTGATTTTCTTGCAGAGACAGTTCTAGGAGCGGATAGATTGGGGCAGTTCTGATGGAGGCAGGGTCTGGCCCACATGACCTGTGGAGAGACCTGGGGCCTCTCTTGGTGTGGGGCACCAGGATGAGAGCTGGAAGAGCTGGGTGAGAGAGGGAATGCGTAGTCCACTCCGACTTCTAGGGAATCAGGAGAATATTCCTAAGCACATCTTCAAAGCACACCTTTGACTGCTGAATTGGTTAAGGAAGTAAAGACTTTATTTCTCAGTAGGACAGACCGCTGATGACATGAATTTCTTTTTTGTCTCTATATGTGAAATGGGAAGGGAGGGCTGTATCCTGGTTCAGTGTGGACGTGCTAGCAAGCACTGGCTTTCTGTACCACGGCTCAACCAGCTCACTTTCTTCGCTTGCCAACTACAGCAGCATTTCTGACCTTGCTGTGTCATTAGAGAGACAGGAGTATAATGGTTAAGGACTTGGACTCTGGGGCCTGCTTAAGAAATCCAGGCTCTGCTACTTAATGATTTTATGGCCCTGGGCCAATTACTTTAGCCCTATGGGACTCTGCTTCCTTATTTTTTAAAATGGGGATAATGGCTGGGCACCGTGGCTCACGCCTGTAATCCCAGCACTTTAGGAGGCCGAGGCGGGCGAATCACTTGAGGTCAGAAGTTTGAGACCAGCCTGGCCAACATGGTGAAACCCCGTCTCTACTAAAAATACGAACATTAACTGAACGTGGTGGTGCACATCTGTAATCACAGCTACTTGGGAGGCTGAGGCAGGAGAATTGCTTGAATCTGGGTGGCAGAGGCTGCAGCAGGAGAATTGCTTAAACCTGAGTGGCAGAGGTTGCAGTGAGCCGAGATTGTGCAACTGCACTTCAGCCTGAGTGACAGAGTGAGACTCCATCTCAAAAAAAAAAAAAAAATTGGGATAATTATAGATTACATCATAGTGCATTTATGGAGATTGATACGGTTTGACTCTGTCCCCACCCAAATCTCATCTGGAATTGTAGCTCCCACAATTCTAATGTTTTGTGGGAGGGACCAAGTGGGAGGTAATTGAAACATGGAGGTGGGTCTTTCCTGTGCTATTCTTGAGATAGTGAATAAGTCTCACAAGATCTGATGGTTTTATAAAGGGGAGTTTCCCTGCACAAGTTCTCTTCTCTTGTCTGCCACCAGGGAAGACATCACTTTCACCTTCCACCGTGATTGTGAGGCCTCCCCAGCCACGTGGAACTGTGAGTCCATTAAACCTCCTTGTTTTGTAAATTGCCCAGTCTCAGGTACGACTTTATCAGCAGCATGAAAACAGACTAATAAAATAACGGATTAAATAAAATAATGAGAAGCAAATGTGGATATTAGCTTCCCCGACCTCACCCACCATTGAATAACTGGGGTCTTGCTCCAGCTTTACAAAGAACTTGTTTTCTTTCCTATAGATTCTTTTTTTTTTTTTTAACTTTTTTTAAAGTGCAGGGGTACATATGCAGGTTTGTTACACAGGTAAACTTGTGTCATGGGGGTTTGTTGTACAGCTTATTTCATCACCCAGGTATTAAGCCTAGTACCCATTAGCTATTTAATATTTTTCCTGATCCCCTCCCTCCTACCACCCTCCACCCCCTACCCTCCAATAGGCCCCAGTGTTTGTTATTCCCTTCTATGTGTCCACGTGTTCTCATAATTCAGATCCTACTTATAAGAGAGAAGTTATTTGGTTTTCTGTTTCTGTGTTACTTTGCTAAGGATAATGGCCTCAAGCTCCATCCATGTCCCTGCAAAGGACAAGATTCCATTCTTTTTTATGTCTATAAAGTATTCCATGATGTATATGCACCACATTTTTTTAATCCAGTCTATCATTGAAGGGACATGCAAATCAAAACCACAAACATGGATTTTCTTCCCAGGATCCAACCCAGGATCTCACATTGCATTGTTTTGGTCTTGTCTCCATATATATATATGTGTGTGTGTGTGTGTGTGTGTGTGTGTGTGTGTGTGTGTGTGTGTATGTGTGTGTGTGTATATATATGTGTATATATGTATACATGTATTGTAGATATATATACACACACTATATACACACACACTATTTATATTATAGTATATACTTAAATATATACTTATATACTTATAGTATGTGAAGACAACAAGGATGAAGAACTTTATGATGATCCACTTTCACTGAATACTAACACTAGTATATAGTTATCTATCTAAGTATATACTATAACAAATATGTACTTATGGCTGGGTGCGGTGGCTCATGCACTTTGGGAGGCCGAGGTGGGCGGATCACTTGAGGTCAGGAGTTTGAGACCAGCCTGGCCAAGATGATGAAACCCCATCTCTACTAAAAATTCAAAAATTAGCTGAGTGTGGTGGCGGGCACCTGTAATCCCAGTTACTCTGGAGGCTGAGGCAGAAGAATCACTTGAACCTGGGAGGTGGAGGTTGCAGTGAGCTGAGATCACGCCACTGCACTCCAGCCTGGGTGCCAGAGTGAGATTCCTTCTCAAAAATAAAAAAAAAAAAATAGAATAAAAATAAAAAAATTAAAAAGTACTTATATACATACATTGTGTATGTATAATAAAATTGTTTATGTAGCTTGTTTTATGTGTATGTGTATGTGTGTGTACATATCTCACTATGAACTTACTGAAAATAATCATTCAACAGATACTACTGTCCCAAGGAGAAATCAAAGCTCTGTGAATCAAGCAGTCAGGGATGAGGCTACTGTGAAGTTCTGCATCGCTCTGCTGAGCCTCCTAGCTAAAGAGTAAAGAGTAAGGCACTAAATACATTCCACCAGGAGGCTTTACGTCCCCCTCCTTGTCCTTCAGAAACAGTGACGTTGTTTCCTTTTTAATTCAGTGATATAAAGACAGCCTAACAAATCAATATATTTCTTTGAAAAAAAGAAAAGCTGAAAGTAACCTTCAGTAATAATAATAGTTGTTGTAGGGTGGCAGGACCATGGATGATTTAAATTTGTGTTTTTCAAACTCTCTGAAATGCTATTGTGCCTTCAGTAAAAAAGAAGGGCCAGGCACACTGACTCACACCTATAAATCCCAGCACTTTGGGAAGCTGAGGCAGGAAGATTGCGGGAGGCCAGGAGTTTGAGACCAGCTTGGTCAACACAGCAAGGCAACATAGCGAGACCCCATCTCTATAAAAAACTTAAAAATTAGCCAAGCATGGTGGTGTGTGGCTGTGGTCCAGCTACTTGGGAGGCAGAGGTGGGAGGATTGCTTGAATCCAGGAGGTCGCGGCTACAGTGAGCTCTGATTATGGCACTGCACTCCAGCATGGGTGACAGAAACAGACTCTTTCAAAAAAAGAAAAAAAGAAAGAGAGAAAGAGAGAAAGGAAGGAAGAAAGGAAGGAAAGAAAGGAAAGAAAGAAAGAAAAGATTAAAAAAAGAGGAGCAGAAGTGACTTTCACTTATTTGGCTGTGGAATTTAATATCCCTGGGCAAGGGAGAAAGGCTCAGCTGGTGACATGGCTACCACTCTATTGTTCAATCTGAGTTCCTTATTCCAAGCCTAACATGAGCACAAAACCTGCCTGAATGACTTTTTGTGCCTGGAGAAAAGTCAGCTAAACTTCCCGGAAGACACAAAAGTCTCAACTCACAATCTCCACTGGAAAACAATTTATGTCTGTCATTGTGATTTCCTGGAAAGAATAGCTCATCAATCCATTCTGGCAGGAAAGAAATAGTACAGTAATTCCTCCTTAACCCTGAGTCTTCCTTAGGCAAAATCAAATACAGGCATATCTTGAGATATTGCAGGTTCAGTTGCAGACCACTGCAATATAGCGAATATTGCAATAAAAAGGCAAGTCACACAAATATATTGGTTTCCCAGTGCATAAAAAGTTATGTTTACACTATACTGTAGACTATTAAGTGTGCAATAGCATGCCTTTTAAAAATGTGCATAGCTTAATTTAAAAATACTTCATGGCTAAAAATACTAGTGATCATCTGAGCCTTCAGTAAGCTGTAATCTTTTTGCTAATGGAGGGTCACGGCTTGATGTTATGGCTGCTGACTGATCAGGGTGGCGGGGTGGTGGTTGCTGAATGTTGGGGCGGCTGTGGCAATTTCTTAAAATAAGAGAATAACAAAGTTTGCTGCATTAATTGACTCTCTCCCTTCCATGAAATATTTCGCTGTAGCATCCAATGCTGGTTAGTAGCATTTTACCCACAGTAGAATTTCTTTCAAAATTGGAGCCAATCCTCTCAAATCCTGCTGCTGATACACCACCTAAGTTTATGGAATATTCTAAATATTCTCTTGTGTCATTTCAACAATATTCACAACATCCCCATCAGGAGTAGATTCCATCTCAAGAGACCACTGTCTTTGCTTATCCGTGAAGAAACAACTCTTTGTTCATGTTTGATCATGAGATTGCAGCAATTCAGTCCCATCTACGGGCTCCATTTTGGTTCTAGTTCTCTTGCTGTTTCCACCACATCTGGAGTTCCTTCCTCCACTGAAGCCTTGAAACCCTCAAAGTCATCCATGAGGGTTGGAATCCACTTCTTCCACACTCCTGTTCATGTTGCTATTTTGGTCTTCCATGAATCACAAACATGCTTACTGGTATCTAAAATGGTACATTCTTCCCAAAAAGCTTTCCATGGACTTTGGCCAGACCCATGAGAAGAATCACTATCTATGGCAGCTACAGTCTTACAAAATGAATTTCTTAAATAAGACTTGAAGGTCAAAATTACTCCTTGATCCGTGGGCTGCAGAATGGATGATGTGTTATCAGGCATGAGAACAACATTCATCTTTTGGTACGTATCCATCAGAGCTCCTAGGTGACCATTATCAATGAGCAGTGATATTGTGAAAGGAATCTTTTTTTTTTTTTTCTGAGAAGTGGGACTGGACAGTGGGCTTAATATAATCAGCAAACCGGCCAGGCGTTGTGGCTCACGCCTGTAATCCCAACACTTTGGGAGGCCAAGAAGGGTGGATCTTGAAGTCAAGAGATCGAGACCATCCTGGCCAACATGGTGGAAACCCTGTCTCTACTAAAAATAGAAAAATTAGCTGGGCGTGATGGTGCGCACCTGTAGTCCCAGCTACTCGGGAGGCTGAGGCGGGAGACTCGCCTGAACCCAGGAGTCGGAGATTGCAGTGAGCCGAGATTGCGCCACTGCACTCCAGCCTGGTGACAGAGTGAGACTCCGTCTCAAAAAAAAGAAAAAAAAAAAAAAAGATATTCAGTAAACCATGCTGTAAACAGATGCACTGATATCCAAGCTCTGTTGTTCCATTTCTCGGGCACATGCAGAGTAGATTTAGCATCATTCTTAAGGGCCCTAGGATCTTCAAAATGGTAAATGAGCTTTAGCTTCAACTTAAAGTCACCAGCTGCATTCGCCTCTCACAGGAGAGTCAGGCTGTCCTTTGAGGCTTTGAAGCCAGGCATGGACTTCTCCTCTCTATGTGGGAAAGTCCTAGATAGCACCTTCTTCTAATAGAAGGCTGTTCTGTCTACGTTGAAAATCTGTTGTTGAGTGTAGACACCTTCAGCAATGAGTTTAGCTAGATCTTCTGGAGAACTTGCTGCAGCTTCTCCATCAGCACTTGCTGCTTCACCCTGCACCATTATGTTGCAGAGACAGCTTCTTTCCTTAAACCTCAAGCCAACCTCTGCTACCTTCAAACTTTTCTTCTGTAGCTTCCTCACTTCTTTCAGCCTTCATAGAATTGAAGAGAACTAGGCCCTTGTTCTGGATTAGGCTTTTGGCTTAAGGGAATGTTGTGGCTGGACTGGTCTTCTAACCATACCACTAAAACTGACTCCCTATGAACAATGAGGCTGTTTTGCTTTCTTAGCATTCGTGTGTTCACTGGAGTAGCATGTTTAATTTCCTTCAATAACTTTTCCTTTGCATTCATAACTTGGCAAATTATTTGGCACAAGAGGCCTAGCTTTCAGCCTTATTTGGCTTGTGACTTGTCTTCCTCACTAAAGCTTTTAGAGGCCATTATAGGGCTGTTAATTGGCTGAATTTCAATATTGCTGTGTCTCGGGGAATAGAAAGGCCCGAGAATTGGGAGAGAGATAGGAGAATGGCCCAACAGTGGAGCCGTCAAACACACACAACATTTATGATTTACGTTCGCGGTCCTGTCTAGGTGCAGCTCATAGTGCCCCGAATAATTACAATAGTAACATCAAAGATACTGATCACAAACCACCATAACAGATACAATACTAATGAAAAAGTTTGAAATATTGCAAGAATTACCAAAATGTGACACAGCGACAGGAAGTGAGCAGGTGCTGTTGGAAAAACGGCACCCATAGACTTGCTCGATGTCACGTTGCCACAACCCTTCGATCTGTGAAAAAATGCAACATCTACAAAGTACCATAAAGTGAAACGCTATGAAATGAGGTATGCCTGTACATGTGTCTTTACTTCTGCACACTGATGGCATGGAATTGCTACAATCTTATGATCAAACAGGAACAGATATAGAGTTGTTTCTTAATGGATAAGCAAAGACAGTGGTCTCTTGAGGAGGAATCTACTCCTGATGAAGATGTTGTGAATATTGTTGAAAGGACACAACAGAATATTTGGAATATTTCATAAACTTAGGTGATACATCAGCAGGAAATATTTAGGAACTCAAGCCTTCCTGTGCTCTGCACGTGGATCACGAGAGCCACTTCTCAGGGATAATTAGAAAAACGGAATTGGGAGTTGGAAATAGAAAAGAGAAGCAAAGCAGATGGCAGAGAAAGAGGCCTGGGTCCCCCAAAGCCTCGGGGAAAATCTCAGCAAGCAGAAAGCATGTAAAACTGCATTGCATGGAGGTCTGCAAAGAGAGTGGCTGCAAGGAGTGTACACACAGGCTGATGGACGCAGGGCCCAGGAGGCAGGAACGAACAACCCAAAGTAATAAAATCAGAAACATTTTGAATATTTTGAGAGAAGACGAGTCAGAAGAGCAACAGCAACAACAAAAAAGGCTGTTAATATTCTCACTATCTGCATGCAACGAGGTAAGACGAATTTATAAGTGTTGCATTGGAATGCAAAAGGAGAGGTTTTAAAAAATATGGCATAAGAGATTGAAAATGGAAAATGAAAATAAGTGGTTCAGAACCTCTGTGGTGTCGAATTTCAGATACATAGAACACCATCAGCATTTCCTCTCCTATTTTCTGTTTCATCTCCCATTTGTGTGTGCAGCAGGTTTTCTCAGCATCAAAAGTATCTGGGTCAGGTGCAGTGGCTCATACTTGTAATCCCAGCACTTTGGGAGGCTGAGGGGGGAGAATCACTCGAGCCTAGGAGTTTGAGACCAGCTTGGGCAACACAGCAAGACCCCATCTGTACAAATAACACAAAAAAATTAGCTAGGCATGGTGGTGTGCACCTGTAGTCTGGGAGATTGAGGTTGCAGTGAGCTGACTGCACCACCGCACTCCAGCCTGGGTGACAGAGCAAGACCTTGTCATGAAATATATAGTTAATTAATAAAAAAATTTTTAAAAAGTATCTGCCTTCAGTCCCCCAACTCTGTTTTCCAGAAGGTCTACAGATCCCCTGATTTGACCCCCATGGTGATTTCTAGGAATTGGGTTTTCGTGGATGGAAAGGGATGATCAAGTTTGCTTCTTATCAAATGGGAGAGGCATATTCCCAGAACCTCAGGCCTGTTTTCTGGACCAAAGCCATCTTTTCTTGGGCGAAACTTCAATGTGTTCTCAAAGGCTGCGTTGCCTGAGCTCCGACACTTACATGATAGCATCTGGAAGCCAAGAGGCTGCTGGGTGTCACTCACTTCTGTGTTTTCCGACGACGACCAGGGGTGCCTCCTACATGCTAATAGCTCGCCAGAGCCCCGTCACGCCAGCAGGGCACGGGTGCCTTATTGGCACAATGCATCATAATGACAAGGTGTTTGGATGATGTATCGCTTAAAAGATGAAGCCATCAGAGAATGAGTCCAAGATCAGATTGAATTTAATTACAGGATAAAAGAATCTCATCTGTCATTTTGGTGATGAATTAACTGAGAGAAGAAACGTTGAGTCTCTCGGAAAGGACGGAGAAGAGGAGGAAAATGTATTAACAGGGAGGACACACAGAGGAGACGTCGCTAATGTCCTCCCCTGAGCCTACTGAATCAGAAAGGTCCTGGGCGCTAATGTCCTCCCCTGAGCCTACTGAATCAGAAAGGTCCTGGGAACAGAGCTTGACACCTTCCAAGAGGGACTCCCACCCTCAATTCCTTCCCACAGTGCACACCTCATCTTACGAACATCTCATTACAGCCAGTAGCTGTTTCAAAGAGTGCCCGTCGAAATCTCCAGGGCCATTTCTTGCAGACCCTGTTAGTCACACCTCGTCCATGGTATGGGCTGTGGAGGGGCAGTGAGTCTCAGCTCGGGGACAAAGCTGCATCAGAATTTGCAGGAACGTGTTAGGTTTGAACATGTGCAGGTGTACAGGCAACTTCTATGAACACTCTCTCAACTATGGTCCTCAAAAGTGATTGTGATGTGTATAAAAGTATGTGGAAGGCTGGGCGCACTGGCTTATACCTATCATCCCAGCACTTTGGGAGGCAGCGGTGGGCGGATCACTTGAGCCCAGGAGTTTGGGACCAGCCTGGGCAACATAGTGAGATCCCTATCTCTACAAAAATTTAAAAAAAAAATAAAAAAGCCTGGTATGGTGGTGTGTGACTGTAATCCCAGCTACTCAGGAGGCTAAGGCAGCAGGATTGCTTGAGCCCAGGAGTTCAAGGTCACAGTGAGCTCTGGTGGCACCACTGTGCTCCAGCCTGGGTGACAGAGTGAGATGCTGTCTCTAACAAAATAAATCTTTTTAAAAAGTATATGTGGGCAGAGGTTCAGGGGAATATTGAACTGCTCTGTATCTTGATTATGGTGTGATTACTTGATCACATGTGCTTGCTAAAACCTGCAAAATTATACATTATAAAGAGTAAACAGGCTGGGCGCCGTGGCTTACGCCTGTAATTCCAGAACTTTGGGAGGCCTAGGCAGGCGGATCACCTGAGGTCAGAAGTTGAAGACCAGCCTGGCTAACATGGTGAAACCCCATCTCTACTAAAAATATAAAAATTAACCAGGTGTGGTGGCAGGTGCCTGTAATCCCAGCTACTCGGGAGGCTGAGGCAGGAGAATCGCTTGAACGCAGGAGGCGGAGGTTGCAGTGAGCCAAGATCGCACCACTGCACTCCAGCCTGGGTGACAGAGTGAGACTCTGTCTCAAAAAAAAAAAAAAAAAAAAAAAATAGTAATTGCCTTGAAAAGAAAAAAAAAAAAAAACCCAAGAACCTCAATTATATAAAAAACTAAGATAGTGTTATAAATTAAAAACAAAAAATCAAGCTGGGACACTAGGCCTAAACAGCGTCTGTCCTGGGCAGATAGGGACATATGATCACCACCTATATGGCCTAATTCACAGCATTATCCTAAATAGATGCTCACTTGGATGTGAGGGTGATCTGGCTGCAACTTCTGTCATCCCATTGATCGCCAGGGTTGATTCAGCTGATCTGGCTGGCTAGACGGGTGTCCCCTTTCTCCCTCACCCCTCCACGTGCATCCCTCCTGAAACTGCATGCTTGGTCAAAGAGGATGACCATCCCCAATAGAGGAAGACCAGTCTTTGGTCAAGGGTATACGAGTATCTGCACTCCCCTGCTAGAACCCCCAAACAAGTTCTCAAAATAGATGCTCAATAAATAGTTGTGGATTGACAAAGAAAAGCACCTGCCAATGCTTGTTACGATGTGGAATCCTAGGCCCCACCTCCACTAGGTCGGGGGTTGGACTTTGGAAGAGGCGGTTACAATAAGTCCCCAGAGGGTTCACTGGGTCAGTGGACCACACCTGAGATGCTGAGTGGAAGCCCTAGCCCTTGATCCTAGCACCGGAGGATCTCCATACTCTGTCCCTTTTGGGCCACCCTGAACCACCTGCTTCTGCCAACTGTGTGATTATTTCCTGAAATGTGCCTCGTGATTCCAGCCTCTGCACCTGGGCTTTCATGTTCCATTCCTCTCTGCTTCCTATGAGTCTTTCCACTGTGTTTTGCTGTGGCCTGGAGAACACCGAAGGACTCAAGGATATGAGGTGCTCTCCAGAATTCACCAGATGCAGATCAGAGTACCCAAGACCAAATGATATGGGACATTCGTTTGACAGCTGGCATTGCCCTATCTGAATCTCCATGTTCTCATTAATAATAATAATAAAAAAAAAGCAGGTGGTGCCAGGCAAGGTGGCTCACATCCAAAATACTAGCACTCTGGGAGGCCAAGGTGGGAGGACAGCTTGAGGTTGGGAGTTCCAGACCAACTTGGGCAACATAGTGAGACCCCATCTTTACAAAAAAACTGAAAAATTAGCTGGGTGTGGTGGTTCATAACCAGTAGTCCCAGTTACTCTGGAAGCTGAAGCAGGAGGGTTGCTTGAACCCAGGAGTTTGAGGCTGCAGCGAGCTATGATTGCACCACTGTACTCCAGCCTAGATGACAGAACAAGACCCTATCTCAAATAAAAAATAAAGTCGGGGGGATGGGAGGAGGTTACTATTTACCAGACAGAGTAGTTGGAAGGATTAAACATGTCACCAAAAACAGATATGGGTCTTATTGTCAGCATTTTTGTTCTTTAACACAGCCCAGCCCTGACCCAGAGTGTTCAGAGCTGTCCCTAGGCAGGGGCTGGAACACGCGGCTATGGGGCCAGAGTCCATTGTATGCCGCACTGTTCAAACCCTGGGCTGCGGGTCAGCTGTAGGGACCTGAGAGAGCAGATGCAGAGCCATCGGGGGCGTTCAGGGCTGAGAAAGATGCCACAGTGGGTCCCTGGGGTCAGCACTACCCCTAGCCCCCTCTTTCTTCCTGATAGCACCTTTGCCTTTCTGGAGAAATCAGAAGCTGTGGCTGGAGAAGGTTGACCAGCTGTCTGGAGCGGTGTAGCAAGAAGGGCCTGGCAGAGGAGGGTGCTCTCCGTGCAGGGTAGCCAAAGTGTTCTGGTTTCACTGTGGTTGCTCTAGCTTGGGGACCCACCCTGGGCCTGGGTGCAGGAGGGCAACAGCCTGGTAGAACTGGGGGTCTGTGGGTCTCCTTAGACAAGAACTTCTGTTCCAAATAGGTTCAAGCCAACACTAAGGCTGCTACTGCATCCTTGATGGTTTCTTTTGTTTTTTTTTTTTTTTTTTGAGACAGAGTGTTGCTCTGTTGCCCAGGCTGGAGTGCAGTGGCATGGTCTCAGCTCACTGCAACCTCCGCCTCCTGAGTTCAAGTGATTCTCCTGCCTCAGCCTCCCGGAGTAGCTGGGATTACAGGCGCCCACCACCACACCTGGCTAATTTTTGTATTTTTAGTAGAGACGAGGTTTCATCATGTTGGCCAGGCTGGTCTCAAACTCCTGACTGGAAGTGATCCACCCGCCTTGGCCTCCCAAAGTGCTGGGATTACAAGCGTGAGCCAGTGCGCCCAGCCTTGACATTCTATTTTTAAATAAAACTCAGGCTTCCAAAAAGAAGCGGATGTTTGTCTAATTCTAATTAGTAATCAGCCAAAACCAAGGCGACAGACATTTCCGAGCAAGCAAGGCTCTCTGAGTGGCCCGGAACATCTTGTTGACAAACACATGCTGCAAGACAGGAAATTACCCTCCTCAGTGCCTATTTTATCTCTGTTTAATTGCTGTTTGATAATAAATTACAACATAGAGTCCATTAATTAAGCTAGCGATGTCCGTGGAGCACCAATTCCTTCTGCTGAGAGCCGCCTGGTTACAGGAGCTCTGATTCTGCCACTGTTTGCACCCATGGCATTTTGGGAAGCAGTTTAGAAGGATTCCAGTTGGGTGACAGGACTCCTTGCACAGAAGGAGTGGGTTTGGGAAGTGGGGGAGCTTTGATGAGTGAGTAGAGGGACCGCCTGGCAGCTGGAGAGCCACACCAAGCGTTCTCTAATTCAGGACACGTGGCTGAACAGAAAGCAACATGAGATTGACTTTTTAAAAAGCAGCTGACGGAAAGCAGCCGGGGCCCACTTAACAAGCGTCCATCCCAGAGCCGGGGGAGCCATGAGCAGCCTAATCCGGTTTGCCGTTCTAAATCAACTCAATCTAATCAGCTCCATGGCAGGAGCTTTCACTTGGAAAAGTTCCGCACGCAGGTGGAACTGGGAAAGATGAAACCCAGCCATTTCCTAACAAAGGGGCCACACTGTGCTGGGAGTGCCACTAAGCTCCCAGCAGGAAAGGAGACTTGATGTCTGCCTCCTGCCTGGGGAGGGAGTCAGAAGGTGGTCACCTTCAGAGTGAAAGCCCTCATTAAATTTTAACCACAGGCTCAAGCACAGGGGCTCACACCTGTAGCCTCAGCACTTTGGGAGGCGGAGGTGAGAAAATTGCCTGAGATCAGGAGTTCCAGAGGTCAGGACTTCTACACCAGCCTGGGAAGCATAGGGAGACCCCTATTTCTACAAAAAACTTTTTAAAAAAAATTAGCTGGGCAAGGTGATTCATGCCTGTAATCCCAGCTACTTGAGAGGCCGAGATGGGAGGATTTCTTGAGCCTAGGAGGTCAAGGCTGCAGTGAGCTATGATTGCACCACTGGACTCGAGCTTGGGTGACAGAGCAAGACCTTGTCTCTAAAAAGAGAAAAGAAAAGAAAGAAAAGTTCTGACCATGTTGTCCTGAAATTATGCCATCCAGGCATTCCTGCTGGTCTATCAGGTTCCCACTGGGCAGAAGCTTGAGGGAGGGGCTATAGAGGAATAAAGGCTCCAGACAGAAAGGTAAGGAAGGTCAAGTTCACAGCAGTCTGCCCCAGACTATGTCTGGAGGTGTAGGCATCACAAAGGTGTTAAAGATGCTGGGGAGGGTGGGGGGCCACAGGGCCACAGAAGGCAGACACTGCCGCCTTCACATCCCAGCCCTCAGGTTCACCCACGTGCTTCCTGAGTGGCTTTAAAAACCTTCCCCTGAGGCCGGGCGCAGTGGCTCTTGCCTGTAATCCCAGCACTTTGCGAGGCCAAGGTGGGTGGATCACCTGAGGTCGGGAGTTTGAGACCAGCCTGACCAACGTGGCGAAACACCATCACTACTGAAAATACAAAAATTAGCTGGGCATGGTGGTGGGCGCCTGTAATCCCAACTACTCATAAGGCTGAGGCAGGAGAATCGCCTGAACCCAGGAGGCGGAGGTTGCAGTGACCCGAGATCGCGCCATTGCACTCCAGCCTGGGTGACAGAGCGAGACTCTGTCTGAAAACAAAACAAACAAACAAACAAAAACAAAACAAAAACAAAAACAAAACCTTCCCCTGAAACACCCAAAGCAAAATGTAACTGCTTAGAGCCACATGGGGAAGCTATGGGATCAGACCATCTTTACTTTGTTCCACATTCATAGGACAAGTGGACGTCCTTGGAGCAGTTTTTGATTATGCCAGTATCTAACTGGGATAGCCTCTACTATGTCACCGTTAATAAGTGCGCCATTCAAATGTGACTTATTCAGAAGATTGAACAAAGAAGTCTGGGAGTTAAGTGCTCTTTTCACAGCTACTCTTGGAGTAATTGCCTAAAAGGATGATCCGGCACAGCCATGGGGCCCAGGAGTGGGACTGCCCTAGGCTCAGCCTCTGGGATCTTGCTGCCTGGGCCAGAGGCTGTGGGTATCCTAGGAAGGTGGTGTGGGGAGTGTGCTGGGCCCTGCCTCCCACCCTCTATGTCCCCTTTCTTCAAGTCCTCTAGGCTCAGTACCACAAGTTGCTATATCCAACTCTTGGCCATCTCAGCCCGAGACTAGCTAGGGCTTTTCATTTGGTCTATTCCAAGACATAGCTTCTTAGTCCCTGCTGGAACTGCTGTAGGCAGTCTAAACATATCACCTCTCCCACCCCCAGGTGAGCCTTCCAGTGGCTCCCTGACATCCTCTGGATCAAGTCCCATTTCCTCAAACCAGCGGCATCAGCATCACCTAGAAATCAGCTGGAAATGCAAAACTGGGGCTGGGTGCTGAGGCTCACGCCTGTAATCCCAGCACTCTGGGAGGCCAAGGTGGGAGGATCCCTTGAGGCCAGGAGTCCAAGACAAGCCCAGGCAACACAGCAAGACTCTATGTCTACAAAAAAATGGAAAATTGAGTGGAACATGGTGGCATCTGCCTTTAGTCCCAGCTACTAAGGAGGCTGAGGCAGGAGGAGCACTTAAGCCCAGGAGGCTGAGGCTGCAGTGAGCTGTGATCACACCATTGCACTCCAGCCTGGGTAACACAGCAAGACCCTATCTCTTAAAAAAAGAAAGAAGAAAATGAAGGAAGGAAGAAAAGGAAGGAAGGAAGGAAGGAAAGAAAAAAGGAAAGGAAAGGAAGAAAGGAAGGGGGGAAGGAAGGAAGGAAGAAAGGAAGGAAGGAAGGAAGGGAAAAGAAAGAAAGGAAGGGAAAGGAAACAAAAGGAAAGGAAGAAAGGAAGGAGGGAGGGAGAGAGGGAGGAAGGAAGGAAGGAAAAGAAAGGAAAGGAAAGGAAACAAAAGGAAAGGAAGAAAGGAAGGAAGGAGGGAGAGAGGGAGGAAGGAAGGAAAGGAAGGAGGGAGAGAGGGAGGGAGGAAGAGAGAGAGGGAGGGAGGAAGGGAGAGAGGGAGGGAGGAAGGGAGAGAGGGAGGGAGGAAGGGAGGGAGGGAGGAAGGGAGAGAGGGAGGGAGGAAGGGAGAGAGGGAGGGAGGAAGGGAGAGAGGGAGGGAGGAAGAGAGAGAGGGAGGGAGGAAGGGAGAGAGGGAGGGAGGAAGGGAGAGAGGGAGGGAGGAAGAGAGAGCGGGAGGGAGGAAGAGAGAGCGCGAGGGAGGAAGGGAGAGAGGGAGGGAGGAAGAGAGAGAGGGAGGGAGGAAGGGATAGAGGGAGGAAGGGAGAGAGGGAGGGAGGAAGGGAGAGAGGGAGGGAGGAAGGGAGGGAGGGAGGAAGGGAGAGAGGGAGGGAGGAAGGGAGAGAGGGAGGGAGGAAGGGAGAGCGGGAGGGAGGAAGAGAGAGCGGGAGGGAGGAAGGGAGAGAGGGAGGGAGGAAGGGAGAGAGGGAGGGAGGAAGGGAGAGAGGGAGGGAGGAAGAGAGGGAGGGAGGAAGGGAGAGAGGGAGGAGGAAGGGAGAGAGGGAGGGAGGAAGGGAGGGAGGGAGGGAGGAAGGGAGAGAGGGAGGGAGGAAGGGAGAGAGGGAGGGAGGAAGGGAGAGAGGGAGGGAGGAAGAGAGAGCGGGAGGGAGGAAGAGAGGGAGGGAGGAAGGGAGAGAGGGAGGAGGAAGGGAGAGAAGGAGGGAGGGAGGGAGGGAGGGAGGGAAAAAGAAAAAAAGGAAGGAAGGAGAAAACAAAAGCAAACTCTCAGACCCCACCGGAGATCTGACCCAAAAACTCTGGGGATGGGGCCCAGGAGCTGGTGTTGTCGCAGCCTTGGGGACGATTCTGCTGCCCACTGCAGCGTGCAGGCTGGAGTCTTGGTGCAGGCCTCCTTAGGTCTCTCACCATCTGCTCTCCACCTCTCTGCTGCCTTCTCTCTCAGCACTCCCTTCCCTCTTGCATTCAAAGTTCCGGCCAAACTGGGCTACCTCCCACCTCCCAGGCCCCAGCACCGTGGGTTACGCTTATTCTACTGTAGATTTCTTGCCTCTTTTCTAGTCCCTCCCCTTCAAGGGTAAACGATTTGGGAGCAAAGACTGCATCATACCAGCTGCCTGTGTTACAGTGGTGCCTAGCATTTTAGAATAGGTAATCAAGACATATTAGTTGAGTGAATGAATGAATGAAGACGTGCACTTATTTTTTTCTTTTTTTAAGAGACAAGGTCTCACTCTGTCACCCAGGAGTGCAGTGGCATGATCATGGCTCACTGCAGCCTTGAAGTCCTGGGTTCAAGTGATCCCCTCACCTCAGCTTCCTGAGTCGTGTGCCACCACGCCCAACTCATTTTATGTATTTTTTGTAGAGGCGGGGGTCTTGTTATGTTACCCAGGCTGGTCTCAATCTCCTGGCCTCAAGCAATCCTCCCGCCTCAGCCATCACAGCCACCTGCATTAGATTCTGTAGCTCATATTGCTTTCCATGTGCATCCCCATTTCCCTACAGAGAACCTTCAGGGAGAGGAGAAGGTCTAGGCTTCCCAGCCAATCTCCTACTCCCCACAGGCACTTTTCACCAATCGTAGATGGTGATGGTGCTCCATAAATAACTTGGATTTAAATGGATCGCATTTGACTTTTTTTTTTTTTTTTTTGAGATGGAGTCTCGCTCTGTCGCCCAGGCTCTAGTGCGGTGGCACGATCTCAGCTCACTGAAACTCCACCTCCCAGGTTCAAGTGATTCTCCTGCCTCAGCCTCTCCAGTAGCTGGGATTACAGGCACCCGCCACTATGCCTGGCTAATTTTTTTTTTTTTTGAGACAGAGTCTCACTCTGTCGCACAGGCTGGAGTGCAGTGTTGCGATCTTGGCTCACTGCAAGCTCCACCTCCTGGGTTCATGCTATTCTCCTGCCTCAGCCTCCCGAGTAGCTGGGACTACAGGCGCCCACCACCACGCCCAGCTAATTTTTTGTATTTTTAGTAGAGACGGTTTCACCGTGTTAGCCAGGATGGTCTCGATCTCCTGACCTCATGATCTGCCCACCTCAGCCTCCCATAGCACTGGGATTACAGGCGTGAGCCACCGCACCTGGCCAACAGAGACGGGGTTTTGCCATGTTGTCCAGGCTGGTCTCGAACTCCTGACCTCAGGTGATAATTTGACTTTAAAATGCTTGGCTGTGCTTGGCCCAGGGCGGAAGCTCACACCTGTAATCCCAGCACTTTGGGAGGCCGAGGTGGTGGATCACTTGATGTCAGGAGTTTGAGACCAGTCTGGCCAACATGGTGAAACCCCGTCTCTACTGAAAATACAAAAATTAGCTGGGGCAGGGTGGTGCAAGCCTGTAATCTCAGCTACTCAGGAGGCTGAGGCAGGAGAATCGCTTGAACCCAGAAGGCGGAGGTTGCACTGAGCTGAGATTGTGGCACTGCATTCCAGTTTGGGTGACAGAGAAAGACTCAGTCTAAAAAAATAAACAGATAAATAAATAAATAAATAGTATAAAATGCTTGGCTGTGCTGGAAAGCCTGGGTTCTAGGTTGCTTTGCTCACAGGCACTTGCCCCTCTGTGCCTCAGTTTCCTCATGCTGCCTGCCTACTTCCCAGAGTTGCTGCAAGGTCAAAGGGCTGAGGATTTGAACAGTAACCTGTCTGGCATTGCTCACCCACCTTAGGAGGAAGGGTGAGTATCCATCTGGACATTGAGAACTACCGGCAGTGATGTGGCAGAGGGTACACAGCTGACCTCGGGGGAATGCAAAACCACTACACACAGAGAAAAACCTGTGAGCCTTGGCCGGGCACGGTGGCTCACGCCTGTAATCCCAGCACTTTGGGAGGCCGAGGCGGGCGGATCACAAGGTCAGGAGATGAAGACCATCCTGGCTGACACGGTGAAACCCCGTCTCTACTAAAAATACAAAAAAATTAGCTGGGCGCAGTGGCGGGCGCATGTAGTCCCAGCTACTCTGGAGGCTGAGGCAGGAGAATCACATGAGCCTGGGAGGCGGAGGTTGCAGTGAGCCGAGATCATACCACTGCACTCCAGCCTGGAGGACAGAGTGAGACGCCATCTCAAAAAAAAAAAAAAAATCTGCATGCTGCAACAACCACTTATGAATTTTTTCCCTAGCTTCTTTACAGAAATAACCAGAAAGACTCCTACCTTCTTCTTAAAAATTTTTCTCAGAATAAATAACTACCAAGGTAGACAGCAACAAAGTTTATCCAGAAGGCCTGCAAGGCCTCTGTGGGTCGGAGATGGTGATATTACTTCCTTCCTGGTCAGAGACGAGCTCCTACCTGTGGTCCCCAGCCATGGCACGGATACAATATTGCTGTGTGGTTCTCCAGCGGCCCCTGGTCCAAGCAGACGTCTTTTGCCTTGTTGTTGCGAAGCTGCAAGAATAGACAAAACACGACCCATGAGAGCTCAGCTAGTGGAGGTGTGGATGCCGAGTCACTGTTCTACCATGGCTTGGTTCCAACTTCATGATGGGAAGACAACACGAGCCTCTAAGTGAGGACCAGGGCTCAAATCTTTGCGGTGATCACCTTAACAAGAAAGATCAAGTCTTAAGGTGGATGGCATGGATGCTAGGTCTCTGACTGTGTCCTGGGCAGCTTGCCCCCCCACCCTCACAGCACCTCCATTCCTAACATGAAAGGCAATCTCAGGGAACTTCTGCATACAGGAGCACTGGTTACCCCGATCTTAGACTTCTAAACAGCTTTGAAGCTTCTAAGTGGCTTCTAAGCTTCTCAGTGGCTTCTAAGTCTTCTAAGTGGCTTGTAAAATCCAGTTATCCAGATGGTTAGGCTTGTAAGTGGGCCTCAGCACCGACATTGGTTTTAATAAACTGGGTAATCAGAGGTTAGCTTCTCAGGTCATTATTTGCATAAAGGCATGAAGAGCCTAAAAGCAAATTAGGCTGGATGCGGTGGCTCACGCCTGTAATCCCAGCACTTTGGGAGGCAGGAGGATCGCTTGATCCCAGGAGTTCAAGACCAATATGGGCAACATAGCGAGGCCCCATCCTAAAAAAACATTAAAACAAATTAACCAGCCATGGTAGCAAACACTTGTAGTCCCAGCTATTCAGGAGGCTGAGACGGGAGGATCGCTTGAGCCCAGGAGTTCCAGGCTGCAGTGAGCTATGATTGCACCACTTCACTCCAGCCTGGGCGACAGAGCAAGACCTATTTCTAAAAAAAAAAGAAAAAAAAAACCTAAAAGCTTACTATCATAAAATGCTCTAGCAGTATCTATTTATATATTCAAAAACATTTACTGATACCTATGCTGTACTAAGCACCATTGTAGGTGTTTGGTGTTTGGAATGCACCCACGGAGGAAATAGACAAAAGTCCCCAAAGCAACACCCGTGAAACTAGGCATGGGTCTTTGGGAGCATGTGAGAACTGATCTAATTTGGATCTCTGGGTGCACTGTGATCTATATGGGTATCCATCCCACCACCACCCTAGGGTCTCAATGAGTGGGAAAAAGGTCATGTTGCTGGTCCTTTCCATCTATATTCATTCCCCTCCAGGTTATATTCTCCATGGAAACAAAGAGAGGAAAAGGCATTTTGTTCTTTTTCTTTTCTTTTCTTTTTTTGGGACAGAGTTTCGCTCTTGTTGCCCAGGCTGAAATGCAATGGCGCGATCTCGACTCACTGCAACCTCCACCTCCTGGGTTCAAGCGATACTCCTGCTTCAGCCTCCCGAGTAGCTGGGATTACAGTCGCCCGCTACCACGCCCAGTTAATTTTTTGTATTTTTAGCAGAGATGGCGTTTCACCACGTTGGCCAGGCTGATCTCGAACTCCTGACTTCAGGTGATCCACCTGCCTTGGCCTCCCAAAGTGCTGGGATTATAGGTGTGAACCACTGCGCCTGGCTGGCATTTTGTTCTTTATGTACCCAAATTGTGTTTAGGCTCAGACAACTCGAGCAGATTTTTAAATTCTTTCTTTTTCTTTGAGTGACAGGGTCTTGCTCTGTACTCCAGGCTGGAGTGCAGGGGTGCAATCATAGCTCACTGCAGCCTCCATCTCCTGGCCTCAAGCAATCCTCCCACCTCAGCCTCCCAAACTGCTGGGATTATAGGTGTGAACCACTGTGCCTGGCCAAGAGCTCTTTACATATTAAGGACATGAATGTTTTAACAGAATATTTGCTTTACGTCATGATTTGAGGCTGCCAGGCTTTTAAACTTTGTTCTAATGTTTCTGCAATCAAATCTATCATTCAGTAATTTAATAAATATTTATTGAAGGCCTGGTAAGTGCCTGGCACTGTGCTAAATTTAATGAGCAAAAGATAAATAACATAGTCCCTGCCCTAAAGTAGTCCACGGTCTACTGCAATGTTTGAAATATGCTAGGGCCAACAAGGAGAGCTTCTTTTTTATTTTTTATTTTTGAGACGGAGTCTTGCTCTGTCACCAGGCTGGAATGCAGTGGCGCAATCTCGGCTCACTGCAACCTCCACCTCCTGGGTTCAAGTGATTCTCGTGCCTCAGCCTTCTGAGTAGCTGGGATTACAGGCACGCGCCACCACACCCAGCTAATTTTTGTATTTTTAGTAGAGACAGGGTTTCACCATATTGGCCAGGATGGTCTCCATCTCCTGACCTCGTGATCCACCTGCCTCGGCCTCCCAAAGTGCTGGAAATACAGGCGTGAACCACTGCAACTGGCCAAGGAGAACTTCTTTACCCCTTCCGAGGATTCAGAGATAACTGCTAAGAGGAGATGACTCCTTCCCTAAGCGTTAAAAGCATATGTGGGCTGGGTGCGGTGGCTCACGCCTGTAATCCCAGTGCTTTGGGAGGCTGAGGCTGGAAGATTGCTTAAGGTCAGGAGTGTGAGACAAGCCTGGGCAACATAGTGAGACCCCACCTTCACAAAAAATAAACAAAATTAGCTAGGCATGGTGGCATGTGTTTGTAGTCCCAGCTACTCAGGAGTCTGAGGTGGGAGGGTGGCTTCAGTCTAGGAGTTTAAGGCTACAGTGAGCTGAGATTGCGCCACTGGATTCCATCTTGGGTGACAGAGCAAGGCTGTGTCTCAAAAAAAAGAAAAAGTTGTCTAGAGCCAACAGCAGTGGCTCACACCTGTGGTAGCAGCTACTAGGGAGGCTGAGGTGGGAGGATTGCTTGAGCAGAGGAGTTCTTGGCTATAGTATGTCATGATCATGCTACTGTACTGTAGCCTGGGCAACAGAGCAAGACCCTATCTCTTTTTTTTTTTTTTAAAAAGGAAGAGCTATTTAAAAATTGGTTTTTGACTAATTTGGTTTCTTTCATTTAACACTATAGTCCATCTGAAATATATATATCTGTAAATGGTGATACTCAGCAGGTAGAAAAGGAGTAATAGAACCAGATGCCTTAAAATGTTAACATTGATTATATCTGGGAATTGGGATTTGGAGTAAGTTTAGTTTTCATCTTTATATTTCCGATAGAATGTATGTATTGATTTTATTATTTTAAAAAGAAAGTTTGTAAAAACAAAAGGCTTCTCTCTTCCAAATAATCAGACTATGATCACAATGTCACCCCCAATGCCACCCCCACTGTACGGCTCAAGGGACATCATTTATACTGTGGTTGATGTCAAAGGCAGCTCCTGGAGTTGTGCAGTGCACAGACTTGGAGCTGTACACAGCAGCTCTGGCAGCCTTCTAGCCTAAGTGGTTTATGCCTATAGCCCCAGATACTCGGGAGGCGGAAGTGGGAGAATTGCTTGAGCCCAGGACTTCAAGGCCAGCCTGGCAAAACAGTGAGACCTCTATAAAAACAAAAACAAAAACACAAAATTAGCCAGATGTGATGATATGTACCTGTAGTCCCAGCTACTTGGAAGGCTGAGGTGGGAGAATAGCTTGAGTCCAGGAGTTCAAGGCTACAGTGAGCCAAGATTGTGCCACTGCACTCCAGCCTGGGGGGCACAGGCTGGTCATCATGTTTATTATTTCCTTTTTAGTAACTATTTTTCTTCTAATGATGAAAGTATCACCTGACATTAGTGAAAGCTGGAAAAGCATGACAAAGTACCCACTTGCAAAACTGCCCAAAGTCCTACTTACTACCCAAGGTAATTATAAGTATCTTCTCCATTTCCCAATGCTATTATCACACTTGCTTCCAATCTAAAATAGCAGCGATTTCAGTTTTATCATCCTGAGTTTTTTCCTCTTAAGCATTATGGTATCAATATTTTTCTCATGTCATTAAACTTTTGTACGCACCATTTATAACAGCTATAAAATATCCCCAACCATGAATGCATTACATTCAACTAATCTCCAAGTTAAATTAAAAAAAAATTTCCTCAAAAATAACATGTCTGAGCTGAACAATTTTACTCTCAAATCTTTGTCCTTATTTCAGATTATTTGCTTGGGATATGAGTGGAGAAGAAACTATGACTGTCATTATCAAGCTTTTTAATACATGTGGCTCAAATTGCTTTTTAAAAGGCTTGTTTCAATTTGCACTCACAGAAGATATGATTTTTTTCATATTACTAAGGCCTTGCCTGTAAAGTATCAACACAAAAAATGAATCTTTGTTCATTTGCGGATAGGGGGAAAAAAAAACACCTCTGTGTATTTAATTTTTTATTTTCTTTGACTATGAAATAAATTTAAAATTGTCATGTGTTTTTCATCCATGTGTATTTTTTCTTGTGTAACTGACCTTGTACTTTGTTTATTTTTCTTTGAGGATGTTTTATTTTGTTGTTTAAATCAAATTTTTAAAATCACGCCTGTAACCCCAGTACTTTGGGAGGCTGAGGCGAGTGGATCACTTGAGGTCAGGAGTTCAAGAGCAGCCTGGCCAACATGGCAAAACCTCGTTGCTACAAAAACACAAAAATTAGCTGGGCGTGGTGGCGTGTGCCTGTAATCCCAGCTACTCGGGAGGCTGAGACAGGAGAATTGCTAAAACCCAGGAGATGGAGGTTGCAGTAAGCCAAGATTGTGCCTCTGCACCCTAGCCTGGGTGACTGTTTCAAAAAAAAGAAAAAAATTAACTTAACTTGCAAAGCTTATTATATATTAATGGTATTTGTTCATCTATAGCATTTGTGGTATATGTATTTTCAGTTTGGTGTATTATTTCTCTACTCAGTTGATGTACAGATTATTTTAATATTTATGAGCTTGGATCCATGACACATTTCCTTTGCATTTCTTGCGTGGATTTCATTCTTAGAAAGCCCTTCCTCATTCAGAGATCAGATTCATCACTATTTCCTCATGGTTCTTTTATTATTTCTTTCATGTAATGCTACAGTTCATCTGAAATCTACTTTGGTAAATGGTGAGCTGTAAGAATCTAAATTGATTTATTTTCCAAAAAGCTAGGCAATTGAGCCAATTGTCTTATTGTCTTAGGAATAATCCATTCACTGCCCATTGTTTGATTCTTCCTTTATATTTAATCTTACTTTGATAATTTTAAAAAATTCATGCTTTTATTTTGGAGAAGAAAAGGCAAGGCAGTTCAGATCTATTAATAATTACTGTTGTGTGCCAGGTACCATTTTTTTTTTTTTTTTTTTTTTGAGACAGAGTCTCACTCTATCACCCAGGCTGGAGTGCAGTGGCGCGATCTCAGCTCACTGCAACTTCTGCCTATCGGGTTCAAGCAATTCTCCTGCCTCAGCCCCGAGTAGCTGGGATTACCTGCACCAGCCACCACGCTCAGCTAGTTTTTTAATATATATATCTATATAGACAGGACTTCCCCATGTTGGCCAGGCTGGTCTTGAACTCCTGACTTCAAGTGATCACCCGCCTTGGCCTCCCAAAGTGCTGGGATTACAGGCGTGAGCCACGGTGCTTGGCCATGCCAGGTACCGTTCTAAGAACTTCACACATCACAGCTCATTTTATCCTCCCAGGAATCCTGTAGAGGAGATACTCTCCTTCCTCCCATTTTATAGATGAGGGAATGGCTGCCAAGCAGACCCACACAGCTGGTAACAGCCTACTAGGATTTGAACCCAGCAGGCTGGCTCTAGTCTTCATGTATCCCTAACCGCCCTAGAGACTGCCCTTGCAAGATGTGAGCATCCCATTCCAAATTCCAGCTCAGGAGGGTCACCACTCTACACCCTGATGACTTAACCTGTGGTTGATTTATTTTCTATAAAAGGCAGCAGGCAAAGAATAGGAAAATCCACAGTTGTAGAAAAATGTAAATACTCCTAAGTCAAAGGGATTCTTCTTAGCTTTAACCTGGTAGTCACAGGGAGTCCCAGGAAAGAAAACCCGATTGCAGAGCTAATGGGGTGTCTCAGCCAAATTGAGAGCACCTGGCTCTCTGCTCCTTGGCCTGACTGTGTGTCACCGATTCCATCTCAAACAGGCATCACAAGGGAGAATGAGGTGGATGCATGAGTGTTTCTATATGAAGATGTTCTCAGCAATGGTACTTGTGATATTTTAAAATTGGAAAAGACACCAGTGTCTATGTTCTCAAGCAAAGCCCAGCTTACACAAAAAGTGGAACCATGTGCGGCCATTAATTACTGACAAAAAATATTTCATGATACACTTATATATCCTCCATATTATTGAGTAAAATTTCAAATTATTAGGCATTGTGAATGGAATGGTTTTAGTAAAAAAAATACATGGGTATATACACATGCACACATATACACACACATGCACACACACACACGCACACACACACACACACACACAGTCCGGAGGCCCACACATCAAAGTGTACACGTTATCTCTGGTATCCAGATCCCCAAGTCCAACCTTGGCTTTGTGACTTACACGCTCTGTGACCTTAGGTAAGTTAGATAATTTCTCTAAGTTGCAGTTTTCTTATCAAGAAAACAGAAATAACGCTAATCTCTCATAAGGTGAAGGTGAAATTAATTTGTATGCAAAAAGCACTTAGAATAGTGCCCAGTACTTCAAAAGCACTCAAATATTCATCCCTAGTATTATTATTTCCAAAATGTTCTCAAATGCATATTGATGGTATTTGTAATAAGAGAAAAATCGCTTTGCTTTCAGGTTTAGAAAGGTGATATGATCACACCATAGACAATCTGAGAACGTTTCCTCCTTTCTTTGATAAGTGATTCCAGCCCACAGCACAGAGCAATGGAGGACTCCAACCCTCCTGCCTCTCGTTACATCCAAACTTCCTGCTCAATATCTCCATTTACAGGTCCCAGAGGACCTCAAAGTCAAAATTTCCCAAACAGGATTCATTATCTGCTACATATCTCAGGCAAAGTAGACTATCATAGTCTTTTATCCATAGTCCATTGTAACATTCATCACATTTGTTCCCTACCCCAACCCCCCAGCTAGAGAGAATCTTGCTATCAGGGCCAGCACCTCCAAAAACCACTCATTGAATGAATGAATGAGCAACTCTATTTCTCCCCAGCGAAGCAACCCACAGCATATTGAACAGCATTCCAAGCCAAAAGCATGCACGGTCTGAATTACCTCCCCGTAAGCAACGGTATTATTGTATCTTCTCATTTCTGGGTAAACATGGTCCAGGTACCACTGGAAATTCTTACACTTTAAACTTTTCCTTAATGCTCTTCTTTCGGAGACATCACCGATGTCAATTCCCGGATTCTGAAAGGAGAGAGAAGCCAAGGGGTGTTAGTGACTGTGGAGCTCTGGCCAGAGTGGGGCACAGGTGGAGTCACTTTCAGGGAAACCTTCACATAGAAGATCTTAAGCCTGGGCTGGGCACGGTGGCTCATGCCTGTAATCCCAGCACTTTAGGAGGCAGAGGTGAGTGAATCACGAGGTCAGGAGTTTGAGACCAGCCTGGCCAACACGGCGAAACCCCGTCTCTACTAAAAATACAAAAAATTAGCTGGGCATGGTGGTGGGCACCTGTAATCTCAGCTACTCAGGAGGCTGAGGCACGAGAATCACTTAAACCCAGGAGGTGGAGGTTGCAGTGAGCCGAGATCATGCCACTACACTCTAGCCCAGGTGACAGTGCGAGACTTTGTCTCAAAAAAAAAAAAAAAAAAAGATCTTAAGCCTCGTATGCTTATTCAGAAGGGTGTTTGTTTTTGTTTTTTGAGTCACAGTCTTGGTCTATCACCCAGGCTGGAATGCAGTGGCACGATCTCATCTCACTGCAACCTTGGCCTCCCGGGTTCAAGCGATTCTCCTGCCTCAGCCTCCCCAGTAGCTGGGATTCCAGGCTTGCATCACCATGCCTGGATAATTTTTATATTTAGAGATGGGGTTTCATCATGTTGGTCAGGTTGGTCTCAAACTCCTGACCTCAAGTGATCAGCCAGCCTCGGCCTCCCAGAGAGCTGGGATTACAGGTGTGAGCCACTGCACCCGGCCAGAAGGGTGGTTTAAGGAGACCTATTTGATTCATCCAGACCCAGGCCAGGGAATCCTCCTTCCTAAGCAAAATCAGGAACCTACAGCAATAAAGGTCCCAGACAGGTCAACCATCCTTATCATTGCTGTGCAAATGGATTTCTGGGACACGCTGATGTTGACGACCTACATTCTCAGTTTCTGCTCTTACGCATTTCCTTAGTAACTATCAGAGACAATTATTAGAGGAATTATTTGATTACGACAAGAAAATAAATGCCTACAACCACCTCCTGTCTTTTCTTTCCTATACCTGCAAAATTTCTCCTTTTGTTGGCTCTTTGCGAAGTTCATTACATGCAGAAGTGAAAATAATTTTCCATTGCAAAGCTTGTAATGATGTTCTAATGAATAATTCACTCTGCTTTTACAGAAATGAACCCATAATGGCTGCTGTGTGCTGACAGGGAAAATAAAGTATCTGAAATATGACTCTGCAGACTCAGCTGCAAGATGGCCAGGAATTAGCAGAGACAGGATGCACTGGGGGGCCTGGGAGAAGACTTCAAATTATGTCATTAAGATCACTTGGGCAGTCAAACAATGACTTTAAAGGGAAATCCCTTTAAATGTCAAACTTATTCAACCTCAAAGACAACCCTGAGCAGTAACTTTTAACTCTTTGTTTTAATATATTTAGTATGATCCATGAAATGGTCTTTTTTTTTTTTTTTTTTTGAGATGGTGTCTGGCCCTTGTTGCCCAGGCTGGAGTGCAATGGTGCGATCTTGGCTCACCGCAACCTCTGCCTCCCAGGTTCAAGCGATTCTCCTGCTTCAGCCTCCCGAGTAGCTGGAATTAAAGGCATGCGCCACCTCACCCAGCTAATTTTGCATTTTTAGTGGAGACAGGGTTTCTCCATGTTGGTCAGGCTGGTCTCGAACTCCCAACCTCAGGTGATCTGCCCGCCTCGGCCTCCCAAAGTGCTGGGATTACAGGCGTGAGCTAATGGTCATTTTTTAAAAGCCTGGTAGGTTACCACTGGCATTTGGGACCAGAGATTGTCTGCAGTCATGGACAAAGCACTTGGCTACAGTCAAAAGACTTGAGTTATTTGTAACTCTAAGTCACACCACCATTCCAGGTCAAAACTTGAGGCCAGGCGCAGTGGCTCACACCTGTAATCCCAGCACTTTGGGAAGCTGAGGTGGGAGGATTGCTTGAGCCAAAGAGTTCAAGACCAGCCTGGGCAACGTGGCAAAACCTTGTCTCTACAAAAAATACGGAAGTTAGACAGGTAGAGGGCGCAAGCCTGTGGTCCCAGCTACTCAGGAGGCTGAGGTGGGAGGATGGCTTGAACCTGGGAGACGGAGGTTACAGGGAACCAAGATCGTACCACTACACTCCAGTCTGGGTGACAGAGTGAGATCCTATCTCAAAAAAAAAAAATTCCCCTTTATAAAACAGGAATAATAATAATACCTATTTCACTATTTCACAGGGCTGGGGTGAGGTTTTGTATGAGGACCTGAACTGACTTCCCTGCCCATGTGCTTTGTGTGGGACCTTGAACGAGCCCCTTTTAGCTTCTCATAGCTTCAATTTCTTCATCTGTAAAATGAACATCATAATACATTCATATCAAGCTAGCATTTATGGAACTCTTAATATTTGCTAAGCTCTGTTCTCAGCCTTATTTTATCTTCACGGGAGTCCTATCAGATAAATTTTAATAATCCATGTTTATAGATGAGGAAACTGAGGCAGACAGTTCTTATGTCATGAGGTTGTTATGAGAATTAAATAAGATATTACAAATAACGACTTACTAGGTACCTGGGACATAGTAAGTGCTCAACGAATGTTACCTATCTTTACATAATAGTAATAATGGCTAAAAGCACTTATTACTTAACAGCTAAAAAGTGCTAAGTGTCCAGAAGGGGTTTTTTAATTCTTGAGAATGTATTTCAAAACTTATAACAACATTGAATAAATTCACTTTTATCTTCTTGACCCACATATCTGGCACATATTCAACTGTATTTCTTCTGTTCTGGGCTCTAGCCTCCTGATACATAGGGGCTGCCATCTCTCAATGGGCACCACTCCAGGTGACTTTCCAGCATGGCTCAGACACCTATGGGTGCTCTGGCTGAGGAGATAAACTGAGCTGTGGCTGAGGGTGCAGGTTACCCTGCTGTGCAGCATAGGACGAACAATGCACTCTGTGCCAGGTGCTACTCTCAGCATGCCACATGTATAAATTCATTTAGTTCTTACAATCACCCCAAGAAGGAGAATCTGCTATTATCCTCATTTTACAGCTGAGGAAAATAAGGTACAGCCAACCCTTTATATCCATGGTTTCTGCATCCATCGGTTCAACCAACTGCAGACTGAAAATATTTTTTAAAAGCCCAGTAAGAACAATACAACAATAAAAAATACAAATAAAGCATAAGAATTATTTACACAGCATTTACATTGTATTATCTATAAGTAATCTAGAGATGATTCAGCCATAAAAAGAAATAAATTAACAGTATTTGCAACGACCTGGATGAGATTCGAGAGTATTATTCTAATGGAAAACCAAACATCATATGTTTTCATTGATATGTGGGAGCTAAGCTATGAGGATGCAAAGGTATAAGAACGATACAATGGACTTTGGGGACTTCAGGGGAAGAGTGGGAGGGGGGCGAGGGATAACAGACAACAAATATGGTGCAGTGTATACTGATCGGGTGACGGTTGCACCAGGATCTTACAAATCACCACTAAAGAACTTACTCATGTAACCAAATACCACCTGTACCCCAATAACTAATAGAAAAATAAAATTAAAAAAATTTTGTGCTGCCATAAAAAAATTTATATAAATCTTTATATTATATATTTTATATATTATATAAATATATATTTTATACATATATATACACACACAGGAGGTTATACTTAGGTTATGTGCAAACACTATGCCATTTTGCATCAGGGGCTTGAGCATCTGTGAGTTTTGCTATCCACAGGGAATCCTGGAACAAATCCCCTGTGGATACCAAGGGATGAATGGTACAGAGAAGATGAGTGGATTTGGTCAAGATCTCCTGACTCATAAATGATAGAGTTGGGATTCAAACCACGCTAATATACAACTACCGCATGACACTCCTGTGGGGCTGCAGTAACATGGAAATTTCCTTGGGCCATCTTCTGAGCAGAATGTGGAGGAGAGCTGAAGAGCTAGGGGATTTGGCATAGAGTAAAGGCATATGATACGGGGCAGCTGGAGCTCCATGGGAAGTCACACACTGGCAGGATGAAGAGTCTGCTGTGAAGTATCTGGGCAAGAACTTCCTGGACACAGCATATCATCAGGAGCAGGGCAGCCAGATTAACATAATAAGACTGGGATTAACACACTAAGACCCTTCTAATCTCTGTAAGTGGATTTAAAGAGACTTCCATTGTGCTAGCCCTGGAGTTAGGCAGGAGTTCTAAAGCTGAGACATCTGTGAATCCCTTTGAAATGCATTCATAATTTTTCTAAGCATGAGCATTTTCTGGGGAGGAACGATTGGTTTATTAAATAAATAGTGATCAAACAGTAAGGATCACTGTACTGGGGTGGTGGGGAAAGGCTGGTGATCCCTACCTCCAGCGGCAGGTTCCACGCTATGTACACATGAGACTTGTAATCGTCCATCCAGACCTCAGCAACGCGAAGAGCATTCCTCTTGGTGTAGAAGCCAATGTTGCTATTATATGGCTTCTTCTTCCGCTCAATGTGGGCCACCCGTGAGCAAGGAAGGACCTCCATGCTGCCCCCACAGAGCCATACCTAGGGGTACAAAGATTTCATCAGCCTGAAAAAGAAATTCCCAGAGGCTATGCCCCCTCCCCAAGCCCAAAAGCAATGGTTCAGCTGACTTTGCATAAACGTAAAATACATTTTAATATATAAAGCCAATGAGAGGTTGTGCACGGTGGTTCATGCCTATAATCCCAGCACTTTGGGAGGCTGAGGTGGGCAGATCACTTGAGGTCAGGAGTTGGAGACCAGCCTGGCTAACATGGTGAAACCTCGTCTCTACTAAAGATAGAAAAGTTAGCCAGGCATGATGGCGCACGCCTATAATCCAGCTACTCAGGAGGCTGAGGCACAAGAATCAGTTGAACCCGGGAGGTGGAGGTTGCAGTGAGCTGAGATAGTGCCACTTCACGCCAGCCTGGGTGACAGGGCAAAACTTTGTTTCTAAACAAATAAATAAATAAATAAATAATGCCAATGAGAGTTCAAGGTTGGTTTGTTACTGCAGCATGGTCTAACCTAACCTGACTAAAACATATAAAAAAGAGGCTTGGGAGAATTCTTATAGAAACAACAGCTCAGGATATAAAATCCACCTCTAGGTAAGAAAGGCCCATAAACCTAAGCTGCCCATGGCAACACATGAGTTTTCTTATGTTCTCAATAATGCACAACTGACATCCCTGAAGGCTGCCTTTCCCATCTGGCTGAAGCTGCGCCCTGCCAATGTAGAATGGAAAATTCATACTAAGAAACAGATCTTTATTCATATCAGCACAAGATGTATATAATGATCTAGTTCTGGGTTAAGTTTTGTTTTATTTTGTTTTGAGACAGGGTCTCTCTCTATCACCCAGACTGGAGTGCAGTGGTGCGATCACAGCTCACTATAACTTTGAACTCCTGGCTTCAAGTGATCCTCCTGCCTCAGCCTTCCAAGTAGCTGGGACTACAGGTACGTGCCTCCATGCCCAGTTAATTTTTAAATTTTTTTGTAGAGATGAGGTCTCGCTATGTTGCCCAGGCCGGTCTCACACTCCTGGTCTCAAGCGATTCTTCCACCTTGGCCTCCCAAAGTGTTGGTATTACAAGCATGTGCCACTACTCCCAGCCTAGTTCTACACTGTTAATATGCTCTACTTTGGAGTCCTACAGGTACAGATGCCAAGCCTTCTGGAAGCATCCACTCCAATGCCATTATGAGCAGCTGTCGCTTGCTATTACTGAACTATTCAGAAAGAAAGTTGCAATGATGGCTGCCTTTGAGGGATGCAAAAGCCCAAGGATGTGGGACTTCTCATCCCTCTGCATGGGGATGGCAGGCACCTAGGCCGTAAGGACCTGCTCCAAAAGGAAAGCTGGACTATCCAACTTCTCTTGGTCCAGGTGGGAAAAAAAAAAAAAACCTTATTGTAAAAAAAAAAATTAATTTATGGAAATGAGGTTCCTAGTACCAGTGGAAAAAAAGGAAAATGACAGAAAAGTTTCAGGAGCCTGTGAGGCTGTTCTGCTGTGAAGACACTGTATGCTCTGCATAAGTGACAGTTTTTGCAGGTGAGCTGACTCAGGTAGGCTCATTCCAAGATGGGTTACTTCAAGCCATTCCACCTTTAGTCTCCCAGTAACCACCAAAGCAAGAATACTGGGACACTCTTGAGTGTCTACATACCCCCTTCTTGACTTTTGTTGGCTGAATTTGGTGGCAAAATTTGTTTTGCGTGTATGATGTTCTGTTTCTATTTCCCAACTTCGGTTATACCACAGGGAAACGATACAGATAGAAAATTCTCCCATAAGCAAGAATCCTCACTTTGCTTGCTTCTTCCAGGAGGAATTGTGGGCTAAGTGGTTAGTAGAGAATAGATGTTCCAGACTTCTTTGATCTGGGACAGGACAGCTAGATGCCCTCGCATGTTAGGTTAGACCCAGCTGCTGGCCATGGAAGGAAGTCAAGGAGGCCAAATGTTGGCAAAGGGCCTGGGAATAGAGACAGGAAACTGGTGTCTTAGAGAGTAAAACAAGGCGGCTGAATTTCAAGGTACGGACAATATATAAAGAATCAGGGTCTCACAATGATGTTGCAAGACTCAGTGAATGAATGAAAAGATATACCATGTTCAAGGATTGGAAGAATTAACATTGTCAAGATGGTAATACACCCAAAATTGATCTAAAAATTCAACACAATCCCTATAAAAATCCCAGCTGAATTCCTTGCAGAAATTAACAAGCAGATCCTAAAGTTCGTAAGGAAAAACAAGGGACCTCAAGTAGCTAAAACAACCTTGAGCAAACTGGGAGGACTTCACTCCCCAATTTCAAAATTTAATACAAAGCTACTATAGTCAAGATGGTGTGGTACTGGCATAAGGACAGACATACGGATCAATGGAATAGAACTGAAAGTCCAGAAATAAACTCTCACACTTATGGTCAACTAACTTTCAACAAGGGTGTCAAGACAATTCAGTGGGCTAAGGAATAATATCTTCAACAAATTGTGCTGGAACAACATGTAAAAGAATGGACATGGCTCCTACCTCACACCATATAAAAAATTAACTCAAAATGGATCAACGACCTAAACATAAGAGCTAAAACTATAAAACTCTTAGAAGAAAACATAAGAGTAAAAATTCATGACCTTGGATTAAGCAAATGTCCCAACAATTGATTAATGCATAAATAAAATGTAACATATCCATATGATGGGATATTATTTGGGAAAAAAATGAAATGTTGATACATGCTACAACATGGATGAACCTGGAAAGCATGCTAAGCAAAATAAGCAAATCACAAAGGACTACATATTCTATGATTCCATTTATATGAAATGTCTGGTAAATAAATTGATGGTTGCTTGGGAGGTGGTGGGCAGGGGGCTGGAGGAAGGTAGAGTGACTGCTAATGGGTTTGGTGGTTCTTTTTAGGGTGATGAAAACATTCTAATATTGATTGTGGTGAACTTTGCACAGCTCAAACATACTGAAAAAACCATTGAGTGGCACATTTTAAATGGACGAATTATAATGGTATGTGAATATATCTACAAAGCCATTATAAAAATAGATAGATGATAGATAGACAGACAGACAGACAGACAGATAGATAGATAGATAAACAGAGAGATGGGGGAAAGTAGATTCGGGCGTGAATCTCAGTTTGGGGAGGCTCAGGAGGATGGATGGAAGCAAAGCAGAACTCTTCAAGGACTTAGCAGGGATGACAGACACAGGCGCATAAGAGACCTTAGCAAAAGCCTGAAACCCAGTCATAAGAACACAGGTGCCAAGTGGGAACAGAACCCACAAGCCAGTCTGACTTGGCACTATGTCCTCCACAAGCCATCCAGACCAAGGTCAGGATGGCTTTCATGCCTGGGGTGCAGCCAAACTCCCAAGAGGGTTCAAGTGGATGTAGCTGTTAGGAGTGGAGGTGAGAGGATGGAGGAGCCATATGTTGGCTGTGTTAGCCCTGTGCTGGACACCAAGCCTTTTAAACAAGGGGAGGGAGATGGTGTAACAGACAGGTGGCAGGAAGCTCAGCACATCTGTCCTGTGTGGCAGAGACATGGGCTTCCTGTCCTGGGCTCTGTGGTGTGGATATCAGCCAGCACACTAAGTGTGCATTGACCCAAAGTCCCTCAGCTCTCCCTGTAGAGTCTGGGGAGGACTCAGAGGCTCCTGGAATAGCAGATGTCTTGAAGGTATGCCCTGCTGTGGGGTCCAGCAAGCCCAGGGTGAACTGCCAGGGTCAGTGCCTGCCCTGGAATCCTGCTGCTGGCCTGGATGCCCACAACATTGCCATCACTGGGCATGCACTGTGGTCATTATCCTGCCTGCCTCAGCCTAAGTCTGCACTTTAGCTCATCACCTCCAGTGACTCAGACTGGATTTTAAATCCTAAACATGAACTGTCATTAGCGGCACCTCTTGTGTGAGACAGAAGACGAGGGCTCCTCTTGCTCATCTCTCCTCTACTCTCCACTTTCACAGGCCCCTCCCCTTAGAGAGGCAAGTATACCTGCTCTGCCTGCTCCAAACTCCAGGACCAGTCCAGTAATGACAGAAAGCACCAAAACCAACTCCCTCATCAGCTTATCACAGATGAGGAAACTGAGGGTCAAAGAGGTGGAGAAAGTGGTTCATAACCCCACAGTCAGTAAGGGGAGGAGTCAGAACCACACCCCCGACCACATGCGACAGCAGCAGACACTGGCCCTTCCTGCCCTGGGAGAGCTGACCTACAGCTGTAGACCCCTTGACTTCTCTTCAGTCACAGCCCTGTCCCTCACTCTGGGTGCCTGGTTGGTGCCTCTGACCTGCATTGTAACCACAGTGAGCAGGGGAAACAGTGAGGACAGAGCTGGGCATATAGATATATGCAGAGGAAGCTCCATGGATCTGCAGTGGCACCAATGACATCCTAGGGTCAGAGGTCAAAGCCTGCTGCTGCACGGATCCAAGTGGCGGCATGGCTGTGCAAGGGAGGCTGGAAGATGCCTGGGAGACAAGTGATTCTTCAGGCCTCAGGCTCTGCTCTGTGTTGGCTGGGGGTGATCACCAGCACAGCTCATGGGCTGGCTCTAAGTGATGATGAGCTGATGTGAAGTCTGCCAGTGGTTAAGCAACCAGGCCTACATAGCAGATGGAAAGAAATGCAAGAAAGTGGACTGAAGGCTTTTGAGCCTTAGCAATAAACCAACAGTCCAGCTAAGTCCCCTATGGAGGGGTATTCCCGGAAGGAGTGATATTCCACCTTGGCCTCTGAGTCCACCCAAGAGGTCTGGAAGCAAAAGGGGTACCCTCTAAAGGGAACGATCCAGTTTATGTTTCTACCACACATAAGACCCAGCTATGAGTATCCCAAGTACAGCTGGTCCCAAGAAAGGGTCCTGCGGATCTATTCTCTACATCAGTGTTTACCAGCCCACATGGTGAGTTCCTAGGCAGGCTGAAGAAATGAAGAGAAATGCACAGAAAGGTAGGAACAAGACTCTGACTGGCATGTCGCTGATGCCAAGAGCAGAGGGAAGTGCCCAAATGGAAAGCGCCCCAGGCTGTGGCTCCTCACACAGTGGAGGGAGGAGGACTTCCAGATGGGTTGGAATGGGCCAGGAGGAGGGCACGCTCCAAGCTCTGGGACCAGTCCTGGAGGCAAAGAACCCACCGCAGGGTTCTTGGTGACCCTTTGCTAGGGAAGTGGGGAAGTGGCCCTGCTTAAATGGATATGGGCCTCCAGGAGGTGTGGTGACTCCAGAAACAGACGCTCATCCATTTATTTATTCATCAAAAAATGATCCATTCAGGGCCTACTGGGCTGGGCAGGGGGATGAAATGAGAGGTGCTAGTAGACAAGGTCCTTGCTGTCATGAAGTGGATAATCTAGCAAGGGAAATGCATTAATCAAAGAATCACAGGCAGAAATGCACCATCACAAAGGGAGCTTTTCCATGAGGGAAAACAACACAGGGCTAAAAATCTAGCGTGTAACACGAGGATGTGGCCAGTGGGCTCAGAGAAAGCATCCCCCAGGAAAGGATACTAAGGTGAAGTCTGAAGGGCTAGGCTGAGCTGAGTAGAGGAAGTGGGCAACAGTCCCAAGCCCAGGGGCAGCCAGCACAGTTGCAATGACCTTGTGAAGGAGAGAGCAGGGTGTGCTGGACTGTATTCAAAGATGGCAGCAACAATTCCACCCATGCTCCTTGGCAATGTGACTTATTTGCTCTTCCTATAAAAAGGCTGAACCTATTTCCCCTCTCCTTGAATCTGGGCTGATTTTATGACTTGCACTGATTAACAGAATGCAGAAGTGATGTCTCACACAACCCAGGACTAGGCCTTAGAGACTTTGCGGCTTGCACTTTCTTCCTCTTGGAATTCTGAGCCCGTCAGGCTGTAAGGAAGCTGAGGATAAAAGACAATGGAGCAATAGAGGCCCAGCTATTCCAGATATCATGGCTGAAGACTAAGGCATGGGAGTGAGGCCATGTGAGACTGTACACCCCCAAGACAACCCATCAGTGGAATGCCAGTGTGTGCATAAGCATAGCCAGGGCCATGTGGAGCAGAAGAACCACCTGGCTGACCGCAGCCCAGACTTCCAAACTTCAGAATCTTAATCCAATCAATTGTTATTTAGGCCACTAAATTTGGGCTTACACTGCAATACATAAGTGATACATAGAGGATATTCAAAGAGCTGAAAGAATAGCCATGTGGCTGGAACGTAGAAAATGGATTCAGAAAGTAGGGCTGGAAGAGAGGAGAATAGTGGAAAATATTGGAGAGGTAGGCAGGGTCCACACCAGGCAATTACCTGGAGGTCATGTTAAAAAGAAATTGATCTTTGTTGTAAATGAGAAGCCACTGAAGAATTTGGGTTTGAAAAGATCACTCTGGCTGAACTGTGGGGAAAAGACTGGCAGCATGAAGAGGGGAGATGGAGAAAACAAGAATGCTTTGCTATTTTGCAGGGAAGAAGAGCTGATAGCTTTAGTGACAGCAACAAAATAGAGATGTAGATAGATTTGAGGGATTTTTTTTTTTTTGAGACAGAGTCTTGCTCTGTCACCCAGGCTGGAGGGCAGTGGCATGATCTTGGCTCACCGCAACCTCCGCCTCCCAGATTCAAACTATTTTCCTGCCTCAGCCTCCCAAGTAGTTGGGATGACAGGCGTGTGCCACCGTGGACGGCTAATTGTTGTATTTTTAGTAGAGATGGGGTTTTGCCATGTTGGCCAGACCGGTCTTGAACTCCTGACCTTAAGTGATCCACCTGCCTCAGCCTCCCAAAGTGCTGGGATTACAGGTGTGAGCCACCGCACCTGGCCGAGGGATTTTTAATAGGCAAAATCATCAACAATAGATTGGATATGGCTTGGAAGGAGAAGGAGGGTTATGAATGACCCCTAGCCACTGGATATACTGAAGCTTCATTCATTGGGGCAAAAAGCCTGCCCTAAACTACCCAGGCCTCTGGAATATGGAAGGGATGAGGCAAAAGAAACCATCACAAGACTCTGGGGTCTGGGAAGTCTTAGGCAGGACACATTGTTCTGCTTCCTGACAGCTGATGTCCTGGAAGAAGACACACTATGGGAGATGAATGTCAATGGGGATTGATTTTCATCATTTTGGAGAGTCTTCAGTGGCACGTTGGTTTAGTTACATCTTTTGATACATGTTTCATTCATACATTCAACTTCATCATTTACTAAACACTTTCACTAGGCCCAGCGCAGTGGCATATGACTGGAATCCCAGCAATTTGGGAGGCTGAGGCAGCAGGATTCCTTGAGGCCAGGAGTTCAAGACCAGCCTGGGCAACATGGCGAGACCAGCCTCTACAAAAGAAAATTAAATAATTAGCCAGGTGTGGTGGCACATGGCGGTGGTCTCATCTACTCAGGAGGCTGAGACAGGAGGATCACTTGAGCCCATGAATTCAAGGCTGCGGTGAGCTATGATGATGCCACCGCACTCCAGCCTGGATGACAGAGCAAGACCCTGTCAATCCATCCATCCATCCACCCATCCATCCATCCATCCATCCATCCATCCATCCATCCATCCATCCATCCATCCATAAAATGAAATAAAATTGCAAACACCTGGATCCCACCCCAGCCCTATAAATCACATTCCCCAGGGATGAAGTTGAGGCACCTGGGTGTATGTAAAAAGGCCCCCCATGGGATTGAGATGTGTAGCCACATTTGAGAGCCACCAGCTTAGAAGGCTTCTAATATCATTTCCAGGGTTGTGATCTGATGACTCAATTTTACAGAAGCTGAAAGAATTTAAGCAAGGGCTGTGCTCTGCCACAGCCTGGACAGCTGGATAGTAGCTTCAGGGACCCCGGAAGAGCCACAGGCAACAAATGAGGATGCAGGGTGCCAGGTACTGCCCAGGCCACCTGCTCCCCTGGGCACCTGTCACTGAGGAGCCTAGGCAGCCAGGGAGGAAAGAGGAGGCCAAGCCATCAAAGCCAACATGACTGGTTCATTTATATTCACTATGCTCACAGGCTATGGGCTCCAAACATTTTTGATGTTTAAAAATGTAAAGCATACCTTCTCCAATATATTTACTTTATTTATTTTTCAGTACATGCACATACTACTATGCTAATATATTTTACACATGAAAAATTTAGATATATAGAAATCCAAAAATGACATTAGAATATGAGTGCTAATATATTCCTCTTGTCCCTCTAATGGTCCACATCATCTTGTGTACCCCACTTTGGAATCTACTGCCCTAACAGTGAGGCAGCTGTTCTCACCTTGTCATAGAATTCTAATATTCAAGGTCTGGTCTTGTCCTGTGACTTTTAGAGGCCAGGAGTTTCTCAAAAGCAGCAGGAAGGATCATTCGGGCATAAGTAGGTTTGGATCCAAAATATTCTGGTGAGAGTTTTCAATTGTGCCATTAAATTGAGAACCCTGGGTGCCCTGATTATGTGAAAGCCACTTTTCCAGGGATCTTCAAGGCACTAACAGGGGGCAGCTCTCTCTTGAAAGAGCTTGCATGCTATTATAGCAGGTGGCCCGGAGCAGAAAGACAGTGTGTTCTCTCTCCCCACGACCTCCGTCACTCAAATTGAGCAAGGAAGCTACATATACCAGAAAGAAAGCCAGGCACCATCCTCACCACTTCCTCCCTAGGCGCCAGCCAATCCATCACCAAGTCCTGCAGATGATGCCTCTTCACTACAGCTCAACTGCATCCACTTCCTTTCACATCCACTATGACCACCAGATCATTTTCTCCTCCCTCATCACCTTGGTGCAAGCTACGACCATCTCCCACCTGGACCACAGCCACCACTTCCGAATCCAACTCCATTCAGTCTGACCTCCGCTCAGCAGCCAGGGTGGAACTGATCATTCCACGGCCCTGCAAACTTCGATGGCTCCCACCGACCACTCTGAAAATAAATCCTCAATCTTCGTGTGGTCTTCAAAGCCTCCCCCTGCAGCCTCATCTCTGCAGCTCCCCTCAATCCCATGATGTTTCCTTTTGTCCTCCCCTGTGCCCCATTCCTGCCCGGGACACTCCTCCCCCATCTGCCTAGTTAACTCCTAATCAAACTTTGGCTTTCAGCTCCATCAGTGCTTACTCAAGGAAGCCCCAGATAAAAACAGAGTTCCCTATAACATGCTAGCATAGCCCTTATCACGGTTGTAATTGCATGATCCTGCCAGCATGTGGGCGTGCAAAAAAAATTACTTTCTCCCTTCTTTACTAGGCTGTTACCTCAATGAGGACAGACTGTGTCATCCTGTGTCCCTACTGCCCAGCACTGTGCCTGGAACATAAGTAAGTACCCAAAGAGTTCTGAGTTCTTAATCAATGAGTGAATGTGTACATACATTAATGAATGGAGAGGGGCTGGAGGGAGTAAGCAGCGAAATTGTCTGGAGAGGGGGCCTAGGAGGTGGGAAAAGAGGAACAAATTAAAGAAAGGAAAAGGAAATAGACTAGAAGATATAATATGCCAGGCAGAGAAAGTTAAAGTCAGTCAACCAAGGGCCCTTATAGAACTCAACACGAGCTAGATTTGAGTCTCTTCCCAAACGCTCTTCCCACAAACCCAGAACCACCCTGATGCTTCTAAGAATGCTGTTCCCTGGCACCCCTTCTGGTGCAAATCTACCCTACAGTATGTCAACATCAGCCAGCCCAGCCTAGCCTGGAATCAGTGGGGAGATGTTCTCTAGCAAGAGCTGAGATAGACCCAAGAAAGATCAATCATTTTACTCTCTAGTGGGAAAGGCCACTGGCTCCATTTCTCCCAGAAGTCAGGCACATGCATTCTTCCCCCGGAAACTATTTTCTCATCTGTAAATGACAGGGGGCTATCTCTGAGGTTTCTTTCAGCTCTGGCATCTCAAGATACCATGGCCCAGTCTGCAGAACTATGGCCTCTGCTAACAGAAAACAGCAGACCGCAGAGGCTGCCTACCCCGGTGTTGACTTTCTTGAGGAATCATCTGGAGACTGCCAGGAATTCCCCAAGTAATGAATTCAGGAATGTTTTCTAGATCATGGAAGACACACTACCCGATCAGATCTGAACTACTGCTGGGTATATCAATACTTCTTTTAATCTGTCCAAAATTCCCTTCCAGGTAGCAGAAAGTTTTTTGAATCTTTTTCTTTGATTCTTTTTTTGAGAGACAAGATCTCACTCTGTCTCCCAGGCTCGAGTGCAGTGGCATGACTGTAGCTCATGGTAACCTCAAACTCCTGGGCTCAAGCACTCCTCCTGCCCCAGCCTCCCGAGTAGCTGGGACCACAGCTGAACACTACTACGCCTAATTTTTGAATATTTTGTAGGCTGAGCATGGTGTCTCACGCCTGTAATTCTAGCAGCACTTTCGGGGGCTGAGGTGGGCGGATCACCTGAGGTCAGAAGTTTGAGACCAGCCTGGCCAACATAGTGAAACCCCTTCTCTACTAAAAATACAAAAAACTAGCTGGGCGTGGCGGCAGGTGCCTGTAATCCCAGCTACTCGGGAGGCTGAGGCAGACGAATCGCTCGAACCCAGGAGGTGGAGGTTGCAGTGAGCCGAGATCGTGCCACTGCTTTCTAGTCTGGGCGACAAGCAAGACTCCATCTCAAAATAAAATAATGCAATAAAATAAAATATAAAATAAAACCCTCCCGGTGAAAGCCTGTGATCTATTTTCAGAAGCTTTCTTCCTGAAAGCATAGGCACATAGATACCTGAAGTTAAAGATTTCACCACTGTCTCTTAACGTAACAGTGAAACAACAAGAAATTAACATAACTAGTCCATTTTTGTTTAAGGGGAATTTACTCATTGTTGCATGCAAGTTAGGATAATTTGAGAGCACTGATATACAATGCAAAGCAGCAATCACATAGTTTTGAAACTAACTCTGGGATTACAGGGGAAGTAGGTACACCACTATGTTTTGTTAAAGGTTTACAGGAACATTGGGATCTAACCAAGGACGAAGAAGTTCCCAATCACTTAGGACTCTTGCTGGTGCCCAGATTATCTGCCGTCCTCAGTTGCTTCTTGAGTCCAACCTCTACACAGTTTCCCCATATCCCTCTCCCATAAAACCCTCCAGCCGGCCGGGCGCAGTGGCTCATGCCTGTAATTCCAGCACTTTCGGTTGCCGATCACAAGGCTGGAGGCGGGCGGATCACGTCAGGAGATGGAGACCATCCTGGCTAACACGGTGAAACCCCGTCTCTACTAAAAATACAAAAAATTAGCTGGGCGTGGTGGCAGGTGCTTGTAATCCCAGCTAATCAGAAGGCTGAGGCAGGAGAATAGCTTGAACTCAGGAGGTGGAGGCTGCAATGAGCCTAGATTGTGCCATTGCACTCCAGCCTGGGTGAAGAGCCAGATTCCATTTCAAAAATAAAAAATAAAAAAAATAAGATAACATCTTAGCATATGTTCTTGAGCTGTTTTTCAGAAACTCAGACCCCACTCAAGGGATTTGCTGGCAGGTAGACTCTCAGATAAGGGGGAACTGTGGACTGAACTCTGACCACAGTGCTTGTTTCTAAATTTCTTCCCAAGGGGTCTGGAGGAGGTCATGTCCATGAGGGAGCACTAATGTTCTTTTCTGCTGACCTCAGATTTTTACACAGAGCTTTGCATCCTGGAGCAATCGCAAATCAGAAAATCTTTGACTCCACCTTAGACCTTTGGGCCCTGCTTCAAGATGTCCTACTTTTTGGCTGGGCGTGGTGGCTCATGTCTGTAATCCCAGCACTTTGGGAGGCCAAGGCAGGTGGATCACCTGAGGTCAGGAGTTCGAGACCAGCCTGGCCAACATGGCGAAACCCTGTCTCTACTAAAAATACAAAAAATTAGCCAGGTGTGGTGGCACATGCCTATAGTCCCAGCTACTCAGGAAAGTGAGGCAGGAGAATTGCTTGAACCTGGGAGGCAGAGGCTGCAATAAGCTGAGATTACACCATTGCACTGCAGCCTGGGCAACAAGAGAGAAAGTCTTAAAAAAAAAAAAAGTCCTACTTTTATAGGTCGAAACAATGTACAGCTTCCATGTGTCAATTTCTGACTTTGCCTGTAACCTCTGCCTCTCTGCCTTTAAAAACCCTTACCTAGGGCCGGGTGCGTTGACTCATGCCTGTAATCCCAGCACTTTGGGAGGCTGAGGCAGGTGGATCACGAGGTCAAGAGATTGAGACCAACCTGGCCAACATGGTAAAACCCCGTCTCTACTAAAAATACAAAAATTAGCTGGGTGTGGTGGCAGGTGCCTGTAGTCCCAGCTACTTGGGAGGCTGAGGCAGGAGAATTGTTTGAACCCGGGAAGCAGAGGTTGCAGTGAGCCGAGATTGTGCCACTGCACTCCAGCCTGGCAACAGAGCAAGACTCTGTCAAAAAAAACAAAAACAAAAACAAACACAAACAAACAAACAAAAACCCTTCCCTACCAGCCATCAGGGAGTTCAGGTCTTAAGCATGAGCTGCCCGATTCTCCTTGCTGGGCGCCCTGCAATAACTGCCTCACTTTCTCTCGCTGCAATTGCAATGTCAGTGTTTGGGTTTGCAGAGCCAGATGGGCGAGCTATGGCGGGTTCTGTAACATAGAGAGTGATGTTCCACCACCTCTGGAGCATGTGTCTCTGATGTCTTCCTTCCTACTGACAGGAATTCTTCTTTTTACCAAAAGGAATTCACTTAGGAAGCCATTTAAATCCATTTACATTGTTAAAAGCAACACTGGAGGAAATTTAACGCATAAATTACGTAAATAACACCATCTGGTAATCCAAGCGCAGGCAAATTTTAGCCCTTTGTCTGATTCTCAACAACACAGGTTTCTGGCAAAGAGAATATTTTAATTTGTTACTCGCATCCTACCAATCATTTGCGGGCCTTTCTGGTAACCTCCTTCCCAGAGGAGCAAGCTACTACTCCTGAAAATAGGGAGAATTTTCCTCAGCGTTTCTCTCTGCCATGCTAGAGATGGTGAGCTGACTTTTCCCAGTTTAAATCAACATTCTCTTTCACTAAACGGGACGGTTGCATAATGGCTTTCCTCCTAAAGTCCTTTTAAAAAATTCAATTTCAATCTTCTGCTTTATTTATGACTGCTTCTCAGAAATGGGATTGACAAATATGGACCTCAAGACATATCTCAATTTAAGTACCGCGGTGGTAAGAACTTCTAAATACGTGGATCCTCTTGCCAGTCAATGCAAGTCATTGACTGGCAAGAGGAATTAAGATGAAGTGTTTTGTGATGAGCAGTTCAGAGAAGTCAAGAAATGCAGATTGAAAGCAGCTTGATCTATAGAGCCCAGAAGTAGGGCTGGGAGGACTTTTTTCTTTTCTTTTGATTTTTGTTGCTGTTACTATGTACTGAAAAGAATAATATGGGTTTATTTTCACCATTTTAAAATTCAACCCAGGCTGGGCACGGTGGCTAATGCCTGTAATCCCAATGCTTTGGGAGGCCGAGCTGGGGGGGATTGCTTGAGGCCAGGAGTTCAAGACCAGCCTGGACAACCATCTATAAGAAAACATTTAAAAATTAGCTGGGCATGGATGCGCATGCTTGCAGTCACAGCAACTCAGGTGGTTGAGGTAGGAGGATCACTTGAACCCCGGGGACTGAAGCTGCAGTGAGCTATGATGGTGCTACTGCGCTCCAGCCTGGGCAACAGAGTAACAACCTGTCTCTAAAGAAATAAAAATAATAATTAATAAAAAGAAAACAAAATCCATCCCAGTCTTATGACCCAGCCTGATAGATAGCTTGTGACTGTCATAGAGGACCAGGGCTTTGATGTTAGAAAATTGGCTAAAAGGCTGGGTGCAGTGGCTCACGCCTATAATCCCAGCACTTTCGGGAGGCCGAGGCAGGTGGATCATGAGGTCAAGAGATGGAGACCATCCTGGCCAACATGGTGAAACCCCGTGTCTACTAAAAATACAAAAAATTAGCTGGGTGTGGTGGCACACACCTGTAGTCCCAGCTACCCAGGAGTCTGAGGCAGGAGAATTGCTTAAACCTGGGAGGCAGAGGTTGCAGTGAGCCGAGATCGCACCACTGTACTCTAGCCTGGCGACAGAGGAAGACTCCATCTCAAAAAAAAAAAAAGCCTAAAAAGTAGCCTGGATCAGGCATGTCTAGATTGGCTTTGTCCTATTCTCCCCACCTCCCTTCCTTTTTTTTTTTTTTTTTTTTTGTGCTCCCATCCCTTCCTCTCCTCTCCTGCATTCCCTCTTCCCTACCACCCACTACTTCACATCTACTAGCTCTCACTCTATTTCTGTCCTCCCGACTCTGACAGTTCAAACACTGGTCCATTAGTCCTCTCTCTACAACAGCTTCAACTAAGTAAGTATTAAGCATTTTATTATTCTTGGTATTCCCAGCACCCAGCCTGATGCCTTTAACTTCTAACAATTTACCTTCCTTAGTTATTCAATCCAGTGCTATCTACATGTTTACTAAGAGCTCCAAGCTAAACGCTGCCAGGGGTATAAAGATAATTTAGACATGGATGTCACTGCCAGGCTCATAGCCTTTATTCTTTCCTCAGAGCTTAAAAATAGAATGCCAGGAAAGTATTGAAAATGACTTTAGAACCTTTGGTGTAGAAGCTGGCAGAGCAGGGAGGGTGAAAACACTGTATTCACTCCCTTATCCATGCATGTCCTCCATCCTTCTACTGTCATTTCTTTGCATTTTGCCTGGGATTAAAGGAGTTGGTAGGGCACAATTATAGATAAGCTATGTTTAACTATAAAAGAATAGTGAATTATATTTAATTCTGTGTCTTCAACACCAAAGGGCCAGAGCTTTCAGACTGCATACAGTGATCTGAAGAGGACGGGTCTGTCCACATCCTTTAAAGAGCATAATTGGGCCAGGCACCTGTAATCCCATAATTGGGCTCACACCTGTAATCCCAGCACTTTGGGAGGCTAGGAGTTTGAGACCAGCCTAAGCAACATGACAAAACCTTGTCTCTACTAAAATACAAAAATTAACTGGGTGTGGTGTTGCATGCCTGTAGTCCCAGCTACTCAGAAGGCTGAAGCAGGAGAATCACTTGAACCCAGAAGGTGGAGGTTGCAGTGAAGAGAGATCATGCCACTGTGCTCCAGCCTCGGCGACAGAGTGAGTGAGACTCCATCTCAAAATAAATAAATAGCATGATTGATGTCATATGGCCCAAAAGCCCAGCAAAGCTTGTGATCACTCTCTCTGGCACTCAGATTCCCTAACTGAACTCAACTTGGTAAAGGCAAAATAAAAGGCATTCCCAATTACTGGTCCCATAAGTCTGCAGAAAGGACAGTGGTACTGGGTTGTCTAGAGTTTGGGGCTAGGACTTGGGAGAAGTCAGCACTGCTCAGCCAGCATGGCTCTGCCACACTAAACTGCACATCTGCACATTGGCCACCATCTAATATGGACTTCCTGTTCTTTATGATGCAGCCAGCCAGGCATGCCTGAGATACCCCTTGGAAAGAAGCTTGACTGGCAACTTCCTGAACTCTTCTCTATTACTCAGGAGATGCCAGAAGGAGGCTGAAATTGCCCTCATAGGGTTAACGAGAATTACAAGCCAGGCTTTAGGCAGAATTATGGTTAGACATTGATCAGGGTACACAGGTGCACTTTAATCCACTTCCCTGCAGTTGCTAACTATTCAAGGGTCACGTAGCACACTGACTACCTGCTCCCTCATTGTTCCTATAGATAAAATCTCTAACACTGGACCTTTTAACCCAATAATTGCTTAAGGTGTGTATGTGTGTGTGTGTGTGTGTGTGTGTGTGTGTGTTTAATCCTGAATTCCAGCAGAATGGCTAACCAATCTGAAGACCCCCACCAAGGAACTGACTCAGGACAGGCATACAGTTTCTTCATCTTCCTGTCCCAGGACTTCATCCTCTTGCTTCTCAACCAGTCAGGAATCCCCACACTTTAGCCAATCACCCATCCTCTTAAAAACCCCCTGAAAACTCCATCCCAAACCTTTTGAGGAGGCAGATTTTAGGTTTCCTCCCATCTCCTCATTTGGCTGACCAATGATCTTTCTCTGCTGCAACTCCTGCTGTTTTGGTGTATTGGTGTGTTATGGCACAATGGAAAATTGAAACTGGTGGTCCTAAAAAATGGCCCATGAGATGTGAGAATCCCTCACTCAAGGTCACAAAACTTGGATCTGGTGCACAAACATGAGATCTGGGCCAGGACAGAGCTCTCAACTGTCGGCAGAGCTTGAGAAGCACCTTGCAGCAAGCCACCAAGCCCAAGGGCCTGAGATTAGGACTCAAGGTCAGGGCAGGTGGGCTGGCAAATGGAGAGAGATCCAGTGGTGACAGCTGGGTAATGGGGGCAGAACCATCCCTGCAGATGGGAGGAAGAGGATGAAGAGGACCCTAAAAGACATCACCTAGAACTGGGCACCAATGTGGGGCCCATAAGGCTTCATGCTTTCCACAAACCCTTTTGTTATTTCATTGTATGGCATGACATTACAGAAAGATAGTCCTGGAGTCACAGCACTGGGTTCAAATCCTGGCTCTTGGTTGAGTTGAAATCAAAGTCATTGCCAATTACTACTGAGTTGCCCACAATTGAGGCTAGGTCTCACGGTTGCCTAGCTACTTTTATGCCTGATCTTCAGTTTCCTTAGCCATAAAACGCAGCTGAGGGCCAGGCTTGGTGGCTTATGCCTGTAATCCCAGTGTTTTGGGAGGCTGAGGCAGGAGGATCACTTGAGACCGAGAGTTCAAGACCGGCCTGGGCAACATAGCAAGATCCCATCTCTCTGAAAAATAAATAAATAAAAATTATTTTCAACTTAAAAAAGGAGTGGACCAAGCATAGTGGCTCATGCCTGTCATCCCAGTACTTTGGGAGGCCAAGGGAGGATCACTTGAGGTCAGGGGTTTAAGACCAGCCTGGGCAACATAACAAGACCCCGTCTCTACAAAAATCTTTTTAAAAACGTTATCTGGGCATGGTGGCATGCACAAGTAGTCCCAGCTACTCAGGAGGCTGACGCGGGAGAATTGTTTGATCCCAGGAGTTCCAGGCTGCGGTGAGCTGTGATTGAGCCACTGTACTCCAGCCTGGGCAACAGAGTGAGACTTTGTCTCTTAAAAAAAAAAAAAAAAGTAGCTCATGACAGCAGCTGATCTGAGGGTTGTTGTGAAGGTAATATGAGATAATGTATGGAACACTCATTAACATGATAGTAAATGCTGAGAAAAACCAAAGTAGTTATTATTTACTAGCCAAGAGAATAGCTGTGTAGCTGTGAAGTGAACTGTTTCCTGAGTGGTAGCGGTGCCACCACCTCTGTGTGGGCCCATGGGAGGGGCAGGTTGGAGATAATGACTGTGAGGACCCAGAGGAAGTGAGGAAGTGGTAGCTGCTGATGTTGGCATAGGGGTTACAGGCTCACTGTGTGTCCCTCTGTCCACATTCTGTTTTTCCCTGTTGCACAGCCCGCAATGGGTGTGGGCTGTTGGTGGGCCAGGCCGCTTCCTGCCCTGCCTGGCTGTGAGGACTCTCTTGTTGTCTCACTAGACGGCCCCCCAGACACCTGGACTGCAGCCTGGCCTAAGTGGCTGGAAGCAGAGCAAGCTGAAGGATTTCCTTGAGTGGAACTGCTGTCAGGTGGTGTCAGTGGGTTCACAGAGGCTTGGAGAATGTGTATGATTACTGGGCACTGCTCAGAGGTCCATGGGGATGTGTTCATGGCCACAGACATCCCTAGGAACAGTGGACAGAGCATGGACTCCAGCACACAGAAGCAATGGTAGAGGTAAGAGGCTTGCAGAAAACAGAGCCATGGGCTTCCAGGGCCTGGAGGGGCCTCTGCCTGAAAGCCTGCCTGCTCAGTGCCAGTAGTTAGGGTCACTGGGGCTTGAAAATGGAGGGTATCAACAGAGGACAGGAGAAGCTGTCACTCACACTCCTCTCCAGTTCCTGTAGGAGCAGGAGGAACTGGGCAGGCTCTCAGGCCTCCAACTTGTCTCCCCATCCCTGTCGTTGTTTAAAAATAGCAGATTTGGGCTGGGCATGGTGGCTTATGCCTCAGGTCCCAGTGATTTGGGAGGCCGAGGCAGGCAGATCACTTGAAGTCAGGAGTTTGAGACCAGCCTGGCCAACATGGTGAAATCCCATCTCTACTAAAAATACAAAAAAAAAAATAGCTGGGCACAGTGGTGGGCACCTGTAATCCCAGTACTTAGGAGGCTGAGGCAGGAGAATCACTTGAACCTGGGAGGTGGAGGTTGCAGTCAGCCAAGATCGCACCACTGCACTCCAGCCTGGGTAACAGAGCGAGACTCTGTCTCAAAAAATAAAATAAAATAAATAAAAATAGCAAAATTGGGCCAGGGGCGGTGGCTCAAGCCTGTAATCCCAGCACTTTCGGAGGCTGAGGTGGGTGGATCATGAGGTCAGGAGATCAAGACCATCCTGGCTAACACGGTGAAACCCCATCTCTACTAAAAATACAAAAAATTAGCTGGGTGTGGTGGCGGGCACCTGTAGTCCCAGCTACTCAGGAGGGTGAGGCAGGAGAATGGCATGAACCTGGGAGGCAGAACTTGCAGTGAGCTGAGATAGCACCACTGCACTCCAGCCTGGGTGACAGAGCGAGACTCTATCTCAAAAAAAAAAAAAAAAAGGAAACTTGGATGCCCCTTTTGGGACCAAGCCACCAAACATACTGTCTGTGGCAGGAGGCAACTCATAAAGAAGCATGGTCCAAGCATAGGAGGGTTCAGCCTCTCACTTGCTTTTGTTACAGCCAAGATGAGGGGTCTGACCCATGTGATTCCTCTGTGAACTTATGCATGCAAGGAACTACATCTGATAAACTAACATGCACTCCATTCTCAGGCTTGGCAAAGAGAATAGAGAGTGAGAAAATAGCTATAAATTAAATTTAAACAGAGTGAATCCACTCTCCATTCTACTCATGAGATAGAAACACGCTGAGTCCCAGAGGAAGGTGGTGGCCTGTGGCTGGGGCTGCTGGTGCTCCAGGAACAGCCCTGGTCCTGCCATGCTGAGCTGGGTTATCCTTTGCTTACTTACTTCAACATAGAATGTTCTCAGAACCCTTCTTGGAGCTCCATCCCATCCTTTTCTTTTTGCATAAACTGCAAATAAAATCAATTAAATTTTTAAAAGTGTGGGACTAGCTGCTGGGTTAGAAGCTATGGAAGTCAGGAAATCCGGGGTTTCTGAAATGGGTGTTAAAACGTCAGTAAGGTTAGGGGCAGAAATGCTGTTCTCTGTTCCACGATGGTGTATCAGAGCCTAGGAACTTGGAGGCAAAATGCCAAGTCTAGTCATGGACTGATGGAACCTGGGGAGGGAGGTGGCCTTAGGGGAGGAGATATTGCCACATCAAAAGATCAGACATTCCAGGACATGGTGCCAGTCAGTGCTGCTGGTGATACCAGATAATTTAAAGCCAGGGAAAGACAAATACAGATCCCATTTCACTTAGGCCTAGGCACAAAATGACATTCACAACCATGACATGACCCGTCTATGTGAAATTGGGCCTGCAGGCTTGATATTTGCCAATTGGTAAATTACTCCACCAGCTGACTTCACAACTGAAGTCAGGTTTTCTCCTCTTCAGGTTTTTAAATGTAAACATTAGGGCTTTGATCAGGAGAGGATCCTAGAAGTGGAGGAGGTACTTATACACTGAAGAAATGACAAATCTCAGTCCCTTTTATTGAATGGAAACTTCTATTTTGTTCCCCAGAACAGAAAGCCAGTGATACTCTTCTTGGGCCTATAACCATCTGTAATAGTTCATTTTCACACTGCTATAAAGATACTACCCAAGACTGGGTAATTTATAAAGGAAAGAGGTTTAAGTGACTCAGAGTTCTGCATGGCTGGGGAAGCCTCAGGAAACTTACAATCATGGCGGAAAGGGAAGCAGGCACTTCTTCACAAGGCAGCAGGAGAGAGAGAGGGTGTGTAGGAGGAACTGTCAAACACTTATAAAACCATCAGATCTTGTGAGAACTCACTCACTATCACAATAACAACATGGGGGAAACTGGCCCCATGATCCAATCACCTCACACCAGGTCCCTCCCATGACATGTGGGTATTACAATTCGAGATGAAATTTGAGTGGCAACATAGAACCGAACCATATCACCATCTGTGGACAGACCTAATCCACTTATGATAACACCTGGAGAAAGTTGGTGTCAGCTTTGGCGCCTCCTAATTCTTACAGGCAAAGGCCAGGAGCCTCCTGAGTACACCCAGTCCAGCCTTTTCTGCAGACAGATGTGGCTGTAAGATTTGTTCTCAGTAGTAAATGTGGGTCTAAGTAAAGCACAACCCTGCCATGGTTGAAAAGCCAGTGTGCATTCTCCATCCTCTTTTTTCCCACTGCATGGAGACCTTGGAAGCCACCTGTTGATGATGGAGGAGCCACAGTGTTAAAGAAGCTAAAGTCACTGAATGACCACCAGGAAGGCTACCTGCCAACCATGGAACATATTTTTACCATACTAAGCCACTGAGATTTGGAGGTTTGCTTGTTCCAGGAGCCAGAGTGACTTGCCCCCAGCACTCTTCATCTGCTATTTTGACTTGTAATGTGTAGAATTTTACTTACTTTATTATTATTATTATTTAGAGACACAGGGTCTCTGCTCTGTCACCCAGGCTGGAGAGCAGTGGCACAATCCTAGCTCACTGCAGCCTTGAACTCCTGGGCTTAAGCAATCCTCCTGTCTCAGCCTCCCAAGTAGCTAGGGCTACAGGTGTGCACCACCATGCCTGGCTGATTTTTCTTTTCTTTTTTCTTTTCTTTCTTTCTCTTCTTTTTTTTTTCTTTTGTTTTTTTTTTTTTTTTTTTTTTGAGATGGAGTCTCGCTCTGTCGCCAGGCTGGAGTGCAGTGGTGAGATCTTGGCTCACTGCAACCTTGGCCTCCCGAGCAATTCTCCTGCCTCAGCCTCCCAAGTAGCTTGGATTCCAGGCGCATGCCACCATACCAAGCTAATTTTTGTATTTTTAGTAGAGATGGGGTTTCACCGTGTTGACCAGGCTGGTCTCAATCTCCTGACCTTGTGATCCGCTCACCTTGACCTTCCAAAGTGCTGGGATTACAGGTGTGAGCCACCGTGCCCAGCCTCTATTTTTCTTTTCTGTGGAATCGGTATGTCACTATGTTGCCCGGGCTGGTCTCAAACTCCAGTCTCAAGCTGTCCTCATGAATTGGCTTCTCAAAGTGCTGGGATTACAGAAAGGAGCCACTGCTCCCAGCCCAGAGTTTTAAAATGCACACAGGAACCCTATTCTTTTATAAATATTAGGTATCCAGAAACAAGAGGCTTCCCCGAGGTTATGACCAACCAATACTTTTATTTCTGTTTCTCTCCCAGAAAACAATTCATTTTTCAGCTTCCAGGAAAGCTGGATATCGCACCTGGAGATTGTAAATGTCACTGGCCTGCCCCATCCCATTCACTTCTCTGCCCTGCTGGGGCCAGTTTCATGTTTTAGAAATTTACTGGAATGGTAGCCAGCTGTGGAGTTGATAAAGGGAAATGGTCTTTTAAATTTTTAAACGATTGTTTCTGGTGTCGCTTTGTTCTTTCTCTCCTAACACCGTGTCTGGCATATCTTCTAGGCCTGGGGTCTGTTTGAACAATTCTAAAATGTCATCTCCTACCTGCTGCCTTCTGCTGCTGCAATCAGCTCGCAGCCTGGCTCCCACAGAGCCTTTAGGCAGAATTCATGTGTGGACACTGCCCATTCACAGAAACCTTGATCAGAAAGAAAGCCACCTTAGCCACAATGTTTCTCTGCTCTCTGGCTCAGAGAAAACATAGGAATGTCATTGTATTATCTTGAATGCATCCCTTTTTCCCTTTTGTAAAAATGCTGGGGTGTGTGGCTGGGTTTTTGTTTTTGTTTTTTGACAGAGTCTCGCTCTGTGGCCCAGGTTGGAGTGTAGTGGTGCAATCTCAGCTCACTGCAACCTCCGCCTCCTGGGTTCAAGCGATTCTCCTGCCTCAACCTCCTGAGTAGCTGGGATTACAGGCACACGCCACCACGCCCACCTAAGTTTTGTATTTTTAGTAGAGACAGGGTTTCCCCATGTTGGCCAGGCTGGTCTCAAACTCCTGACCTCTGGTGATCCACCTGCCTTGCCTCTCAAAGTGCTGGGATTACAGGTGTGAGCCTCTTCGCCTGGCCTGTGGCTGGGTTTTGATAGTTCTGAATAGCGTTGATCTTGAAACCTTAAAGAACCATTGGCTTGGGGTTTCTCCAGAGACCACCCCAGGTCTTTGTCCTGGAAAATTTGAAGCGCCATCCATCCTATCGACGAAGTTCATCATGTGTGACTGTCCCAAAACATGCGATGTGCTCCTGTATTTTCTTGCCACCCCTGGGTTTTATGAGGAACACCTGGGGGTTAAGAGAAAAACCTGTTCTTCATACATTTTCCGTAGATTTAATGACAGGCAGGGCACTGCCTCAAGGGAACCTGGATAGCATTGGCTGATAGAAGGAATAGAGAATCTAGAAGAGGTTCATTTTTTTTTTTGAGACAGAGTCTCACTCCATTGCCCAGGCTGGAGTGCAGTGGTGTAATCTCAGCTCACTGCAACCTCTGCCTGCTGGGTTCAAGTGATTCTCGTGTCTCAGCCTCCCCAGTAGCTGGGATTACAGGTGCACACCACCACACCCAGCTAATTTTGTATTTTTAGTAGAGACGGGATTTCACCATGTTGGTCAGGTTGGTCCTGAATTCCTGACCTCAAGTGATCCACCTGCCTCACCTCCCAAAGTGCTGGGATTACAGGTGTGAGTCACTGCACCCAGTCAAGAATCTAGAAGAGCTTTGGTAAAGGAAAATCTTTCTTCAAAGAATTTCATCTCTAAGGATGTGAAGGAGTTGGTTGTCCATGAATCTGCAGCACATTCTGTTATTTACCTTGGGGGCCTGCTTTTGGAGAGCCATTAAAAATCCCCTCTCAGAAAACTATTGTCCTTGCCCATTGAAACACTTAAAACACTGGTTAAGTGTCAGATACTTTGCAAAGTGCTCTATATTCATTTATGCATTATTTTATTTCATTTTTACAAGCCTGCAATGGGCTGAGTGTCCACATCTCCCCAGTGTGTTTTAGGTGTTTCCATAGGCTAGGACAATAGCTTTCTGGCCTGCTGTAAGGGAAGGATTCTTTGGGAAAATGAGATGCCTGGTTCATGAGATGCAAGATTTGGGAGAGGGAGGAATGATGGTACCCTTTCTGGATCACTGAATGAGCATCAGCAGACAGCCTCGTGTTCCCAGTAACATGTCAGCCCTGTCCCATAGTGGGGGGACAGCTGATGCTGGGGACACTGAGATCAGCTTCAATGGGGCCTCTCAGCTGCATTGTAACCTCCAGCCGAAATTCTCTACCAAGCTTTGGAAGCCAGATCTTGCTGTCATTCCATAACCACAGTTCCCTCATTAGCCTCAGAAATGCTAACTAGACTAGCTCATTACTATCAAGAACATCATCATCATCAGCAGCAGCAGCAGCATCCTCACCATCCACAGCAGCTAAGACTTGAACACTTACTGTGTGTTGGACACTTTGCAAAGTGCTCTATATTCATTTGTGCATTATTTTATTTCATTCCTACAACAGGCCTGGAATGGATTGAATGTCCATGTCTCCCCAAAATTCATGTGTTCAAATCCTGACCCTCTCGGTGACAGGATGAGGAGATGGGGGTCTTTGGGAGGTGATTAGGTCCTCAGAGTGGAGCTCTTGTGAATAGGGTTGGTGCCCTTATGAAAGAGGAACAAGCCACCCCTCACTCCTTCCACTACGTGAGGACATTGCAAGACGGCACTGTCTAGGAGCCAGAAAGTGGGCCCTTACCAGACACAGAATCTGCCTTGATCTTGGACTTCCCAATCTCTAGAACTGTGAGAAATCAATTTCTGTTGTTTATCAGCTACCTAGTGTACGGTATTTTGTTATAGCAGCTCAAACAGACTAAGACAAAGCCCATTAGGTAGGTCCTTCTATAATTCCCGAGTTACAGATGAGGAAATGAAGGTCAACAATGCCCAAGACACACACCTATTAAGTTATGTGACCAAATTCATTCAAAACGTGGGTCTGCTTAACCTCTGTTCTCTTTCCCACCACATATACCCCAAGAAGTGTAAGAAGACTTTGTTTTTCTATGACCAAGTCTACCAACCCCTATGTCCTGAGATCATGGTTATTGGGATACAGATAACCTAAGCCACAGGTTCCCAATGACAGACCTCTGGTCTGGGCTGCTTGCATCCCAGCTCCCTGGGGGAGCTTCTGATAAACATCCATGTCTATATCCCATTCCTTGAGGTTCTGATATAGCAGGCTTTGGGAGGGGCCTCAGAATCTGCATTTTATCACAGTTAGGGAATCTAACTGTCAGAAACCAGCTAAAGATTCTTAAAGCTCTGTGCTGCAGACACTTTTGGCATCTGGTGAAAACTGTGGATCCCTTCTCGGAATAATGTTTTTAGTTTAGTTTTTTTTTTTTTGAGATGGGGTCTTGCTATGTTGCCCAGGCTGGTCTTAAACTCCTGGGGTCAAGTGATCCTCCTGGGTAAGCCTCTCAAGTAGCTGGAATTACAGAAAATAATGTATTTAAGTGCATCAAATTAAACAAAATGCACAGGATTACTAAAGACTAACTATGTTGAAATATAGTTATTGGTTTTTTTAAAATATGATATAACCTATGTGCTTCTTTAGCACCTTAAATAACAAGATCTACTGTTTGGTTTACTAACTACTATAAATTTGAGAGTAGTCAAGAGGATATTTAAGTATTTCAAGATAGCCACAACAACTAGAATGTAATATAAAAATGTCTAGCCTACATTCATTAAAGAAACAAACACTAATATCAGTTAGAGATTAGGGAAACATCAACATGTATTTTATATTTCTGACCAAGTTTACAGACTCAGATATGATCACAGACTCCTTGGAGATGAGTGGATTCCAAGCCAAGAGCCCCTGGTGTGGAGCTATGGCCAGCCATCATCTAAAAAAAAAATGTAGAATGCAGATTTCAAGAGACTTACAAAAAAATCTTCCTGCAAATACAAGTTTTACAAGAGGGAAAATCGAACCAAAGAGGTGCTTGATTTTCATTAGCAATAAGAAGTCTGCGTGGATATCTTGATCTTTTCTTTCTTGCAAAGGGACCATATTAAATGATGGATTTAAAAATTTACCATCAATACTGGAGTGGAATAGTAACCATGAGAAATCACACTCATGCAAATCTTATTGGAAAAAATGGTGCATGATTTATCATTTTGTCGGCATCCTGATATTCTAAGATGAACGTTGTTTTTTTCCCCACTCTTGCTTTGTTTTGCACTTACCCTAATTTTCTAAATAACATGGTTTCCAGATTGCGAGAAATGATTATCCTTATTCAGAGCAAATGGTGCTGGAGATATATTCATGGGCTGCGATCTTCCCGCAATCAACCATCCTCTCCTTTGCCTTGTCAGAGCTCACCCCCCTCTGAAAGAGATTACCTAAAGGTTCCAACAGCCAAAGCAATAATGGAAATCTCCAAGTTGCAACCAAGAACAATGCTTTATGAACCTCAGAAAGTTTGCTGTTTTTAGCTTTTCAATATATACAGTAGATAATAGGATTTTGTGCATGTTCGCACAGCATTTAACAGCTTAAAGCATTCCCTGCTTGCTGCTTTCGGTTGTGTGCTATGGTTTAGGTGGGTTTAAATGTTTCCCGGGCCGTTCACAATTATTCATCTCCATGGCAGAGGTAGCAGGGAGTTCAGCTTCACTCCCTGGAGGCGAGCCCTCCCCACAGCCCTCCTCGTGCAATCGCTCAGTGTCAGAACCTCTGAAGGCAAAATAGAGACACCAGCCAAAGAGGATGATGGACAGCTGTCATCTCTGGGACACCAGTAGGCACAGCCCAGATCACCTAGGAGGAGAAGATGGGGCCTCCACAGATGGTTACATTTCTCTTAAGTGTGAACACCGAACAAGAGAGTGCAGATCAGTTAGACAGGACAGAGGGTCTCATCAAATCACCAAGTGCCATTCAAGTCTCCTCAAATGGTTTTTATCTGTTGACTCCTTTTTTTTCAAACAAATGTTAATTTTTGTGGGTACACAGTAGCTGTATATATTTATGGGGTACACGAGACGTTTTGACACAGGCATGTAACGCATAATAATCCCATCATGGAGAATGGGGTATTCATCCCCCCTCAAGCATTTATCCTTTGTGTTACAAACAATCTAATTAAACTCTTTTAGTTATCTTAAAATGCAATTGAGTTGTTATAGACTATAGTCACCCTGTCGTGCTATCCAATAGTAGGTCTTATTCATTCTTTTTATTTTTTATTTTTTACCCATTAACCATCCTTATCTCCCCTGCACAACCCCCCACTACCCTTCCCAGCCTCTGATAACCATCCTACTCTCTGTGTCCATGTGTTCAATTGTTTTAATTCTTAGATCCCACAAATAAGTGAGACCATGCGATGTTTGCCTTTCTGTGTCTGGCTTGTTTCATTTAACATAATGAAACAGCACTGTCCACCTACCTAACGTCATGGATCGCAGTATGCAGAATCCAGACTTAGAGGCCTCACCTACTCTTTGGATGGCAGGTGCTAAAACCAGAATACCAAAAGACCTGTCTGATTAGACCTTGATAAACCTACACTCTCAGACTCACCTCCCCAGCCATCCACATTAGACTTCACTGCATGCTTCTCCGTCCATTCTAACCTCAAGGACTACCCATGCCGTGTCTGTATCGGGATGCCCTTTTCGTCCACATCCCACCCTCTTTTCAAGGCCCAGGGACCCTCTTCCAGAAGCCCTTTCCTAACCTTCCAGGGGAGGGACAGCCTCTTTTCTTCATCTACCACTCTAAGACTTGATATTAGTGTCAGAGGGATTTGAACCAGAGCAACTCCATCTTGAATAGGGGATGGGTAAGATAAAGCTGAGACCTACTGGGCTGCATTCCCAGGAGGCTAGGTGTTCTTAGTGACAGGATGAGATAGGAGGTTGGCACAAGATACAGGTCATAAAGACCTTGCAGATAAAACAGTTGCGGTAAAGAAGCTGGCCAAGATCCACCAAAACCAAGATGGTGATGAGAGTGACCTCTGGTCTTCCTCAAGGCTCACTATATGCTAATTATAATGCATTAGCATGCTAAAAGACACTCCCACCAATGCCATAACAGTTTACAAATGCCACAGCAATGTCAGGAAGTTACCCTCTATGGTGTAAAAAGGGGAGGAACCCTCGGTTCTGGGCATTGCCCACTCCTTTCCTGGAAAACTCATGAATAACTCACCTCTTGTTTAGCATATCATCAAGAAATAACCATAAACATGGGCAACCAGCAGCCTTTGGGACTGCTCTGCCTATGGAGTAGCCATCCTTTTAACCCTTTACTTTCTTAATAAACTTGCTTTCACTTAACTCTATGGCTTGCCCTGAATTCTTTCTTGCGCAAGATCCAGGAACCGTCTCTTGGCCTCTGGATCGGGACCCCTTTCCAGCAATATTAGCACTGCTCACTTCACCAGATGGAGCAGATGGTCTGACATGCTGGCTGAGCACAGCGACAGCGTACAGGAGATCCCAGCCTGTGACTCATCTACCAAGTCAGTGCTGAGCTATGTCCCAAACTCCCTATCTCGACTGACCCTCACCCTCCCTGGCAAGCCCCTGTTCCCATGGTTCCATCCTGGCCCCATTTGGGACATCTCACTCTGACCTCAGGCTTCTGTTCTTCTGGTTCTCTCATTCACTTACTCCCACTAAACCTATTTGGAGGGAAGCCCTCAGGCTACTTGATGGCTAAAAAAAAAAAAAAATGGCCAGGTGCGGTGGCTCACGCCTGTAATCCCAGCACTTTGGGAGGCCGAGGCAGGTGGATCACGAGGTCAGGAGATCAAGACCAGAAAAATTCTGGCCAACATGGTGAAATCCTGTCTCTACTAAAATACAAAAAATTAGCCGGACATGGTGGCTGTGCCTGTAGTCCCAGCTACTTGGGAGGCTGAGGCAGGGGAATCACTTGAACCTGGGAGATGGAGGTTGCAGTGAGCCGAGATCGCGTCACTGCACTCCAGCCTGGCAACAGAGCAAGACTCTGTCTCAAAAATAAATAAATAAATAAAAATAAATAATAACAACAACAAAGTAATGAGAGCTAGCATGTAACTGTGTTTTCAGCACTTTACATTTATTAACTCCTTGTTAATTCGATCACGTAATAACATGATGAGTTATGTGCTACTGTGCTGCCCATTTTACAGATGAAGAAACTGAGGCACAGAGAGTTAAAGAAAAAATAGCTCTAAGTCATCCGACTCCATCCCAGGTTGAGCTGGGATTTGAATCCTGGCCATCTGCAGACACTACTCCTCTATTTTTGCTATGCATTTCTCTTCTTTTCGTCCCCAGCTTACAGTCTGTTCTCCATCACTTCCACACCCTCTTACTGTTTTACCTCTTGTACCACTGACCTATCACTGCACTCACATGGCAAAACCACAACCTGGGATTGAACCAACCACCTGCATTTTCTGGACCAATATCCCAACGACTGAATAAGACTGGAGAAAAATGTACAGGCACACAGAGTTGTCACTATCAATGTATGTCCTCAAACCTAAACTGGTCACTTGATACAGCCAGAGAAGCCTGCTAAGTCTACCCGGAAAACTCCTTCTTGGGTCTTCACTGCAGCTATTTCAGTCTTCCCTGTTCTCAGATCTCCAACCACTTCTCACTTTCAGCTGATGACGTCGCCTGCTATTTACTGGAGCAAACGGAAACCACCCAGTGGGAAGTCACTCAGTCCTCTGTTGCCAAACCAGTTTGCCTCCACCTGAACCAGATTCCCACCTACCCTCCTGTTACAGGGGAGATGTGGCCCTTCCCCTATGTGTTGGATCTGTCCATCCTCCTTCCTTGGGAGCCTATCCCACCTGTCCCCACTGCCTCTTCCCAAGTCCACCATCTTCCCCAGAGAACTGCAGTGTTCTAATAGTCTCCCTGTGTCCCCCACTCCCTGCTTCTAGCTATGAGCCACATCTCTTCTGCAGCAAGATTTTAAAGCACAGAGTATAGTGAACAACAATGTATTGCACATTTCAAAATAGCTAGAAGAAAGAACTTGAAATGTACCCAATACATAGAAAAGATAAATACTCAGATGATGGATATACCCCAAATGGCCTGACTTGATCATTATGTCAGAGGCGTTTGAACCAGAGTGACTCCATCTTGAATAGGGGCTGGGTAAAATAAGGCTGAGACCCACTGGGCTGCCTTCCCAGGAGGTTGAGGCATTCTTAGTCACAGGATGAGACAGGAGGTTGGCACAAGATACAGGTCATGAAGACCTTGCTGATAAAACAGGCTGCAGTAAAGAAGCTGGCCAAAACACACCAAAACCAAGATGGTGACGAGAGTGACCTCTGGTCGTCCTCACTGCTACACTCCCACCAGCGCCATGACAGTTTACAAATGCCATGGCAACGTCAGGAAGTTACCCTATATGGTCTAAAAAGGGGAGGCATGAATAATCCACCTCTTGTTTAGCATATCATCAAGAAATAACCATAAAAATGGGCAACCAGCAGCCCTGCCTATGGAGTAACCATTCTTTATTCCTTTAATAAACTTGCTTTCACTTTACTCTATGGACTCGCCCTGAATTCTTTCTTTCATGAGATCCAAGAACCTTCTCTTGGGGTCTGGATCAGGACCCCTTTCTGGTAACAATTACACATTCTATGCAGGTAACAAAATTTCCCATGTACCCCATAAATACATACAAATATAATGTGTAAACAAAAATGAAATTCTAAGGCCCCTCAACCATCCGAATGTACTTCCTCCTTAGCCACGGCTATTTTAAAATTTAACCCGAGAGACTGTTTCAGGCCATGATGGGAAGTGGGGGTCAGACAGGCCTCATGATATCTCTCCAGCATTAACATCAATACAGACTTTAAGTCTAGTAAGAAACATTTTACAACCTCTTTTCTCTAAAGCCTAGTACCTAAAAGCTTCCTCTGCAAATAAGAACTTCGGTCTCCATAATCGTTTATCTGAACCTGGGCATTCCTCTTTTTTTTTTTTTTTTTGAGACGGAGTCTCACTCTGTCACCCAGGCTGGAGTGCAGTAGCGAGATCTCGGCTCACTGCAACCTCTGCCTCCCGGGTTCAAGCAATTCTCCTGCCTCAGCCTCCTGAGTAGCTGGGATTACAGGCGCCTGCCACCATGCCCAGCTAATTTATGTACTTTTAGTAGAGACGGGGTTTCACTGTGTTGGCCAGGCTGGTCTTGAACTCCTGACCTCATGATCCACCCGCCTCAGCCTCCCAAAGTGCTGGGATTACAAGCGTGAGTCACCATGCCCGGCTGGCATTCCTTTTTATGGATCCCAGGTCTTCAGATAAACTCAGCCAATTGTCAATCAGCAAAATTTTTAATCGACCTATAAGCTGGAAACCCCCTGCTTCGAGTTGTCCAGCCTTTCTGGACCAAACCAATGTATTTCTTTTTTTCTTTTTCTTTTTTCTTTTTTTTTTTTTTTGAGATGGAGTCTCGCTCCGTCGCCCAGGCTGGAGTGCAGTAGTACCATCTCGGCTCACTGCAACCTCCGCCTCCCAGGTTCAAGCAATTCTCCTGGCTCAGCCTCCTGTGCAGCTGGGACTACAGGTACTGGCCACCACACATGGCTAATTTCTGTATTTTTAATAGAGACGGAGTTTTACCATGTTGGTCAGGCTGGTCTCGAGGTCCTGACCTCAGGTGATCTGCCCGCCTCAGCCTCCCGAAGTTCTGGGATTACAGGCGTGAGCCACCGTGCCTGGCTTATATTTCTTAAATGTATTTGATTGATGTCTCATGTCTCCCTAAAATGCATAAAACCAAGCTGCGCCCCAACCACCTTGGGCACAAGTTCCCAGGACTTCCTGAGGGCTGTGTCCCAGGCGATGGTCACTCACATTCGGCTCAGAATAAATCTCTTCAAATATTTTACAGAGTTTGACTCTTTTTGTCAACAAACGGACCCCCCAAAAGTGCAAATCTGACCATGGCACTCCCCATCTTCAGTGGCTCCACACGGCCCTTAGGAGGTCTAAATTCTACCAATTGCACATGGACAGAAAGATGGAAGTAATAGACACTGGAGACTCCAAAAAGGGGGAGGGAAGGAGGGGGCTGAGGGTTGCAAGATTACCTGTCGAATACAATGTACAATATTTGAGAGATGTCACTGCCCGAGGGGTTCTTCCTGCCCACTGCATAAAGAAAGACCACAGTATTGTAGTAGAGAGAGTTTAATAGACAGGAGGCCAGTCACACCATGTGTGTGGGCATGGGCTGGGCCCTTGGGCCCTCCACCCAAGCTCCCCAACCCCCTTTGTCTCTGCCTTGCCCGGGGCTGGCTCCCTTCTCAATGCTTGATGTCGCTGAGCACATGACTTCAAACTGAAAGCAAAAAAATGTGCTTTTTCCTTTGGACCCTACCTGCAAATGCCAATTACGCCTTGGATTTGCCAGCAGCTGGTAGGAATGAGTGAGAGGCTTGTCTCTGAGATGACTCATTTCCTCTCTGGTATTTGCAAGGAAGCAAGGAATGAGCAACCAGAAACAGAGCTTCAAGAACAAATTCCACCCTACAAATGCTGCGAGGATCCTCTCGGGGCCCTCAGAGGGCAATGAGGCATGTTATATGAAGATTAGCAGAGAGAACAGAAATCCCCTACATAAATAAATAAATAATGAGCCGGTAAATACTGACAGCCGCATTCATTTCCTCGGCCACATTTCCCTTTAACACTCCCTGCCTGGTAAAAGAAGTTTGCTTCTGAATAAGGACTTCGGGAGAATCCTCCCCAAGCCATCAGCCGACAGGAGAGCTATCCCGGCCCCCAGGACAAACTGCGTAGCCTCAGTCTGCCCCTTTGCAGGGGGTCAGGTTAGGCAGGCCATGATTTGAAGCCCCATCCTATGATTTTATGATGCAAACTCCCCACATTGCACTAGAGTGTTCCATATTGGGAAACCTTCCCAACCCACAGCCGGGCTGTGCCTGGGACATGGCGAGTGAGAATGGCAGGGACTATGTTTTCTTCACTGACACCTTCCCAGTGCCATTCTCTGTGAACCACATTTAAGCACCCCCTAGAACTAAATAATCAATAATCAACCTTCTTTTTTTTTTTTTTTTTTTTTTGAGACAGAGTCTCACTCTGTCGCCCAGGCTGGAGTGCAGTGGTGCGATGTCGGCTCACTGCAACCTCCCACTCCCGGGTTCAAGCGATTCTCATGCCTCAGCTTCCCAAGTAGCTGGGATTACAGGCGTGTGCCACCATGCCCAGCTAGTTTTTGTATTTTTAGTAGAGACAGGGTTTTGCTATGTTGGCCATGCTGATCTCGACCTCCTGGCCTCAAGTGATTCACCCACCTCAGCCTCCCAAATTGCTGGGATTACAGGCATGAACCACCATGCCTGGCCAAGATAAATAGTATTTTGATGCAATGTTTAATAAATCAAAAATCATGCAGAAAATCCACGGTGAGCAAAATGTCAGAAGTTGAAATAAAGACAGGTTCCCCGGGCTCACAATCCTCCCCCTGGTCTGGGCCCTGAGAGAAGGAGTTTCCACCAGCCCTTCTCACTTGCTACATTCTGGTTGTATTTTCCATCCATGTCTAGCGTGGTCCCAGATTCTCTCCTCATCCTTGTCCCCAACACACACAGACCCACAGATGCATTAGATGTATTCAGCTCGGCTGAAAGTGCTTGTGCTTTTGAGCTTGGTCGTAGATATCACTCTACTCACCCAAGTCAGAACAGGGCCCCTCATGGACACTCTCACCCCATCAGAGCACCTACTGCCTTCTCCTTTCTTTGAGGGCTAGGGCTGGATCTTGTGTAATATTCGAACCCCAACACCGGGCAATGGGAATCCCATCCATATCACAGGAATGAATGCATGCATGGACAACCTGAAATAGGGCAGGCAGATCCCAGTGCTCCCGGCACCCGGCAGGTGGTCCCCCAGGGCCTTGCTTCCAGGGACAAAAGCTCACAGTGGAAAAGCAGCCTGCTCCACAGTGGAAAAGCTTGGCCGGACACAAGGCTGTTCCTTATCTTGAGCCTTAATGGTCCTTGTAAGAGCATCTTTTCAGGTATCTGAAGAAAGGGCTCTCTCAGCCCCAGTCTTTTTTCTTTTTCTTTTTTTTTTTAGACTAAACATCTTCAGGTCCTTTAAAGCCTTCTTTAAAGGGCTGGATGCAGTGGCTCACACCTGTCATCCCAGCATTTTGGGTGAACAAGGCCAGAGAATTGCTTGAGGCCAGGAGTTTGAGACCAGCCTGGGCAACAGAGCAAGACCCCTGTCTCTACACACACAAAAAAAGAATAACTCAGCTGGGCGAGTTAACCCATTCAAATGCTAATCTCTTCTGAAAACACCAGCACAGACACGTGCAGAATTAATATTTAATCCGGGCACCCTGCGACCAGTGAAATTTACCTATGAAATTAACCATCCCAATATTGCACCTCAGCTCAAAACCCTCCCATGGCTCCCATTCTACTCAGAGTACACACCAAGATCTACATGACGGCAAATGGTTCATCCTCCTCCTTCCTTCCCTTATCTCCTCTCACTCTCACCTTTGCTGATGCCACTCCGGCCACAGTGGCCTCCTTGCTCTTCCTCAACTGGACCAAGCTTGTTCTTGTTGAAGGGCTGTTGAATTTCCCATCCTTCCCACATGGAATATTCTTCCTCCAGAAGCCCACAAGACTTGTTCCCTTACTTCATTCAGATTTACTACTGAGTCTGGGCATGGTGGCTCACACCTAATCCCAGTGCTTTGGGAGGCCAATAAGGGATGATAGCTGAAGCCCAGGAATTCCAGACCAGCCTGGGCAACATAGTGAGACCTCTCTACAAAATATTAAAAATTAGCTGGGTGTGGTCATGCATGTCCATCAGTACCAGCTACTCAGGAGGTAGAAATGGGAGGATCGCTTGAGCCCAGGAGGTTGAGGCTACAGTGAGCTATGATCATACCACTGCACTCCAGCCTGGGCAACAGGGCAATTGTCTCAAGAAAAAAAAAAAAAGTAAAAATAAAAATAAAAGATTTACTACTTAAACACTTCCTTACACCACAATGTTCCCTGGCTACAGAATGCAAAACAATCTCCCCTCTCCCTTCCAATCTCTCTCTCCTTTCTCCAAATTATGTATTTATTTGCTCATTGTCCACTGCAACAGGCAGGAATTGTATCTGTTCTGTTCCTTCCTGCATTCCCAGGGCCAGAATAGGGCCTGGTACCCAGTAAGTGCTCATTGAACAACTGAATGAATAAACGAATTGAAGTACCTGTACCCTAATTTATCAGCATCAACACATACTATTCTTGGGTAGTATTCTAACGACGTGGCCTATCTCAAATTTGCTTATTTTCTTTAAATCTGAAATGGCACTTCTCCCTTGGGTCCTCAATATCAAGCTCCATGATTTCCGGATTGCACTGGAAGATCCAAACACTTTGTCCTGGCTGTTTTCAGCTCTTGCTGAATTCAGTCTCTGGCCTGCCTTTCAGTATGAGGTGCCCTGGTATTTTTAGAAGAGCACTTCTCATGTGTTTGTGAGGGCCAATTACACCAGCTGCCTCTCTGGGTATGTTTCCATTTGCTGGCTGATTTTTACATTCCATGCAAACATTGATGAGATTGTCCACTAAATGGGTATCAATCCTAACAAGCATCAATGAAATTCCGGTTCTGAGTGTCCTTGGCCACCATAGCTACCCGGTGAAACTCATTAGGGTCCATGAAAAGAGATAGAAATGCAGAGTCAGCCAGACAAAAAGAGGTCAAGGAAAGGAGGAGGGGATCAGTGCACTGGGGGCCTTATGGGTGTGTTAGGGCAATGCTGAGACCTTCATCCAGACTGGATGTTCTGAGTTTATCCTTGGCTTTTTTGGCACGGGAGTTTGCCAAGCGAAGGCTGTTCCTTATCTTGAGCCTTAATGGTCCTTGTAAGAGCATCTTTTCAGTTACCTGAAGAAAGGGCTGTTTAGGTGGTATTGTGAACCTGGTGACTTTGGCCTGGTGTAGTGGCTCACACCTATAATCCCAGCCCTTTGGGAGGCCAAGGTGGGAGGACTGCTTGAGTTCAGGAGTTGGCTTTAGTCTCAGCATTGCCCCTGGATGTCTGGATCCCAGGCTAATGATCTCTGGGTGGTGTCAGTCCTGTGTCTATCTGGCAGGCCTGATAGTACTGGAGTCAGCACAAAGTTACGATATAATAAACATGGACTAGAAGGAATGAGTACATGAGGAGGGTTTATCAGCTCAACTGTTTGGGAGGTATTGTGAACCTGGTGACTTTGGCCTGGTATAGTGGCTCACACTAATAATCCCAGCCCTTTGGGAGGCCAAGATGGGAGGACTGCTTGAGTTCAGGAGTTAGAGACCAGCCTGGGAAATACAGCAAGACTGCCTCTCTATAAAAAAGTTTAAAAATATAATTCAGGCATGGTGGCTTGTGCCTGCTGTCCCAGCTACTTGGGAAGCTGAGGCAGGGGGATTGCTTGAGGCCCGGAGTTCAAGACTAGCATGGGCAGCATAGCAAGACCTCCCAACTCCCAATTCTCCAAAAATAAATAAATAATTAGTTGGGACAAGTGCCCACAGTCCCCGCTACTCAAGAGGCTGAGGTGGGAAGATTGTTTGAGCCCAGGAATTTGAGGGTACAGTGAGCCATGATCACACTTGATTCTGGGTGACAAAGCGAGACCCTGTCTCAAAATACAACTGAAAATAAAAATAAAAACGAACCTAGAGATTTTAGATAAGCTTTAAGGGATCCCAAAACCAGCTCCCAAGATTGTTAGATGATGTTCTGAGTTTGTAATGTCTTCAGGACAGGGTGCATAGGTAGATGTCATCAGATTCTCAATGACCCCAAAGCATGAAGCTCCACTTGGTTATTAACAGAACACGGTGTGAATGCAGCCCGCAGGATTGTGGGCTGGCTCCTGGCTGGAGCAGCTTGATCTGTCCTCCTGCCTGGCCTCCCCTATTCCTCTGCCCCCTCACTCTCTGCTAGAACCCTAACTTGCCACTGGCCACTCCACAGGTGCCATGCACTTCCTGCTTGGTGCCTCTGCTAGGGTCCTCTCTCTGAAACAATCTTTCCTTCTTCTCCACCAGCCAACTCCTCTTGACCCTTCTAGACCCCTCTTCTAGGCCCTGCTTCTCTACCCTCAGTGCCCCCAGATAGGGGCGTGGCCCATGGACTACTCCCCATCCAAAAACAGTCTGAACAGTGGTTCAGATGCAAATGGTAAGCTTTTTTTTAAATTTTAATTTTTACTTTTTGAGACAGAGTCTCGCTGTCATCCAGGCTGAGGTGCAGTGGCACGATCTGGGCTCACTGCAACCTCTGCCTCCTGGGTTCAAGCGATTCTCGTGCCTCAGCCTCCTGAGTAGCTGGGATTACAGGCGTTTGCCACCACACCTGGCTAATTTTTTATATTATGAGTAGAGACGCGGTTTCACCATGTTGGCCAGGCTGGTCTCGAACTCCTGACCTCAAGTGATTCACGTGCCTCAGCCTCCCAAAGTGCTGGAATTACAGGCATAAGCCACCGCACCTGGCCAATTCTGAATAAGCTTTAAAAACATTGGCTGGGCATGGTGGCTCAGGCCTGTAATCCCAGCACTTTCGGAGGCCAAGGTGGGCGGATCACCTGAGGTCACGAGTTAGAGACCAGCATAGCCAACACGGTGAAACCCCGTCTCTACTAATAATACAAAAATTAGCTGGGCGTGGTGGTACACGCCTGTAATCCCAGTTACTCGGGAGGCTGGGGCAGGATAATTGCTTGAGCCCAGGAGGCAAAGGGTGCAGTGAGCCAAGATCATGTCACTGCACTCCAGTCTGGTCGACAAAAGTGAGACTCTGTCTTAAAAAAATAAAAAATAAAAAAAAGCATTTCTAGCAATTCAATAGAGCAAATTTATGTCGGTTGAATCTAATAATAAAAACGTGGAGCTTAACATTTGTTTCTCTTTTTCCTATTTTATTTTTCTAGGAATTCACTTTTACTATATTTTATAAAAGTATCATTGCGTGATAGATTGGAAATAAGATCTGGTCCTTCACTCCACATCAGTGTCTCTCAGCCTTTTTTTTTCATTATCACCTCTCTATGAGGCATTTTTAGACTTTTTTCCCCCTGAGATCCCCTACCTGCTCCCACTATGAAATTTTAATACCACAGATGCGCTGTATATCTGCTTGCATGCTGTATGTGTATCTGTGATTTACACATAAAAGTGTAATACTCTTTTGCACCCCCCTTCAAGAACCAATTATTGCCCTGTTGGCAGCCGTATCACTCCTAATAAGGATACAGGCTATAAATAGTTCGAAAAGAACTGTTATGGTCTTAGGAGAGCTGGCTCTGGCCCAGGAGGGATGTACAAGTCTATGGGGCGGGGGGGCATTGTTCTTGGCAGTTGATAGCTGAGTCGGAGCGTTGCAATATACATGTTATTGTAAATTACCTTTCTTTTATTTCCCTTGTCCGTTAGAGTTAGGGTATGACAATGATTTGAACAAACAAAAAAAGAACTGTGGATACTGTGGATGTAGTAGGTCTTGTTATCTATTGTCTACCGGACAGGTCTTGTGGTTCTTTGACAGATGAAAAGGAGGGGGAGGCCGTGGTTGTACCTCTGTTGATGGCCTCCACTGTTCTCACTACTCTGGCCATTTGCCCTTTGACTGCCCACTGCCCGCCATTGGGGTATCTCAAGGCAGCCATGGCAAGCTCTGAAGGTCATCTGGAAAGGCTGTTTCTTTCTTTTCCTTTTATTTTCTTTTCGAGACCGGGTCTGTCTCTGTTGCCCAGGCTAGGGCGCAATGGTGCAACCACAGGTCACTGTGGCCTCGAACTCCTGGGCTCAAGCAATCCTCCCCTGGAAAGGCTGTTGCTCCAGTGTGGGTAACCTAGCATAGCAAACCCATCTGCAGAAGCACCGGTTTGGGAAATGCCCCTTTCTCATATACATATTTGTAATGAACACAGCATTGTAAAGATGCTGGGGAGACCACGTTGCACTCAGCAGTGAAGCCCACTTAACTCTGTTTAAGTCACAAGCTTCCAAACGTGTCTGTTCACGAAACTCCTTTATTTTTTGCAGAAGACCTATGACAACCCATGAAACTGTATTCCATGCAACATACTTTGGGGAAAAACTGAGCCTGAGGTTTTCTTAATTCATGTTCCTTTACCCCGAGGTCACAAGTGACTGGAAGTCAATGGATAAGCATCTGTGCTGATGCAGAAAGGCCTGAGGTTCCTGGGGCGCCCAGTCCTGGCCATTGAGACCCCATCACCCAGCTTTGGCCACCCATGGAGCAAATCTGATAAACACTACAGCTCCTGAAGCCATCAGCTCTAGGCTGTAGTCATTCTCCCTCTGCGAGGCTCAGCATGAGAGTAAGCAGACATCAGAAATTCAACTTCATTTCTTGATTTCTCTTTAATCAAAGGTGGTGTAGTTCTACCCTGAAGATGCCCATTGTGTCTCATTTTCTCTCCCCTTGGATAACAGACAAAGCGAATGAACATCACAGAAACTTTCAGCACTCAGGGCTCCTGAGCTGTCCAGATGGTGTATTCTTCCAGAAGAATCTTTAGCTTACATCTCCAAATAGTGGTCATTCAGCTTCTAGAGCAATTATCTTGAAAACAAAGAGGTAAGCCTGAGTTCAAAGCAACAGCCTGGAAAAGATGCCTGGACTCAGGATTAGAGAACATAATAAATAGTGTGTATAGTCTGCTAGGGCTGCCATAGCAAAGTCCCAAAGACTGGTGATTTAAACCACAGGAATGTACTTTCTCACAATTCTGGAGGCGAGCAGGCTGAGATCAAGGTATCCACAGGGGTGGTTACATCTGAGGCATCTCTCCTTGGCTTAGAGGCAGCCATTTTTCCCTTTGTCTTCACATGGGCTTGCCTTTGTGTGTGTCTGTGTCCCTTCTTTTTTTTTTTTTTTGACAGAATCTTGCTCTGTTGCCAGGCTGGAGTGCAATGGCGTGATCTCAGCTCACTGCAACCTCCACCTCCCGGGTTCAAGTGATTCCCCTGCCTCAGCCTCCTGAATAGCTGGGACTACAGGCACGTGCCACCACACCCGGCTAATTTTTTGTATTTTAGTAGAGACAGGGTTTCACCATGTTGGTCAGGATGGTCTCGCTCTCCTGACCTTGTGATCTGCCTGCCTTGGCCTCCTAAAGTGCTGGGATTACAGGTGTGAGCCACTGCACCCAGCCCTAATCCCTTCTTTTTACGAGGACACCAGTCATATTGGATCAGAGTCCACCCCAATGACCTTATTTTAACTTCATTCTTTAAAGACCCTATCTCCAAATACAGTCAAATGTGGAGGTACCGGGGATTAAGGCTTCAACATATGATTGTTTGGAGTATACAATTTAGCCCATAACAGATGGGAAAGGCATCTGGTCTCTCCAGTTTAAGTCTCAGAGAAACACAGACTGTCAGCGCTTTGGAGACTGCTGAAGTCATGTGTTTCATAAACTGGAAAAGTGAGGTCCCGAAAGGAGAAGTACCTGCTTGCAATCACACAGCTCATGGGCTCTGAGCTCAAACCCAGGGTTCCCGAGGGCCAGTCAATCAGAACCTTCCCAGGCTTCCATTACATGATCACCCCACCCCCAACAAAAAACACCAAAAAATTATAAGCAATTTAAAAAGAGAGGAGGAGAAAACATACATCTCTAAGGGCAAGGCAAATACTTGGAGTGTGGTTTTATAAAGGCTGGAGACCAGCTGGGCTCGGTGGCTCACGCCTATAATCCCAGCACTTTGGGAGGCCAAGGCGGGTGGATCACCTGAGGTCAGGAGTTTGAGACCAGCCTGGCCAACATAGTGAAACCCTGTCTCTACTAAAAATATAAAAAATTGGCCAGGTGTGGTGGCACACATCTGTAATTCCAGCTACTCGGGAGGCTGAGTCAGGGGAACTGCTTGAGCTCGGGAGATGGAGGTTGCAGTGAGCCGAGATCGTGCTATTGCACTCCAGCCTGGGCAACAGAGTGAGACTCTGTCTCAAAATAAATAAATAAATAAATAAAAACAAAGGCTGGAGACCAAAGAAGTGACATGGACTTGGTTAGGTTCTTCAGCTGTGGTTTTCAAAGTGTGGCCTGTGGGGATCCTGAGAGCTTTTCAGGGCTCTACCAGGTCAAAATGATTTTTATAATTATGCTATGACGCCACTTGCCTTATTCACTTTCACTCTCTTACAAGCGTACAGTGGAGTTTCCTAGAGGACACATCACATGGCACGATGTCATTGCTCTAATGATGAATGAAATGTATGAAGCAGAAACAAGCATCCACCTGCTGTCTACCAGGACCTCAAGAGATTTGCGACAAGGTTAAAACAATGCCGTCCTCCTTCTAATATGTTTTTGTTTTGGAAAATACAGTTATTTCTCACAAAATTGTGTGATTTATGTTAACCTGCAATGGGTTTATTATTATTGCTTTTGAATGATTTAATGCAGAAATATTTTTAAAGTTTTCCATTTTAATTTCCAACATAGTAAAAATCGATAGATAGGACACCCATAAACAAAAGCTCTTTGGGGTCATCCATCATTTTTAACATGGTAAAGGGGAGCTGAAACCAGAGTTTGAGAAAGGGTGCTCTACAGCAGTGAATGACACTTACTGATGAAACCATCATTTTTCTCCATTCTCTTTTACGTCATTTTTTTCCCCTTGCAATTGGTATAAGGCCAGGTTTAATTTCCCTTGGGCCCTAACAGAAAGGTAAAACAGCCCTTAATTATACCTAGAACCCCATGAACGCACCGGCCTCACAGCTGCTCTTCTCTACACAGCCCTCCCTTGGTTATGCTCTTCTGCTGTGGTTTTCAAAGTATGGCCCATGGAACGCCTGGGGGCCCTGAGACCTTTTCAGATCCTAGGCCCTGGTGTGAGGACACTCAGAGATAATGGCCGCTGCACAGCTCCCTAACTTCCCAATGTTCACTCCATTCATCTTTGAAGTGCTGTCATCCATCTTAACCTGGAGCCCCATGCCCTCTGGGTAGTGGCAAATACAGGAAATCAGCACCTCACTGCTGACCCCAACCGTAAGCACAGAGTGGGACAGCCGCCGACATCGCAAAGCCATAAAACAGAGCCCTGGGTGTCTGTGTCTCTTGTCCAGTCTGTGACAGGCCTTGTCCTGCCTGGCTTCCTTGACTTCCTGGGGGATATTCTGAGTTGTCATTCTGACCACGGTTTTGGGGACCCCTTGGTCCACTATAGATCCATGTTTTGGGTCTTTAAGCAACTGGAGTTTTGGTCCTGTCTTTTGCCATTGTCTGGTGAAGGGACAAAGATGGTGGAAATGCAGATGACAGGACGGGGGAAGACTGTATGCTCACATGTGTACACATGCATGCACACCATGGCTGATGCTTCCTAAGCACCTTCATGCCAGGAGAAACAAAACTACCACTGAGGCCACGCACGGTGGCTCACGCCGGTAATCCCAGCACCTTGGGAGGCTGAGGCAGGTGGATCACTTGAGGTCAGGAGTTTGAGACCAGCCTCGCCAACGTAATGAAACCTTGTCCGGCACTCCAGCCTGGGCAAGGTTAAAAATACAAAAAATAGCTTGGCGTGGTGGTGTGAGCCTGTAATCCCAGCTACTTGGGAGGCTGAGGCAGGAGAATCACTTGAGCCCAGGGTGCAGAGGTTGCAGTGAGCCAAGATCACACCACTGCCCTCTAGCCTGAGTGACAGAGTAAGACTCTGTCTCAAAAATAAATAAAATAAAATAAAATAGAAATGAAAAAAAACTACCACCGAGAGCAGAAACAAGCGCTTACACGTACGAAGGCTTCCTCCAAGCCAGGCACTGTTTTAGTCATTTGCATGTATTTATTTATTTAAACCTCACAAAAACCCTGGAAAGCAGATATGATTCTTCTTCTCATTTTCTGATGAGGAAAAGGAGGCACAGAGAGATTAAGTAACTTGCCTAATGCCACACAACTAGTAAACCACAGAGACAGGGTTTGCATTCAGGAAGTTTGATGATTTTCACTGCTACGCAAACAGAGAGAATATGATATCCTCTCTCAGGGAACTTAGGAGCTCATAGTCTGAAAGCGGGGATAAGGTTCAGACCCAGGAGATGGCAAGTGGCAGGTGAATTGTGATGTAGGCCAAATACCACAGTCATTCAGAGGAAACAACTTGACAACTTGAAGAGCATAAGATGGAGTCCAGAGGGGATGGTGAGAAGGGAAAAGGCAGGGTCAGTGAGGAAAGTCTGGGCTTAAAGATCTTGATTCATCCCCATGGGAATCCCTCAAAGTCCAGCACAGGGTTTTGTAAGAGACATTCTAAACATTACCAAGAGCACTATTGCCAACTTCCTGCTACCTATAGTGCCTTAGAACTCGCCTGGGAGAATCTGTATTTATGGAGGATTGTCTGAAGAGCCTGTGGTCTTCCCAGTCCTTCCACCTCTTCCCATCTCTAACCAGACCAGAAGAGCAGTCTCTCAGCCTACAAACAGGAGTGACAGAGATCAATCCAGAAAGAGTCAGGTCAACTCATGAGAGCTGTTGTGTCCTGGAAGTGTTAGATCCTAAAGTGACATAAAGAGAAACTTCATGTTGTCATGGGCAAGGTAGGAGTCCAAGACAGTTGATGCATTCAAGATTAAAGCCAGCAGAAGCCGAGAGAGACACCAGTGAGAGTGAAGACAGACACCCAGAGGGCTTGCAGGTCAGGCCACTCATCCTAGAGACAAGAAGATATCTTTGAAGACTCAGGATTCCAGCTGCTTTCATCGAGTAAGTCTTAAAGTCTTCTGTGTCCAGTGTTTGAATTGATGCACTTAACACTTGGAAGAGTATGATTTCATTTTCTATGTGAGGAAAGCCCCAGAAGAATGCCTAGAACATTTGATTGATACAATGGGGCACTCTCATATTGGTAGCCTGCAGAACAGGCCTTCTACCAGCCCAATGGCAGAGCCGCCATGTTGCCCATTCTAGGAGTTCCATTCCCGCAGATTTTGTGCTGGGTCCCTGTTCCCCTGTGAGGTGTGCTCCAAAGCTATGCAGCCTGTGGTCCTGCCCACTGACCTCTTCGGTTGCAGGGCCACCATTCCAAAGTACCAAAAGTTGGAAAGTCTCTCACAGCAAAGGAGTTGGGTAGATTATGGTGTAAGGTTTACTGGTCTCTCCTCTCCAAGGAGGGAAAATCAAGCAGCTGCCAAGATATCCATGCAGGAATGATATTCTCTTTGTTGGTGACAAATGAAAAAAATTGAACCCCAGGGTCCATGATCAAAAGAAAGTTAGTTTACTCTTCTAAGGGAGGAGGGCAAGAGCCCTTTCTTAGTGACACAGTATGTGACCAATCTGGAAGAGAGGCCAAGGGAACCCTTCGATGAAGAATTAAAGGGTGCATCAAATAGGGTTCCATTTCTACCCTAGAATGTTATAATTTTATCACGGTTGTCAAAAACAGAAGAAAAAAATATTTTTATCTGTTGTCCATCCATCCATCTAGCCTAGGATGTTATGATCTTATCACAGTTGTCAAAAATAGAAGAAAGAAAAAATTATTATTTTTATCCATTGTCTGTCCATCCATCCATCCATCCATCCATCCATCCATCCATCTATCCATCAATCCATCAATCCATCCATCCATCCATCCATCCATCCATCCATCTATCCATCAATCCATCCATTCATCCATTCATCCATCCATCCACCCGCCTATTCAGCCATCCTTCCTACAAATATTTCTTTAAGGTTAAGTGTCATACCGGGCACCATGCTAGGCAGGTCAGGTGATACACTGATGAATAAAATCGACATAGATGCTCTTCTTAGAGAGCTTGTGATCCAAGACAGAAGAAAGCTAATGAAGTAGCTATAAGTATTTCATGTATACTGAGAAGAAAAGGAAAAGTTCAGGAGGCCACAGAGCATGATGTAAGGCAAGGGAGAAAAAAAAAAGGCGCTCAGAAGAAAGTGCGTTTATAGCAGAGTTGTTCAGGCTGGATTAATAGCTGAGTGGCTAAAACTCTCTTTACCTAAGGATCCAATTAAAATATGGGAATGCTGTATTTCTTATATCTGCATTTGAATACATGACTTAAGCCTATAATTAACATAGTTTTTAAAAAATGCAACTAAGTGTAATCTCAGACCCATATCCTGTCTCTTGGGCTATCTACTAAATCCCCTATTAGCAACTAAACAAAGTCCATTGTCCCACAGGCAGTAATTTGGTCTTCAGTGTCATCTGAATTTGCAAGCCAATGTGAATTGAGAATCAGAATAAACTTGATATTTATCCAAAGGGAAAAAATGCTTATTGATGCCAGAAAAAAAAATGACAACCAGAATAGCTGAAGAGGTCAGCAGAAACTTGACACTGACAAGGCTTTATGCTTCTGACAATTATTCCTTTTCTGTCAAAAAGGTTTGGTGCATAAAGAAAAGGCAAATATTTAAGGTGACAGATATCCCACGTACACTGACTTGATCTTTGAAAATTACACGAATACATTAAATGATCACATCAACCCCAAAACTATGTATATCCGTTATGCATCAATTAAATAAAGGTTTTGTGCCTTTTTTTGTTAATTCCAATTTATTTAAAAATTACTCTCTGAGTGACAAGAATGGTTTCAAAAACTTTTATTTTTAAAACAGTTTTTGTGACTGTAATTTTTTAATTTATTAGAAACAGGGTCTTGCTCTGTCACCCAGGCTGGAGTGCAGTGGCATGATCATAGCTCATGGTAACCTCAAACTCTTGGGCTCCATTCTACCAGAAGTACAAAGAAAAACTGATATCAAGCCTACTGAAACTATTCCAAAAAATCAAGGAAGAGGGGCTCCTCCCTAACTCATTCTATGAAACCAGCATCAGCCTGATACCAAAATCTGGCAGAGATGCAACAAGAAGGAAAACTTCAAACCTATATCCCTCATGAACACAGACGCAAAAGTCCTCAACAAAATACTAGCAAACTGAATTCAGCAGCACATCAAAATGTGAATACACCATGATCACACAGGCTCTATTGCTGGGATACAAGGCTGGCTCAACTTATATAAATCACTAAGTGTGATTCACCAACAGAACAGAATCAAAAACAAAAACCATACAATCATCTCAATAGACAGAGAAAAGGTTTTCAATAAAATCCAACATCCCTTCATGATAAACACCCTCGAAAGACAAGACATCGAATGAACATACCTCAAAATAATAAGAGCCATCTATGACAAACCACAGCCAACATCATGCTGAATGGGCAAAAGCTCAAATTGTTCCCATTGAGAACTGAAACAAGACAAGGATACCCACTCTCTCCACTCCTATTCAACATAGTACTGGAAGTCCTAGCTGGAGCAATCAGCCAGGAGAAAAAAAGAAAAGGCATCCAACAGGAAAAAAAGATCCAATGATCTCTCTTCACTGACAATAAAACTGTATATCTAGAAAACCCTAAAGACTCTGCCAAAAGGCTCCTTGAGTTGATAAACGACTTAAGTAAAGTTTCAGGATACAAAATCAATGTACAAAAATCAGTAGCATTTCTGTACACCAACAATCTCCAGGCTGAGGGTGAAATCAAGAACACAATCCTACTTAAAATAGCCACAAAGAAAATGAAATACCTTGGAATACAGCTAACCAAGGAGGTGAAAGATCTCTACAAGGAGAACTAGAAAACACTGCTGAAAGAAACCAGAGATGACAGAAATAAATGGAAAAGCATTCTATGCTCATGGATTAGAAGACTCAATATCATAAAAATGGCCATATGGCCAAAAGCAATTTACAGATTCAATGTTATTCCTATTAAACAACCAATGTCATTCTTCACGGAATCAGAATAAACTATTCTAAAATTCATATGGATCCAAAAAGGAGCTCAAATAGCCAGAGCAATCTTGAGCTAAAAGAACAAAACTGGAGGTATCACACTACTGGACTTCAAACTATACTACAAAGCCACAGTAGTCAAACCAGCTTGGTACTATAGGCCAATGAGCAGAACAGAAAACATGGAAATTAAATGCACACCTACAACCATCTGATCTTTAAAAAGGCTGCCAAAAAGAAGCAATGAGCAAATAACTTGCTACTCAATAAATGGTGCCAGGACAACTGGCTAGCCATATGCAGAAGATTGAAGCTGGAACCTTATCTTTGACCATATACAAAAATTAACTCAAGATGGATCAAAGATTTAAATATAAGACCTCAAACAATAAAAATCATGGAAGACAACCTAGGAAATACTCTTCTCAGCATCAGCCTTGGCAAAGAATGTTTGGCTAAGTCCCCAAAAGCAACTGTAACAAAAACAAAAATAGACAAGTAGGACCTAATTAAACTAAAGAGCTTCTGCAAAGCAAAAGAAACTATCAACAGAGCAAACAGACAACCTATAGAACGGGAGAAGATATTTGCAAATTATATATCCAGCAAAGGCCTAAAATCCAGAATCTATAGGGAACTTAAGTCAACAAGCAAAAAGCAAATAGCCCCATTAAAAAATGGGCAAGGGACATGACCAGACACTTCTCAAAAGAAGACATATAAGTGAGCCAACAAACATGAAAAAATGGTGAGCATAACTAATGATCAGAGAAATGCAAATCAAAACCACAGTGAGATACCATCTCATACCAGTCAGAATGGCTATTACTAAAAAGGCAAGAAACAACAGATGCTGGCATGGCACGGGAGAAAAGGGAATGCTTACACACTGTTGGAAGGAATGTAAATTAGTTCAGCTGCTGTGGAGAGCAGCTTCAAGATTTCTCAAAGAACTTAAAACAGAGCTGCCATTCGAGCCAGCCATCCCATTACTGGGTATCTATCCAAAAGAAAAGAAATCATTCTACCAAAAAGACACCTGCACTCGTATGTTCATCACAGCACTATTCACAATAGCAAAGACATGGTCAACCCAAGAGCCCATTAATGGTAGAATAAAGGAAATGTGTTACATATACACCACAGAACACTAGGCAGCCATAAAACAAATGAAATTATGTCCTTTGCAGCAACATGAATTGAGCTGGAGGCCATTATCCTAAGTGAATTAATGCAGAAACAGACAATCAAATCCTGCATGTTCTCACTTATAAATGGGAACTAAACACTCAGCCCACATGGAGATAAACACAGGAACAACAGATATTGTGGACTACTAGAGGGTTTGCAGGGGGTGGGTTAAAAAAACGATCTATCGGCTGGGCGCAGTGGCTCATACCTCTAATCCCAGCACTTTAGGAGGTCAAGGTGGGTGGATCGCCTGAGGTCAGGAGTTTGGGACCAGTCTGGCTAATATGGTGAAATCCTGTCTCTACTAAAAATACAAAAAAAAATTAGCCAGACATGGTGGCAAGTACCTGTAGTCCCACCTATTCGGGAGGCTGAGGCAGGGGAAGTGCTTGAACCAGGGAGGTGGAGGTTGCAGTGAGCCGAGATCGCGCCACAGCACTCCAGCCTGGGTGACAGAGCGAGATTCCATCTCAAAACAAACAAACAAACAAACAAACAAACAAACAAACAAACAAAAGCAGCCAGTTGCTCATGCCTGTAAACCCGGCACTTTGGGAGGCCAAGGTAGGTGGATCACGAGGTCAAGAGATCGAGACCATCCTGGCCAACATGGTGAAACCCTGTCTCTACTAAAAATACAAAAATTAGCTGGGAGTGGTGGTGGGCACCTGTAGTCCCAGCTACTCGGGAGGCTGAGGCAGGAGAATTGCTTGAACCTAGGAAGTGGAAGTTGCAGTGAGCTGAGATTGTGCCACTGCACTCCAGCCTGGTGACAGAGACTCCGTCTCAAAAAAAAAAAAAACAAAAAAACCAACCCCCCCCGCCCCTGCAAAAAAAAAACCAAAAATACTATCTATCAAGTACTATGCTTACTACCTGGGTGATGGAATCCATACTCCAACCTCAGTATCATGCAATATTCCCATGTAACAAATCTGCACATGTACCCCCATATCTAAAATAAAAGTTGAAATGCAAATGAATAAGTAAATAAATAATATTGTATAAATAATATTTACTATATAATTAAGTATATAACTGATACATAATCACATATATAATAAAATTATATGTGGCATAATTAATATATTTATATATTCATATAGTTAATAGTATTTAATGTGTAATTAATATATTTATATATTAATATAGAACTAATATATTCATATATAAATTAGTTAATTATTAACCATATGATATAATAATTATTTATTCTTAATATGATTCTTATAAGAATTATATATTCTTAATTATATAATGTATACTTTTATAATATAATATGCAATACATAATTATAATATATAATATGATTATATAATTAACTAATGTATACACTAATATATTAGTTACATATTAACACATAATATATAACATATAAATATAATATATAATGTAAACAAATTGTAATTATATATTATATACATCAATCACAATATATTATATATTATAATGTATTATATTACATGTTATGATTATAATTATACATTATATATTTATATTACATATAAATATAAAATATATAAACTGTACATCCAATAAAGGCCTAATATCCAGAATATCAGATTATATAGTTATATGTAATTATTATATATTTATATTACATATAATGTATTAACATATCAAATATTTATATATTAGTTATTAGTTATATATTAGTATATAATTAATGATATTTACTAAATAAATAATAAAAATAATAATAAAAAAATATTTCCAGGAGAGAAGCACACAGCTGGAAAGGAAGAAGACTGGCCAGTTCATATGGTAAAAAAGAGCCAACAAAAGGTGAGGTTGAGGAGCGAGTGAGGACAAGAGAAGCAATCAAGTCTCTGAGAGGACGGGGGGGAAAGAATCTGGAATTTACTTGTCTTCAAGTTCAGCTTCAGACACTACTGTGAATCGCCCACCCTAGGGTACTCGAACAGACTAGATTCTAGTAAGAGCCCCAGTCTTGACCACCTGCCAGGCGCATTCTGATCTTCACCACTGACAAAGCCCCACTCTCTGATGATCTAAGAGTGCCCTCCCATCCCACCCAACTGGGAGCTCGTCTATAGGCACATTGGTTCAATCTTACAGACACTCAGTCTCGCCCAACTAAGAACCACATTCAAAACTGGGATCGAGGTTTCTGAATCCAAATTCTGGGCTTTTCCTGCTGCCTTGTGCTACACCTGCCCTGGACAGAGGTGGGCAAGACGACACCTCCTCCCCTGCTATCCTCAGGGGAAAGCTCCTTCCTTTCCTCCTGTCAAGCCGAGTGGAGGCTAAGCCTCTTCTCATGGTCTCATTCATTCAGAGTTCCTTGGAGAGAAAAGAGGTTGATGCAGAGTAAAAAGTAAGAAAGCACTTTGAGGCCGGGCGCGGTGGCTCACGCCTGTAATCCCAGCACTTTGGGAGGCCGAGGTGGGTGGATTATTTGAGGCCAGGAGTTGGAGACCAGCCTGGCCAAAATGGTAAAATCCTGTCTCTACTAAAAATACAAAAAATTAGCAGGGCGTGTTGGCATGTGCCTGTAGTCCCAACTACTTGGGAGGGTGAGGCAGGAGAATCCTTTGAGCCCAGGAGGCAGAGGTTGCAGTGAGCTAAGATTGTGCCACTACATTCCAGTCTGGGTGACAGAGTAAGACTCTGTCTCAAAAAAAAAAAAAAAAAAAAAAAAAAGTGCTTTGCTCCTAAAGTGCAGATAGAAAAAGGGCACCAAGGTGCTTTAATTTACTGCACAGGCTGGAAAAGCCACATCTGGGGCCCATGATCTCAGTATCAGTGACTCGGAGGTCTCGCTGGCAGATGGAGGGCCAGGGACATAAGTGACTCAGCCTGGGACAAGGGGAGCACAGCAGGCTAGCAGAGTGGAAGCCAGTCTGGATAAAGTCCCAATTGAGCCACTGCAGCTAAAATTAAATATGACAAATGGCCTGTTCAGTTACATTAGGCACTGGCAATGGGGCCTCTGCAGGCTATGTGCTGAAGCGCTGGCCTTGTCATCTCCCCAGCAGCCTCCCAGTCAGGGCTATATTCCTTCCACCAAAAGCTGCCACAGTGGTGCTGGAAGATTCTTGCCAATCACGCTGGTCTTGAAACAAGCCACCTTGGCAACAAACAGTAATCCGTGTCCTTCTTGAGGAGCACTAGAAATGTGAGGCTGGACATCATGGGCTGAGTATCCCTTATTCGAAGTGCTTGAGACCAGAAGTGGTTTTTTTTGCTTATTTCCCTCCCTTCCTCCCTCCCTCCCTCCCTCCCTCCCTTCCCTCCCTGTTTCTTTGTTTTTCTGTTTCTTTCTCTCTCCTCTTTGTTTCTTTCATTCTCTCTCTTTCTCTATTACTTTTTTCTCTTTCTCTGTTTCTCTTTCTCTGTTTCTTTCTCTTTCTGTTTCTTTCGCTCTCTCCACTTCTTTTTCTTTCTGTTTCTTTTTTTCCTTTCTCTTTCTTCCCTCCCTCCCTTCCTTCCATCCTTCCTTCCTTTCTTCCTCTCTGTCTCTTTGTCCTACCCTCCCTTCCTTTCTTTTTTTGAGAAAAGGTCTCACTCTGTCACCAGGCTGGAGTGCAACAGTGTGATCACTGCTCGTTGCAGCTTTGAACTCCTGGGCTCAAGCAATCTTCCATCTCAGCCTCTTGAGTGGCTGGAACCACAGGCATGCACCAATATGCTTGGCTAATTTTTTGTAGAGATGAGATCTTGCTATGTTACCTAGGCTGATCTGCAACTCCTCAGAAGCATTTCAGATTTTGGATCTTTTCAAATTTGGGGATATTTGCACTGTATTTAACAGGCTGAGCATCCATAATTTGGAAATCTGAAATCCAAAATGTTCCAAAGAGCATTTCTTTGAGTCATATCTGTGCTCAAAAAGTTTCAGATTTTGGAGCATTTTGGATTTCAGATTTTTTGGATTAGAGATACCCAACCTGCTCCCTATGACTTCTTGGCTCTCTCCAGAAGGAAAATTTGGGTTGATCCAACTTAATGTGATCACAAAAGTTTGGGGGATTAGGGCTTTTGTTTTGTTTTGAAATACTAACTTTGTTGGTGACAAGTCTAAACAGTTTTATCATAAAATCCTGCACTATGAGGACTAAAATAAAAAGTAATAGGTCTTGTAGTGAGTGATCCAGATCTGAAACAAATCAGAGTTCTTGACTCTCCATGTTATGAGTTTTTTGTGTGTTTGTTTTAAAGAGACAGGGTCTCACTCTGTCACCCAGGCTGCAATGTAGTGACTCGATCATATCTCACTGCAGCCTTGAAATCCTGGGCTCAAGTGATCCTTTTGCCTCAGCTGGGACTACAGGTGTGCATCACCATGTCCAGCTAACTAAAAAAAAAAAAAAAAAAAATCATAGAGATGGGGTCTCGCTATGTTTCCCAAGCTGGTCTCGAACTCCTGGGCTCAAGTAATCCTCTTGCCTCAGCCTCCCAAAGTGCTGGGATTGAGATTTTATACCTGATTTTTCTGAAATTATGTGTTCTGGAGCCAACAAAGACAGAGGGAGGTTGCTAAAAATACCCAGACATAAGCCTCTGACCAGCAGAGGAGACAGAATGCAATGAACTGGAAAGTCCCTCCAAGCTCTCTATGCTCATTGGTCCTCCCAAAAAGCAGAGGCTACTCATGGAAAGAAGGATTTGGCTGAAACGTCTGCAGAGTGACACTGCTTCCCAGGGCTGCTTAATGCTGACCTTTTGACATTCTCGCCTTTGATTTCCTTAATGTGATTGCTCTGTTTCTTTGCTGTCTGACAAACGGTCAATTCCTGTTTGTCTTCTAATAAATGGGCTGATTAATGCTGGGGGAAAAAGAGACCAACAGAAAATCCTCATTGCCATCTACAAATAACTTCAAAGTAAATCATCTACCTTTTGCTTTCTTCTTTGAACTTTTAAATTTTTATCACATACGAATGTACCATCATTAGCTCTCCCTGGCAGCATCTATCCCTTGATGGAGTAACCGCCTCTCAAAAAAGATCATGCTTTTCTGAACATGCTGTATTTTTGGCTGCAGCCCTGAACTGCTGGGAATGCAATTGCTTTTTAATTGGAACCAACAACCAGTGTTGGCTTGGATTCAGAACTAGCCTCCCCGCATCAGAAACGTCTACTGGAGTCTGGTGATAGGCGAGAGGGGGGCCGTTAACCACCTTCAGGCTGTGAATCCCCAGGGGGAAGCTCTGTTTGTACCTGGTATCTTGGCTGGCTCAGAAAACAGAATTTCCATTTTCTGACCAGATAAAGAAATACTTGTCATTGATGGGGACTGGCAAACCGAAAACCGAATGGTTCATGCAGGGAATTTTCACCCTGCCCAGTTTATGTCTGCATGTGTGAGAATAAACTAGGAGCTTGGATGAAAGGGAACAAAATAATCACAAAGGAAATTTCTAGTGTTTTCCATCAACATGACAGACCAAAATGTCCTTTCCTTTCCAAAGGGAAACAATTGCAGGAATCGGTTCCCTTGTCTTTTGTTACTGAGGGAATAATCAGCATTCTGTAAAGAAACCCATCGCTTCAGGTTCTCATCCTATCAAGCAATTATTTATAATTTACAGCCTATTAATACAACAGCACATCTCATCTACGCTGTGTGCCAAAAAGCTCACACTTAATCAGAATATTAGCACCATGGCTTGCTGAACACAACCTCTTCTTTACGCATTCCTTTAACTAATTTCGACCCAATGCACGAAGAGCGTGGAGCTGGATGCTGGTGGTCCACGTTGCAATGCAGGCAGAGTAATTATGCACAATATAAAATGACAAATATTTAGTGTCTAAAGGTCTATTTCCATATGCCCAATTCTTCAGATGGGGTATGTGGTTGTGCTAGAGTTAGCCACAGTGCAATGTGGGATGAAAATCCAAAGGCATAGAATCCAAATGCAAACAAAAAATCCAAAGCATTCGGGTCAATGTCCTGTTTCTCCTACTCACACTAACTCAAGTGTGACCTCAAATTCCTTTGCTCTCATAGTCTAAGTTTGAAAAAATCTTCTGCACTGGGGGAACATTCCATTTGAATTTAATGTACATTGTCAATACAAACTGAGCAGGGTTTCCAAGAACAAAAAGAACAAAGACATCTATTTTGGCCTGAATGATGCCGATTGCTTCAACCAAGAGATGGCACCAACTTGCACCCAAATTGTGGCTGGGTGGTAAGTGTGTGGATCATCCAAGCTCATCTCCTGTGCTTCTCATTGGAGATTTTCCTCTCCAGATAAGGCGGCCCCTAAGCTGTACCACACACTCCCAATACTCACTTTCTCTCTCTGCTTGAGGTCATTTTCTTCCATCCATCCCTTTACTGACACAATGCTTTCCATTTTGCAACATCAGGGCATCCGAGGTTATTCTACACCATGGTCTTCCGCTTTGTCCAAATTCCTTTAGCATTTTCATGGCACTAGATAATACATAATTTCTCCATTTTCCTAGGAGTTTAATGTGTGCATGCCACCATGCAAGTGCGTGTTTTTTTTGGATGTATGACTGCTCTAGACCGTGACAAGAGTTCTTTGTCATCAAGGAAACATTTATCTTGGATTTGTGTGCTCCAGACCTTCTGCAGGGGCACAGTGAGGAAGAGGAGGAGCAGAGAGATTCCTAAAGGAAGTGGGTCAGGGCACAGAAGCGTATAAGCTATTGGGAAGAAGACAAAGCAACTGATATTTGTTTCTCTGTGATATCACAGGGTCAAATCAAATATAAGCAGAGGAAGAGTCCCAGGATGGAGGGAATGATGACTGGTAACTAAAAGTCAGCTAACACTGGGCTGGATCTTAAAATCCAGTGAGTTGGATGGGGTCCACGTGGAATGGGCCTTGAGTGCCCACCCCAGAGGACAGATTTCAATCAGACAGTAGAGGGATATAACCAATGTTTCTCATGAGGGAACAACAGGACTCTATCTGCCTTAGCAAGAAGAGACAGCTGGAAGATCCCATGGTGGGGAGGAATAATGGTCTCGGGGAAAGAAGGCACTGGAGTAGAGAGTAGGTTTTGCTGCGAGATAATCTGAAGGAGCCCAGGGGAAACCTGTGGATGAATGGGATGTGAAGCATAAAGAAGACAGTGGAGACAAAAGATCAGACAGAAGCTCAGAGGTTATGTGGCCAGTGGACTTTTTTTTTTTTTTTTTGAAATGGAGTCTCGCTCTGTCACCGCTCAGGCTGGAGTGCAGTGGCGTGATCTCGGCTCACTGCAACCTCCGCCTTCCAAATTCAAGGGATTCTCCTGCCTCAGCCTCCTGAGTACCTGGGATTACAGGTACATGCCACCATGCCTGGCTTATTTTTATATTTTTAGTAGAGAAGGGGTTTCACCATGTTGGCCATGCTGGTCTTGAACTCCTGACCTCAGGTGATCCGCTCACCTCAGCCTCCCAAAGTGCAGGCATGAGCCACCGCATCATGCCTTTTTGATGGAGATTGAATATTCCTGATTTCTCCAGAATCTCATGTAATAATAATGACCACATTAAAAGCTGTGTATTTCCCTTTGGACATTATTTTGGCAACATTCCTTGGATTCTGATAAATATTGTTGTCACTGGCAATAATTTTTTAGCAGCCTGTTAGGATATTTTTGGTTTTCTCCTTTGCCCCAGAATGCTGTATTTAGGGAAAATTTTTTATTTTCTTTTAGTGAGAGACAGGGTCTCACTCTGTCACCCAGGCTGGAGTGCAGTAGTATGATCCTAGCTCATTGCAGCCTTGGGTTCAAGTGATCCTGCCACCTCAGCCTCCTGAGTAGCTAGTCCTGAGACTACAGATGTGCACAACCATGCCCAGTTATTTTTTAAAGAGATAGAGTCTTGCTACGTTGCCCAGGTTGGTCTCAAACTCCTGACCTCAAGCGGTCCTCCTACCTTGACTTACCAAAGTTCTGGGATTACAGGTGTGAGTCACCACACCTAGTCATTTAGGACCATTTTAATGGCTAGGATATCTTTCCATCAGGGGTCTTTTTATTTAATTCTATATTATCAATTTTTGATTTTATTATATTGTGATCGGAGAATAAGGTCTGTAAATTTTCTACTTTTTAAGGTCTATGAAAATTTTGCAGCTTAGTAGATCAATTTTTGTGACTGATTCATGGACACAGTTAAAAAGACATTACATTCTCTTTTTGGGAGGTATTAAAGTTCTAAAAAATGTCTATTAATTATATGTGTTCATTCACTCATCATATAATTGATGAATAAATATTTATCGATTGAGCCTAATTATACTTTTCACATCAGCTATATAAATTCTTTCTCTTAAGAATGAATAAAACCTACTAATAGCACAATTAGATAGTTATTAATAATAACTTAGTAATAATTAAGTTATTATTGACTATATGGTGACACCATATACTCATATTATGTACATAGTATATAGTCACACTATATACATATAGTATACATTAAAATAACTTGAAGAATGTAATTGGATTGTCTGTAATTCAAAGGATAAATGCTCAAGGGGGTGGATATCCTATTCTCCATAATGTGATTTTTATGCATTGCATGCCCGTATCAAAGCATCTCATGTACCCCATAAATATATACACCTACTATGTACCCATAAACAAATTTTAAATAATAAAAATGAAAAAAATTATTTCTCTCTTTCTCTCTCTCTGTTTTCTCAGTTTGCTGTGAGTTAAGAATGGTGGAACAACAATGTCTACTTTCTTGTTGCAACTCCCATTCGCCTGATGCATTGAACTTGCTTTCTTTCTTCACCTCCACAGTGGCTGGTTCTTTGGCCTCTTCTTCAAGCCTTCACGGCTTACAAAAAGGAACGTTGGTGACCTCAGTCCTCATCTTTCAGGTCTATGGTACCCGACTCCCTCTCAAATGCTCACTCATTCTGAATCCATAATCCACACAGACAAGTCCAGACAAAAGATTCAGAATAAACGAACCAATGCCGGGGAAATAGATAAAAGGCACATCCTTTGGTATAGACATCAAGGCTGTGATGTGGATCCTGAGTGAGAAGACTTAGACAGGCAGAGCATGCTAGAATGGCTTTGATCAGGAAGAGTAAAAGATGGCTGGGTGCAATGGCTCACACCTGGAATCCCAGTACTTTGGGAGGCTGTAATGGGAGGATCACTTGAGCCCAGGAGTTTGAGATGAGTCTGGGCAACAAAACAGGACCCCATCGCTACCAAAAAAAAAAAAAATTAGCTGGGAGTGGTGGTAAGCACCTATAGTCCCCAGCTACTTGGGAGGCTGAGGTGGGAGGAACACTTGAGCCTAGGAGCTCATGGCTGCAGTGAGCTATGATTGCACCAGTGCACTCCAGCCTAGGTGACAGAGCAAGACCCCATTTCTAATAATAATAATTATTAATAATAAAGGATTCCCAGTTCATCTCCAGTTGCTGGTTTTTCGGTCTCTTCTTCAAGCCCTCACTACTCACAAAGGGTCTTCTATGACCCCAGTCCTCCACTTTCAGCTCTCCACTGGTACCTGACTACTCCTCAAATGCTGGGATAAAAAATGAGATGGTGTTTGCTATGAACCTGGCCAGACAGTGGAGGAAACCAAGCACAATTCAGGTCTCCCTTTGCTGTTACAATAGCAGAGCTCAAAATTATATGATGGTACTTGAGAATTTCATTATGTTGATACTACTTGTATTTGTGTAACACTTTTCATTTTATTTTGGTTTTTACTAAGGTTATTGTGATCCTGACATTTACTGCTCACTGACTGTCCACGTGACACCTCCATCCCAACCCAAGTCCTGTCCCTTCCCCCTCCCCCAACCCCTGGTAGATGGATGGAGCCAGCAACTGCATGAGTGGCAAGTGGGAAACAGTATCCATCACTCCAGGATCAAAGCATTTCAGAACAAAACTGGCCCATGAGTCTCCATTCTTTCTTTCCTGCTGCAGTGACCTGAAAGCCAGATTCAGGGGGTGAAACTCTCAGATGACTATATGATTTATGTACTCACATGCACGTTTCTGAGAGTAAAAAGAGGTATTAGTGATCATTATGTCAGCTCAACAGGAATAATTCAGAACTTTCCTGGGGAAAACAGAATATGGGCTCCCTATGTCATGTAAGTGGGATGCAGATTGGATCCCTGAGTCACCACCTGGAAGGAAACTGCTCTAGAGAGTCATTCAACTCTCACTGGATTTTACAGGTATGAGACATAAGTTTTGTGTGTGAGGCAACTGAAAGTTCAGGACTAAGTTGTTACTGTAGCATAGCTTATCCTATCTTAACTTAGTTCAGTGTGCATCCCAAGGAAGTTAACCATCAAGAAGGAAGAAGGAAGTCTGGTTCACATTTGGTTTACTCTATTGAGAAAGTACCAAGAGAAAAGTGAAAATCAAGGGATAGATTGTTTTCCTCTTTTAATCTGTGGGGTTTTTTTTCTCCTTTTCTTTGGGAAATTATGTTTTTCATAGATTATATCTTTATGTCTTACAACCCTGGCAGGTCATCTTTTCTCATTTTCCTTCAGCAGTATTTCTTGAGTTTATCTCTTTATATCTTTCAGTGTTAATTTGCTCTTCAGTGGAAATTAACAACAAACAAATAGTACGTGTCATGTTTTCTAACAGTTTTATTCCACTTGCTTATTACCTGCCACCCTGTTTATGATTAATAGGTATAAAGCCCTCCTCTATCTTATTGAGAATTTGTAAAAATTGTCTTCCAACTTTTCTATGTGTTTCAAGTAAGAAATAATTAGATCCACCTTTAAACTCTTACGACTTTATTGTTTTGTGTTACAAAATGTTCTCACAGGCTTTAGATTTTTTAAGTTTATTCATATTCTTTCATCATCAATTTACTGAAGTCAAGAATTCAAACAAAATTCTTTAGTGAACTGATGATGAACTCCTTTAGTTTCTCAGGCAGTATTAGAAGTATTTTTAGTGGGCTTCTCACCATATCGCTATCTTGGGTATCAATTTGTATTTTCCTTTTTTTCTCTTAGGTAGGGTCTCACTCTGTCACCTAGGCTGGAGTGCAGCGATATGACCATGGCTCACTGCAGCCTTGAACTCCTGGCCTCAAGCAATCCTCCCACCCCAGCCTCCCAAAGTGCTGGGATTACAGGTGTGAGCCAACACTCCTGGTATCAATTAGTATTTTAACAAGGCATCTATCCAAGAAGGTGATCTTGTGGGGATGGGCCATTTGTTTCTGACCACCAAATTACTGTGTAGCTTTACTTTCCACCCCCACTACCCTTGTCTTTCAGATTTACTGTACACTGCATTCATACCGCATATGGCTTCTTGAATATATCAGTGTATCTCATCCAGTTGTAGAGAACTGTGATCCAGAATTATGAGCAGAAAAAATCAAGATGGGATTCCCACATGTGTATGTGAATACCTGCCAGCACATATGTGGGCAGGAACAAGACTTGATGATGGCTAATGCTGACAGAAGTAAACCCAACGAAACCAAGGACCTCCTAAGAAATATTCACTCATCACAGGCCTGTTTATATACTAGGAGAACAGAGGATGATGAAGGTGGGTATCTGGCCCACGAAGAGATAAGACAGTCTAATCAGACTACTGGGTACCACGTGCAAGAACCTTGACATATGTGAAGATGGAAGTGTGCTGTTGCTGCCACAAGAGAAGAGCAGATGCTATTACAGGTCAGTAAAAACAGGAACTCACTCAGATGGAAGATGATAGGAGAAAGGACAGTTTCACAAAAAGGTGTCACTCCAAGAGTTATAGAGCCTCCTTTACACTCCTTGTGTGAAGCGCTGTTCATCTAAGCATGCTGACCACCAAAGGTGACAGATTCGGAATGGGGTGAGTAACTTTCGAAAGAGTGTTGCACTCTTTTCAAAATAGTCACAGTCCATAAGCATTTAAATGGGTAAGTGGTTGGGCGCAGTGGCTCACGCCTGTAATCCCAACACTTCAGGAGACTAAGGCAGGCAGACTGCTTGAGCCCAGGAGTTTGAGACCAGCCTGGGCAGCATAATGAAACCCTGTCTGTACAAAAAAAAAAAAAAAAAAAAATACAAAAATTAGCTGAGTGTGGTGGTACACACCAGTAGTCCCAGCTAATTGTGAGGCTAAGGTGGGAGGATCCCTTGAGCCAAGGAGGCAGAGGTTGCAGTGAACTGAGATCACAGCACTGCACTCCAGCCTGGGTGACAGTGGGTGATCCTGTCTCAGTCAATCAATCAACCAAATGGGTAAGCCTCATTCACTGTGCTACAGTGGGTGATCCTGTCTCAGTCAATCAATCAATCAAATGGGTAAGCCTCATTCACTGTGCTATTAGCTATGATGTAGATTCGGGTTAGGGCTAGATCAAGCCTTCCTTAGGCTAAATGAATTTCTGTTTCCTATGTATTCTCTCTCTTGAAACACCATCAGAGTCAAAATTCATTCTGCACCCTGGAGTCCTCTTCTCTAACCCCAGATTATCCTGGGCACATCAGTTTTATTTTGCTAATGACACCTTATTGTAACTATTGAGTTGTTTGTTTTCTCCTTTGAGAACAAAACTGATAAGTTCTTCACCTTTCTTTTTTTTTTTTTTTGAGATGGAGTCTCACTCTGTCGCCAGGCTGGAGTGCAGTGGTGCTATCTTGTCTCACTGCAACCTCCGCCTCCTGGGTTCAAGTGATTCTCCTGCCTCAGCCTCCTGAGTAGCTGGGACTACAAGCGCACGCCACCACGCCCAGCTAATTTTTGTATTTTTAGTAGAGATTGGCTTTCACCATGTTGGCCAGGATGGTCTCGATCTCTTGACCTTGTGATCCGCCTGCCTCGGCCTCCCAAAGTGCTGAGATTATGGGTGTGAGCCATCGTGGTTGGCCAGTTCTATGCCTGGAACCCAGTCCTCTGTCGGAAACCTAGTAGGCACTCCTTTGCTGTGTAAATATTGAATACATGAGCAAAAGAATAAATAAACGGAAGGCTGGCATCCGGTGTAATTTTCCTTAACTGCATAGTATTCAAGAGCGAGCCAAGTTTGAGGGTGAAGAATGTGTCCAGCTTTCAAGATATCCTTGAATTAAGTGTTCTCAATGTAGTTTCACTGGTAGTTTCTGAAGGGACAGCCCCAAAGCATTTATTTGTTTGTGGGAAAACAGGTGCAGTGATTCACTCTGTCCACAATGTGATACGATTTCAGGCTTTAAGTGTAGCTTCCAGAAAAATGGATAGGACACACCCTTGTCCTAGAATGGGGGCACTCTGCTCTTTGCCACATATGATGGGTGTGTTCTTTTCTGAGCAAGACAGGAGAAGAACCTCAACAGCAGGAGACTTGAAGCATTAGATTAGAGGACCAGTGAGGAACTTGGTACATTTACCCTGTAGAAGACTCTGAAGGAGGAGGAGACATGCAACTGTGGTCAGTTATCTGAAGGATGTTGTACAGAAGAGGACTTGGGCTTGTGCTATAAAGCTCCAGCGAACAGAACCAATGCCCTGTATAAGAGCCACAGGGAAGCATTGTATTAAAGCTTGAGTGAGATAAATTATAGGGTAGTATCGCATGGTAGTTAATTGAACCTGCTGGGTCACACTGCTTGAGTTCAAATCTGGCTCCTCCTGTTGCAAGCACCATGACTCAGCTTCCTTGCCTGTGAAATGCTAATAAGAATAAGAATAATAGTTCATTGGTCAGTTCTAAGAATGAAATAAGGCAATGAGCACTTAACATAGTACCTGGTTTATGCACAGCACCTAGTGCATGCACTTAGCATAGTACTGGTGTACGCACTTAGCACACTACCTGGTGTATGCATTTAGCATAGTATCTACTGTATGCACTCAGCATAAAATCTGGTGAATGCACTTATCATAGTATCCAGTGTATGCACTCAGCATAGTACCTGGTGTATGCATTTAGCATAGTACCTCGTATACGCACTTAGCATAGTATCCATTGTATGCACTTAACATAGTACCTGGCATATGCACTAAGCATAGTATCTGGTATATGCGCTTAGCATAGTATCCATTGTATGCACTTAGCATAGTACCTGGTATATGCACTTAGCATGGTATCCACTGTATGCACTTAGCATAGGACCTGGTATATGCACTTAGCATAGTATCCACTGTAGGCACTTAGCATAGGACCTGGTATGTGCACTTAGCATAGTATCCACTGTATGCACTTAGCATAGGACCTGGTATATGCACTTAGCATGGTATTCACTGTATGCACTTAGCATAGTGCCTGGTAAATGCACTTAGCATAGTATCCACTGTATGCACTTAGCACAGTACCTGGTGTATGCACTTAGCACAGTGCCTGGTGTATGCACTTAGCATAGTATCCAGTGTATGCACTTAGCATAGTACCTGGCATATGCACTTAGCATAGTATCCACTGTAGGCACTTAGCATAGTACCTGGTGTATGTACTTAGCATAGTATCCAGTGTATGCACTTAGCATGGTATCCAGCATATGCACTTAGCATAGTAGTTAGTGTATGCACTTAGCATAGTACTTAGTGCATGCACTTAGCAGTATCCAGTGTATGCACTTAGCATAGTACCTGGTGTATGCACTTAGCATGGTATCCAGCATATGCACGTAGCACAGTACCTGCTGTATGCACTTAGCATGGTATCCAGCATATGCACTCAGCATAGTACTTAGTGTATGCACTCAGCATGGCATCCAGTGTACGCACTTAACATAGTACCTGGTATATGCACTTCGCATAGTATCTGGTATATGCACTTAGCATAGTATCCAGAGTACGCACTTAACATAGTATCTAGTGTATGCACTTAGCATAGTATCCAGTGTATGCACTTAACATAGTACCTGGTATATGCACTAGCATAGTACCTGGTGTATGCACTTAGCATAGTATCCAGTGTATGCACTTAGCATAGTAACTGGTATATGCACTTAGCACAGTATCCAGTGTATGCACTTAACATAGTATCTAGTATATGCACTTAGCATAATATCCAGTGTATACACTTAACATAGTACCTGGTATATGCATTTAGCATAGTATCTGGTATATGCACTTAGCATAGTATCTGGTATATGCACTTAGCATAGTACCTGGTGTATGCACTTAGCATAGTATCCAGTGTATGCACTTAGCATAGTAACTGGTATATGCACTTAGCACAGTATCCAGTGTATGCACTTAGCATAGGACCTGGTATATACACTTAGCATAGTATCCAGTGTATGCACTTAGCATGGTACCTGGTATATGCACTTAGCATAACATTTAGTGTGTGGACTCGGCACAGTACCCAGTATATGCACTTGGCATAGTACCAGGTGTATCCACTATTTCCAGTGTTCCCATCAGTCCAGTGGCAGAAGTAGTGAAGGAGTTGAGTGTCTTGTCACTGGAGGAGTTTAAGCCCAGGTCACCTGACAACTCACACAGATATTTCACTGTTTACACTACATGAACTTTTGGGGCCCTCTGACAATCTACAATTAATCTGGGAGCCTGAAAATGATCTGGCCTGTCACCTCCCCTGCCACATGGCTACAGGCCCTGTGTATCCCCCAGAAGCTGCAGAGGGAGAGAGAGAGAGGGTGCAGAAGCAAAACCGAATCTGTGTGCAAGAACAATCTTAGAGACAGTAACACGTAGAGTCAATTATCATAATTCCATTCCTAATTTGAAATGCTCCAATTACGCCACATTACAGCAATTCTTTTTCAAAGCCGAGACATCAAAGATACAGCTTTTATTGGCTTCCTAGGTTACCAAAGGAGAGTTAAGGAGGGTCAATCTGTTTTGGGGTGTGTGCTGGGAGCTGGGAGCTGCCTCTGCAGCAACAGGACTGGAATCTAAAGCCCTTCCTCAGCACAGACTAAAGATAAAAAGAGCCAACATTTGGGGTCTGAGAAGAGAGCAATATTTGTCAAAAGATGGCATAAAATAGCATCATTTCTCTTTGTAGATGAAAAGTTTGGGTGAGAAATACTCTACGCATTTTGATTTTTTAAAATTAGGGATGGTCGTAAAATTCCTTCCTGAAAAGATCATAAGTTTAGGACAAGAAAGAAGTCAGTTAAGACAGGCCCCGGGGGAAGTCGGGAGCATATTGATTCACTTAGCAAGTGTGAAAGGCCATGGCAAAGGCCAGTCTTGCACGGGTCAGCTGGAAAGACTCCATCTGCAGCTGCTCAGCCCAGTCTGTTCCCATCTCACTGTGCAGCCAGAGGAGAGGGAAGATCCGCACAAAGGCACCAGGAGAAAGTCATATCATGATTTCACTGAAATTCTGAGGTTGATTGATTCCATGCTTCTTGGACTCTCAACCCCCTGCCTCCTTCTTCCCTCTTGGGTAATTTCCCAATTTTCAGTTTTCTTATTTTATTTTATTTTTTTCCCAAAGACAGGGTCTTGCTCTGATGCCCACGCTGGAGTGCAGTGGTGTGATCTTAGCTTGTTACAGCCTTGAACTCCTGGGCTCAACTGATCCTCCTGCTCCAGTCTCCCAAGTAGCTGGGACCACAGGCGAGCACTACCATGCCTGGCTAATTATATATACATATTTTTTAGAAACAGGGTCTTCCTGTGTTGCCCAGGCTGGTCTCAAGCTCCTGTCCTCAAATGATCTTTCCACCTCAGCTTCCCAAGTGCTTGGATTACAGGTATGGTGGCCAGTTTTCTACCAACTCACCCCCTCCCCTTTCCTGTGTTCCCTTTGCTCTCTTCCCAGCTCTGTCTCCGTCCTATCTCCCCTGCTCTCTACTAATCCATTATACCAAATCACTCCCCAAGGAATGTAAACTAGTACAGCCACTGTGGAATACAGTGTGGAGATTCCTTAAGGAACTAAAAGTAGAACTACCATTTGATCCAGCAGTCCCACTACTGTTATCTACCCAAAGAAAAGAAGTCATTATTCAAAAAAGATACCTGCACATGCATGTTTACGGCAGCACAATTTATAATTGCAAAATCATGGAACCAATCAAATGCTCATCAATCAACGAGTGGATAAAGAAACTGTGGTAGATATATATATCATATATATATGATATATATATGATGGAATACTACGCAGCCATAAAAAGGAATAAATTAACAGCATTTGCAGTGAGCTGGATGAGATTGGAGACAATTATTCTAACTTAAGTAACTCACGAACGGAAAACCAAACATTGTATGTTCTCACTGATACGTGGGAGCTAAGCTCTGAGGATGCAAAGGCATAGAATGATACAATGGACTTTGGGGACTTGGGGGGAAGAGTGGGAGTGGGGAGAGGGATAAAGACAACAAATATGGTGCAGTGTATACTGCTTGGGTGATGGGTGCACCATGATCTCACAAATCACCACTAAAGAACTTACTCATGTAACCAAACACCACCTGTACCCCAATAACTTATGGAAAAATAAAAAAAAGAGTGAAAAAACAAACAAACAAACAAAAAACCAAAATTACTCTCCAAGGTACAAACCCCTCTAATCAGCTCCTTTAGGTCCCATTCCTCCAGGGACACAGGTCAGTCCTGACCCATCATGGCAAAGGGCACTGGCTCTGGACTTGGACATCTGATTACGGCTCTGCTGATTGCTTAATCTGTGTCTGTCTGTTTCCTATCTATAAAGTTGGAGATAAATAAGAGCAGCTGCATCATGGTGTTGCTGTGAGCACTCAGACCACTGGGCACGGTACCGGGCACGTGGGGAATGATTACAGTTAGGTGTCATTATGACCATGAGTCTCTGGTTTTCCGTGCCTTGCTAATCCCCTGCCTGATCCTCCCAATGTACCCTCTGGTTCCCCAGTTCAATATCCAGTTTCCTATCCTCCAGGAAAAACTGGCTCTCTCTTGGTCTAAATCAATCTTTCTTATTTTTTTTTTATTATCATCCCCCTATTCCTGCCCAGGAGCCTTTAGACTTTTTTTTTTTTTCCTTCCCTAATTGCCTTCCTTCCCATGAAATTTCAATACCATGGATCTGCTGTACATCTGCTTATACACTGTGGCTCCTTTGGTCAACTACAAACCACTATAACATCTAAGATTTTGGGCCCCCCAAAACTAATGTTCTATCTCCTTGAGGTGGGGGGCGTATTACCCTCTTGGGAAGTCATGTTCTAAATCCATGGTTCCCAAGCAAGGATGACTTTGTCCTCTCTCCTGGGGGATATTTGTCCATGTCTGAAGATATTTTGGTTGTTAAAACTTGGCTGGGGGGTGAGGCATGGCTGTTATCTGGTGGGTAGAGGCCAGAAATGCTGCTAAACATCCTACAACACACAGGATACCCTCTACCCCACAATAAGACATTACCTAGCCCAAAATGTCAATTGCAATAGTGCAATTATTATCGCATATTTGTCAACAGTGCAATTATGACTGCACAATTGCAATAGTGCAATTATTATTGCATGTTTGTCAACATTTTGGGCTAGGTAATTTCTTAAGGTGGGGTGGGGGGGGTATCCTGTGTGTTGTAGGATGTTTAGAAGCATCCCTGGCCTCTACCCACCAGATATCAATGTCTAGGTGAGAAATTCTGCTCTGATGGGTGACCCCCAAGTGCCCTCTAGGGTCCTCAACTCAGGCAGAAGAAACAGCCTAGGCTTAAAATTCAGCTGGTCCCTGACTGGTATTCAGAGCTGCTCCAGTAGAGGGAAGGATATTTTTTAAGAGGACACAGAATGATGCGGGGTGGAACAAGACTCAAACTTGGGGCTGCTGGAGACACTAGCCAAGACCACACTTTCACAGCAAGTGAGGCTCACAGGCCCTGCTCAGACCTCAATTCTGGCTGTCTTTGCCCAAGCAGTCATCCTCCAGAGACCCTTAGAGGTTCACTGTCAGAGGGTGGCAACAAACCTTTAAATAAAAGAAAGCAAAGCCCTTAAATACAGGGCTTCCCAATGCAATTGGACCAAGTCAGTCTCCTCTTAGGCTCTGTCCCTAACCAAGTCTGTTCTGAACCCATGTGGGATCATGTGGTTCTCCCTTCAATGATTTCTCATTAAAGTTGAGATAAAGTTCCCAAGACTCATGGTGTCCCATGAGGCTCTGTAAGATTGAGCTTCTTCCTGCTTTTCCAACCTCACCACTCTCAGCCTGCACTGTTCTGCTCAGCTACAGGCCTTCCCCAGGTCCTGGAACTCAACAAACCCATTTCTTTCCAGACCTTGAGGCCCCTATGAGTCCTGCTCTCTGCCTGGACTGTGCCTGGCTATCTTCTTCCACTTTCAAGCCATGCTTCCATGCAATTCCCTAGACAGGTCAACTAAGACCACCGACACCACCCCCACCACCCACCACGCAATCCCCCCCGTTCTTTCTCATAGCACTCAGTACTTTTCCTTCTGATCATTTACCCGATTTGCTACTGCCCATTTCTGTGTGCTTAGTCACTTAATGTCTCCACAACTCAGAGACCTCTGATTACCCCAGGCCTGGCAGAGTGCCAGCACCTAGTAGACGCTCAATAAATGTTTGCATGCCGATTGAAGTCTAGGCATTTCCATAGATTCTTTTCATCTCAAGTCCATGTTAGAATATTTCTAGATAGTTTGTTGAGACATCTCATTCCTATGGATGGATCTCCTAGGTCTTTCTATCTGAAATCTACTAAATTAAAAAAGAATAAAAAGACATCCAAACAAAGCCCCAAAATACACTGGAAACAAAAAACTACCACTAAATCCAGGTAAGAGAAATACTAAACACAGCTATTTCATCTTCACATATGTGAGATCCATGCCTATATGGGTGCATTGCCTATATCTCTGATGACCCATTGTCAACTGCAGCATGTTAATGACACACTCCGCTGCTTTTGAGGGAGTCAACCAGGATTATCAGAGTGACACATCTCTTCTAGAATATGAGTTTTGTTCCTGTGTTCTGAATTAGAAAATGACTTCTACTATCATAATAAGCAATGAAACTACCGGCCGGGCACGGTGGCTCATGCCTGTAATCCCAGAACTTTGGGAGGCCAAGGCAGGCAGAGCACAAGGTCAGGAGTTCGAGACCAGCCTGGGCATAATGGTGAAACCCCATCTCTACTAAAAATACAAAAATTAGCCGGGCATGGTGGCGTGCGCCTGTAGTCCCAGCTACTCGGAAGGCTGAGGCAGAGAATTATTTGAACCTGGGAGGTGGAGGTTGCAGTGAGCCGAGACTGCGCCACTGCACTCCAGCCTAGGTGACAGAGTGAGACTCCGTCTCAAAAAAAAAAAAAGGAAATGAAAGTACCGTGTTATTACAGCAGGGAGCAGGGGATCATGAGAAAAAGTGAATGCCAAGATCAGTAGGATGAGGACTTTGAGGGGCACTGAGAAGAACTTGGGGCAGACGACACTACACAGGTCCCACATTGACAAGCAAGGTAATCACGAAGCACCGGCTGCCAGGGAACCCAGAGATGGGGCCAGTCCCACAACCTCTGCCAGGAAAGCTCTTTGGCCTCCTGGTTCTCCAACACTGCATTTGTGTGACATGG